>NC_000004.12:42839016-43148440 GCF_000001405.40 Homo sapiens
TCCAGTTCTCTTCCTGTGATTATTGTACTTTACACAACGAGCTACCTGTGGGTAAGCTACTGTCTCAGGCATTGCTTTTGGGAAAACCAGGCTAAGATACCTTCTCACTGGCCTCTCTTCCACTCTCGCTCCATACAGTCTATTCTTAATTGAGAAGTTAAAACCATCCCTTTTAAAACATAGGTCCCATTATATCACTTCTCTGCTGAAAGCCTCAGTGGCTTCCCATCTGATGAGAGTAAAAATGGATCAGCATTGTCATGTCTTCACAGGCCCTGCTCACTCTGGACTCCCTTAGCTTATCTGACCTTCTCCACTTTTATGTTCTCTATGGTCACTTCACTCTAGCATCTCTGGTTCTTTGCTGTTCCTTGAATGCGCTAAAAATACTTTCACTTTAGGGGCTTTGGTGTTGCTGTTCTCTCTTTCCTCAGTTGCCTTCCTGGCTCATTTTCCTCACCTCCTTTAGGTCTTTGCTCAATGTCACCTTCTCAGGAAGGTCTATCCTAACCACACTAGTTAACATTGAACTCTGTTTACCAGCCCAATATTCTCTTTGCTTGTTTTATCTTTCTCATAGTATTCATTTCTCTTTAATATTCCATCAACATTCCATCAATTTAATGGTTTTAGCATGCTGTTTTTAAAATTTTAATATTTGATCTTTCCCCACAAGGATGTAAAATTATAGGAGGTCAAAGATTTTTTATTTTTATTCTTTTACTTCTGTAATTCCAGTGCCTAGGATAGTGCATGGCACATAGTAAGCAGTTAATATATAGTTGTTGAATGAATGAATGAATAAATAAAAGGTCATCTCTATGGGGCTTCAGGCAACTAGGCAGCCATAAAGATGGTTGTGTTAGGAAAATAGACATTTTCCACCTTCTCTTCTTTACGTTTTATTCTGTTTACATTATCTCCCAAATTCAGAAGGCTGAGTAGAGCTAATTCATAACAGGAAAACCTATAGAAGACTCTGATATTTATAATCCACTGAGTGAAGTTTTTTTCTGTGTCACCCTGAGAGGTAAAACTGAGTGGAAGGTGGAGACATTTATTACAGACGTTTCTTGATTGAAAGGAACCTTGCACTTAGAGTTGTGTAAATGAAATGGTGGAAGGCGATGAAGATTCCATTGTCCAAATGTCTTTATTACTTTCTTAAAACTGTAATACACAAGTAGGTATAAATTAATATTACAATTTCTGATAAAATTTAAGGGAGATATAACAAGCAATTAACAGTTATTTCCATGCCATTATGAATTGTTTCAAATAATGTTTCTACTCTAGTTTTCATCACATTTTATTTTAATAACTTTAACATATTTGTCTTTTGTAATAGTTTGCCTTTTCTTTGAGGAAAGTGAGCACAGCTGATTGTTTTGTACTTTCCTAGTTCCTAGGACAGTGCCTGGCACATAAGAGGCAGTTCCTAAATGTTTGCTGGAAAAAGCAGAGATGTGAATGACCACTCATGTCCTCACATGTTATATCCCACAGTTCTCTCCATGGTCTTGCTACATAGGCATATAGTACAATTTGAGATGGGAGGGAGTTATACCTTTTTTTCATATGGTAGGAGAAAGATGGTCATGAAATAGGAGTTGCAGAAAGAGAGCCAGCATGATGTCTGGACCACAGTCAGATTCTCAGACGGCACAATTTTCATGAAGTACATATGGATGTTGAAAATCTAGAAACTGATATTCTTAAAACCACCCCAGCCCATGTACCTATTGAAAAGTGATCCTGCACTCTCAGAGCTATGATACATCAAACTGAAGACTGCTTTCTAGAGAGTAAGTTCTGCTAAGTCTGTCTTGGCCACCACTGTGTCCTCTGAACTTAGCACAATGCTAGACTCATAGTAACTACACAAAAACATTCATTGAATGAACAAATGAAATAGACCCATCACTGATGATGCTTTTATCTCGACTCTGTTTCCTGGACCAAATCTGATGCCTGATTGAAAACCCCCTTCACTAACTCATCTTAATCCTGGGTGTTTATCCTTAGTGAAATCCCATCACAGTAGGGACACTTCATTGGCTGACATTTTATTGAGTCTCCTTATATTTAAACAAAATAGTATAATACCTTTGGCCTTAATTAACGGTCTAAATCAAATTAGGGAAAGTCTATAAAGTAGACTACCTACTAAAATATTTGAGACTTGGCTTTACTGTTCTATATTTATTCAGATGACATACTAGGAATTATTTTTTAATATATGCCAATTATCTTTGCTGCCTGCAGAAAAAGTCTTATTGTTTCAATATCTTCCATAGCTAATTCAAATAACCATCGAAAAAGAAAATTTGCACCACTCATTTTCCCCTTGAAAGCTTACTCTTTTTTTATCGAATTACTATTATTTTATTTGAGCCAGCTATTCCTATAAAAAAAGCAAACATTTTTATAGTGTTATTTTTTAAAAGCTAGAGGAACCTTAAATATCAATGAGATTGTCACCAAATCATTTGTATTTATAATTAAATTTGAAAAAGTCAATAATTTGGGTCTGATTCATTTGGGATATAATTATTTATGCCTTCATAATATCCAGGGTGTATGTCCAATTCTTCATTTTAAAATCTCTTTCAACATCATTTACCATTGATTGGCAACTTCTGAATTCAGCTTGTTTCACCAATCTAGGCCTCTAGGTCTACTTTACAGTGCATTCAAAGTAACTTTATTTTATACAAGTTACATGCAGTGAACGAAAAGCAAGTGTGATTTAATGCTCTTGGTTGGAGCAGAGAGTATGTCTTCTGACATTCACAATCAGGTTTTCTAAATGTCTAATTATAATGACATCTGCTATAATCTAAATGTTTGTCTTCCCAACCCCAAATTCATAGGCTGAAATCCTAACTCACAAGGTGATAGTATTAGGGAGTGGGATCTTTGGGAGGGGATTAGGTCATAAGAACAGAGCCCTAATTGATGTGATTAGTGCTCTTATAAAACAGACCCCAGAGGCATTAATGCCCCTTCCTACCATGTGAGGACACAGGGAGAACGCACCATCTATGAACTAGGAAATTAGCCCTCAGTGAACATGGCCAGCACCTTGATCTTGGACTTCCCAGCCTCTAGAACTGTGATAAATAAATTTCTGTTGTTTATAAGCCACTTAGTTTATGCTGTTTTGTTGTAGTTGCCTTAACAGACTGGGATGTATCTTAAGATACAGAGGCAGTTATTCTAACAAATGAAAATTTTTCTTGAAGGAAGTAGACTGTAAAAGCAACATCATAAAAATACCTTATATATGTGTGTCCCATAATTTTTCAGATTACGTAAGCCTCAGAAATTCTACATAAAAATAGTAATAGCATTCTTTTGGACTCATGCCTTAGCCACTAAGCAGCAAGAAGCTCCCACCCAGATCTTTTCCATCTAGACTGGAGGTTACATGTGTTTTTCACATGTGCTTTAAATACTCTCTTTCTAGACAGAGAAGAGTACAAGAATATCCCATTGAAGGGAAGAAGAAACGGGAAGAATATAGCAATATGTACTTAAAAATGGGAACACTTGGCCAGGTGCGGTGGCTCAAGCCTGTAATCCCAGCACTTTGGGAGGCCGAGGCGGGTGGATCATGAAGTCAGGAGATTGAGACCATCCTGGCTATGACCGTGAAACCCCGTCTCTACTAAAAATACAAAAAAAATTAGCTGGGCGTGGTGGTGCGTGCCAATAGTCCCAGCTACTCAGGAGGCTGAGGCAGGAGAATTGCTTGAACCCGGGAGTCAGGGGTTGCAGTGAGCCGAGATTGCACCACTGCATTCCAGCCTGGGCAACAGAGCGAGACTCTTGTCTCAAAAAAAAAAAAAAAAAAAAAGGGAACACTTACTTGGTGCTCACTGCTGACATTACAGCATAGAAGAGCAAAATGTTATACATTGCCTATTCATTAGTACACAAGCAATTCTTAGTAATACTGTTATCTCCACATATCTTTCTGCTTCACAATAACCCATAGTTTGCTTTTGACCTTTCTTTAAAAAAAGCATCATCCTACCCTCCATGTAGGGTCAGGCAGTGGTGTGGGAAGCTGGTGGAAGGTGGGGTTAGGCAGAAACCAGGAGCAGGCAAGAGTGGGTACAAAAGCTGGGAGTCAGGTTGCAAGGAGACGGGCGAAACTGGTGGAGAACAATCAATGTAAAGTTATGGCCATAAAGCCAAAGGGTCCAAACCAGTAACAGGTTGTCCAGAATTCACAGGGTCTAGACTTCTCTAAGGCAACACTGAGAAGTAGGCAGAGACTGTGATGTTCATTTCTTTTGCCCTCCACCTCCTGTCCTCTCTGTGACCATTCTCTTGCAGCTCTTCTCTTCTCTATTGGGCATCTGTGTTTTTTTCCTGGCCTGCAGCTCTCATTGTCTCATCAAGGCTTGGATTTCCTAATCTCTTCTTTCCCTACAGAACGTCCCTGCTCAAGGTCCTAAGCCTTGTGGATTTGTTCTAAGTGATCTGGTGATCAATATTGGCTAAGGGTCAGTAGCTGCTACAGTGTAATGTGTCATCTTTTCCAAGTCAAGTCCATGAAACTTACATTGACTCATAGAAGGAATGTGAATTTCAGGCAGATCAGAAAGGGAACACTGTGGAGGAATAATTTGTCTTTGATACCTGAAAAAGCCCATCTCATAAGAGGCCTCTCTAAAGTGTTCACCATTTAGAGAAGAGATGTACCACAGCATCATAGGATTTTATAGTTAAGGAGGGATTATCTCTGTAATTATTTCTTAATCCCTAACATGTTACCAGTACATGTTATCTACAATGGCTGCTCACCCAGTGCTTGTTAATAAACAACATTGACAGAGAAATAGAAAATTTCTGTCCTCTAATGACATCTGCTGTCACTATTTGTGATATGCACAAAATTCAGTCGATGAAGCTCATATTTGAAATATGAAAGTTATTTTTTATAGATTTTGTGGGTCTGAAATGTTATAACATATTGGCACTTCAGTCAGCTTAATTCAAATTTGGTTGATATACATGAAGCGTTTTCAGAGCAGGCTCTAACTATGAATGGGAGAAGTAAATTGACTACTTAAGGGATTTTAAGGCTGCTGGGAAAGCCCTCTTCCATCTGGTCCCTGAAATACCTCCCTTGCTTTCTGTTGCCTGAAATTATACAAATGGGAGTTCCAGATTTTCCTTATGCTTTCTTTTCCCTATAAAAATAAAATAACAAAAGAGATTCACCCGGGGAACTATTAGAAAAATCCCCACACTTGGGCTCTACCCCCAGTGTCCATTTTTATTAATCTGGATAGAAGCCCAGGTATTGGTATTTTTAAAAAAACTCCGTGAGAGATTTTGATGAATAGGTGGTTTTGACAAACACTGTGTGGGTGGGACACTAAACTGTATTCATTTTTACCTGGGATATGTACGTGTGGGCATTTTGTTTTTGTTTTCTTTTAAATCAGGCATCTTTCTGAAAAACAGATTACTGGAGAGGAAAAGGACACCAAGGAAAGAGAACTCTGGGCTCTAGTGGAAACTGAGAGCTCAAACCAAAGTTAGACTGAGAGTGGGAGGCATGGGGATTTCAAAAATAAGCACTGTCTAGTTTGCATTGTTGGAAGGCTGGGTCTTGTTAGTATCAGTTGCAAACAATGAGGAAATGACAAGTATTATCATCTCTTTCTTCCTTTCTCTTCCCTTCCCTCTGGCACTTAAGGAGCCATCTGTATACAAGTCAGGGGCCCTGGGAAATGGTATGCTGAACACACTTGATCTGTAGGCAGCAAAAGAAGTTTTAAGATGGGGCTGCTACAGTTGCTGCTGCTCTGCAAACCCATCAGGGAGATGCACGGTCTCTCTTTCGATTTGAAGTTCCAGATTAATGGGCCTGAAAATTGAATTAGCTCAGTGACTACTGAAAGATCCACAGTGGAATGAAAATAAGTCAGAATAGTTACAACCTGTGGCTAGTGGACCCAGAAACTAAATTTTAGCTTGGTGTTTTCAGTGCCAAAGTGAATCTGAAATGGTAATACAACATGGGGCAAAGTTGGGGTTATAGCTCAAATGTTAAAAATATGCTCCAGTGTCAAAATGTCATGGAATGAACAATCAATTAGTAGACATTTTTTCTTTCTTGCTATAAATTCTTTGCTCTTCTTTGCCTAGAAACTCTGCAAGTTTTTCAAAGCAACAAAACTGATCAAAGAAGAGTCAATTAAAAGCGGGGTGAAGGTAGTCCTTGTAAGAAGCTATCTCATCCTTTTAAATTGCTTGAGAGTTCTAAAACATATTTCTCCCTTATAAGCAAAAATTGAAGCATCTGATTAAATTGGCCCCCTGACATTGCTTTGGATTGGGTCTCTCCCTGAGGTGGATTTTCTGTGAAGGGTACGAAGCTGAGGGAGGCTTCAGGGCTACTCGCTTGCACTCATCCCATCTAAGGCCCTGGAAGGAGGTGCCCTGGCAATGACTTCTAATGGTCACAGGTTTTGTAATATTAAACAAGAAAACCCAGAAGAGATTTTAACAGCAATTAGTTAGGACTACTCTCTCCACTCTAAAATTTCCTTGGACATACTTCCTGTTATGGTGTGTGGTATTAGAGACATTGCATGCATTGTTTGGATCTGGCTAAAAAGATTTATGACATAATTTGCATGGTTTGCAATCACTTCAGAGTATATCTAAGTTATTGCTAGATATCCCAGTATGCACGTAGCTCACAGGAAAACACACTTTGTGCTTATCATGTGACTCATTCACCATCATGACCTAAGGGTGCAGTATCCTGATATAAACCTTGCTCCTGAAGTATGTTGATAAGAGAGGTGAAAGTGAAGCAAAGCTTCAAATATGTGGAGCTAGAAACTACTCTATGAAAAATTCTCCCAATTTTCAGACATGTAAAATTGTAAGTGGAGAATCCAGTCCATATTGATGACTAATGAAAGCCCAAGTTATCTCTAGTTAGTAACATCCCGTCTTTTTTTTTTGATGGTTATCACATGAAATAGAACTTACCAGGATTCTTGTATTTATAGGAGACATATCCATAGCAGTATGACAAACTGGTGAGCTTGCTTATTTTATACATTCTAATGCATCAGATGGCACCTTAGAGTATCTGACATCTCTTACCTTAATGCAGTTTTGCGGTTCTAGACCAAACAGCACGTACTATAACCTTAAATACAGTAAAACAATCAACTATGCTAGATGAATGACCTAATTATTCCAGTAATCTCCAAGTTTGAAAAATGTTTCAAAATTGTTATATGAAGTATGCAGCCAAAAAATGTAGAAAAAAAGTATGATAGAGGTATGTCTAATAGTGAAAGATTATTTATTATATTATTTTTCTGGATTTTAATAATGTTGTAGTTTTTAATCAGCTCTTTAAAATTTATAATTTGTTGTGATTTCTTCTCTCATTCGAAATAAATAGTGCTTTTATACGTGATCCTGTGTCCTCAATTTTGTATTCTTTTCATAAAGAAAGAGCTTGTAAATTGTGTCAGGCTGCACAAAACATGGGTCGGCCTCTATGTCTCTGCTGGAGATATTTTCACATGGTATGGGCAAGCCATAAATTATAAATGTAAAAGGAGATTTAATCTCTGAGTTGATACATTTCTCACTTGGTCAGGAGTCAGAAAAGTTGGGTGCTCTTATGAAGTCTGGCATTTATTGGCCAGGTGGTTAGATCCAGCTTTTTGAGGGAGGAAAAAGAGAGAAAAATGCTATTTATTTAACAAACAAATAAATAAAATGATAGAATCATACCAGTGCTTTATATGCATTACCTAATTTAAACCTCACAACAGTTTTACGAGGTTGGACGAAGCTAAGGTGAATAGAGATTTAGAACCTACCTCAAGGGAATGCCCTGCGATTAGAACCTAGATCTGTCTGACCTTATGGACTATGAATTTGCCATGACTTACAGATTTAAGACTCCAAGTTTCCTCAGTTGTAAGATGAGACTAATTCTATGTCTTTTTAACCTGCTTCCCAGGGTTGTGACAGCCATCAAATGAGGGTGCCAGTGAGAAAATAGGAAATAATATTTATTTCTGTAAATACGAAATAACATTTATGGTCTGCAGCTCTGTATGCAGCCCAAATGATTTGGGGTATTAAATTATTTAACATTAATAGCTCTGATATATTTTAGCAAATAGGGATATTTAAATGTGTTTCATAGGTAGCGACATGGCAGTCTGTTTTGTGCCCATTGGGGTTAGTTAGATGTTTCCTGTTTGGACACCAATAGGAATGTGTCTTTTCTTATCATAGGAGTTCTTGACTCTACACCAAAGCAGAGAACAGAGGTTCAGAATGATATTTACAATGGTGAAAAGAGACAAAGAGTTGAGAGCCAAGTTTGAAGAAAGGAATGAACCTTAATACAAAACATTGGAGGAAGTCATCTTCCACCAAAAGCAATTATTAAAGATTCGGTCATTTGAAGAAACCTTGTATCTTTTCCTTCTCAATTAAAAAAAGTATGTATTTAATTACAATCACTTTGTTGAAGCATGACTGATATACAAAAAGTTGTACTGTGTTACAGAGCCTCAGAATAACATGCTAAAAGTATTAGAGGTTCAAATATAAGACTTTGAAAGGAGAGAAATTTAAACTAGACCAAAACATAGTCTCTTCTCTCGGCCAGGCTGGGTAAGGAACATTATTATTTTTTCCTCAAGCTCTGCCTTTGCTTTCATGTAACTCATTTATTTTTTATACTTTCAACTTTTATTTTAGATTCAGGGGTACATGTGCAGATTTTCTTACAAGGCTATATGTTGCTTGATGCTGATGTTTGGGGTATGGATGGTCCTGTCACCCAGGTAGTGAGCACAGTACCCACTGGGCAGTGTTTTGGCCCCTCCACTCTCTGCTAGTCCCCAGTGTCTGTTGTTCCCATCTTTGGGTCCATGTATACAAGATGTTTAGCTTCTACTTGTAAGTGAGAATATGTGGTGTTTGGTTTTCTGTTCTTGTATTAATTTGCTTAGGATAATGACCTCCAGCTGCATCCATGTTACTGCAAAGAAAATGATTTCATTCTTTTCATGGCTGTGTAGTATTCCATGTTGTATATGTACAACATTTTGTTTATCCAGTACACCATTGGTGGGCACCTAGGTTGACTCTGTATATTTGCTATTATGAATGGTGCTGTGATGAACATATCAGTGCAGGTGCCTTTGTGGGAGAACAATTTATTTTCTCTGGGTATATACCCATTAATATGATTGCTGGGTCAAATGATAGCTCTGTTTTAAGTTCTTTGAGAAATCTCCAAGCTGGCTGAACTAATTTACATTCCCATCAACAGTGCATAAGCATTCTCTTTTCTCCATAGCCTCATCAGCATCTGCTATTTTTTGACTTCTAATAATGGCCATTCTGACTGGTGTGAGATGGTATCTCACTATAATTTTGATTTGTATTTCTCTGATGATTACTGATGCTGTGCATTTTCTCATGTTTGCTGGCCACTTATATATCTTCTTTTGAGAAGTGTCTATTCATGTCCTGTGTCCATTTTTAAATGAAGTTACTTGTTTATTGCTTGTTGATTTAAGTTCCTTATACATTCTGGGTATTAGACCTTTGTTGGATGCATAGTTTGTGAATATTTTCTCCATTCTGTAGGTTGTCTGTTTACTCTGTTGATAGTTTCTTTTGATGTGCATAAGTTCTTTAGTTCATTTAGGCCTCACTTGTCAATGTTTTTGCTACAATTGCTTGTGGGGACAGCCAAAAATTCTTTGCCAAGACCAATGTTGAGAAGGGTATTTCCTAGGTGTTCTTCTAGAATTTTCATAGTTTGAGGTCCTACATTTAAATCTTTAATAATCCATCTTGAGTTAGTTTTTATAGATGGTGAAATGTAGGGGTCCAGTTTCATTCTTCTGCATATGGCTAGCCAGTTATCCCACCATCATTAATTGAATAGAAAGTCCTTTATTCATTGCTTATTTTTGTCCACTTTGTTGACAATTATTTGGTTGCAGCTGTGTGGCTTTATTTCTGGATTCTCAGTTCCATTCCATTGGTCTATGTGTGTGTTTTTTGTATTAGTGCCATGCTGTTTTGATCACAGTAGCCTTATAGTAGTGTAGTTTGAAGTCAAGTAGTGTGATGCCTCCAGCTTTGTTCTTTTTGCATAAGAATTCTTTGGCTCTTCATGCTCTTTTTTTGGCTGTATATGAATTTTAGAATAGTTTTTTTCTAATTCTGTGAAAAATGATATTGGTAGTTTGGTAGGAATAGCACTGAATCTGTAAATTGCTTTAGATAGAATGATCATTTTAATGCTATTGATTTAATGCTTTTAATGCTGTGACCATTTTAATGCTATTGACACTCCATGAGCATGGAGTGTTTTTCCATTTATTTGTGCCATCTCTGATTTCTTTTGCAGTGTTTTGTAGTTCAGATCTTTCACCTCCTTGGTTAGATGTAATCCTAGGTATTTTATTTTTTTTGGTGGCTATTGTAAATGGGATTATGCTCTTGATTTGACTTTCAGCTTGAACATTATTGGTATATAGAAATACTACTGATTTTCATACATTGATTTTGTATTCAGAAATTTTACTGAAGTTGTTTATCAGTTACAGGAACCTTTTGGTGGAATCTTTAGGGTTTCCTAAGTATAGAATCTTATTGTCTGTGAGGAGAGATAGTTTGACTCCTTATTTGCCTATCTGGATGCCTTTTATTTCTTTTTCTTGCCTGATTCTTCTGGTTAGGACTTCCGGCAATGTGTTGATTAGGAATGGTGAGAGTGGGCATCCTTGTCTTGTTGCAGTTCTCAAGGGGAATGCTTCTGACTTTTGCCTGCTCAGTATGATGTTGGCTATGGGTTTGTTACAGATGGCTCTTATTATTTTGAGGTATTTTCCTTCAATGCCTAATCTGTTGAGGGTTTTTATTATGAAAGGATTTTGGATTTTATTGAAAACTTTTTTGGTGTCTATTGAGACAATCGTATGTTTTTGCCTTTCACTGTGCTTATGTGAGGAATCACATTTATTGATTTGCATATGTTGAACCAGCCTTGCATTCCAGGAATAAAGCCTACTTGATCATGGTTTGTTCACTTTTTGATGTGCTGCTGGATTGGATTTGCTAGTATTTTGTTGAGGATTTTTTCATCTATATTCTTTGGGGATATTGGTCTGAAGTTTTCTTTTTTCCTTTGTGTTTCTGCCAGATTTTGGTATCAGGCGGATGCTAGCTTTGTAGAATGAGTTAGTGGGGAGCCCCTCATCCTTGATTTTTTGGAATCGTTTCAGTAGGATTGGTACCAGTTTTTCTTTGTAAATCTAGTAAAGTGCAGCTGTGAATCCATCTGGTCTAGGGATTTTTGTTGTTGTTGTTGGTAGGTTTTTTAAGTTACTGATTCAATTGCACTATTTGTTTTTGGTCTGTTCAGGGTTTTACTTTCTTCTTGGTTCAATCTTGGGAGGTTGTGTATATCTAGAAATTTAGCAATTTCCCTTAGATTTTCTAATTTGTGTGCAAAGAGGTGCTCAGAATGTCTCTGGAGGTCTTTTGCATTCTTGTAGGATGTTGTAATCTTTGTCATTTCTGATTGTATTTATTTGGATCTTCTCTTTTTCTTTCATAATCTAGCTAGCTGTCTATCAATCTTGTTTACCCATTAGAAAAACTAACAGTTTCACTGATCTTTTATATGGATTTTTGTTTCTCAATTTCATTAAGTTATTCTCCAATTTTAGTTATTTAGCATGCTAGCTTTGGGTTTCGTTTGTTCTTTCTTATTCTAGTTCCTCTAAGTACAAAGTTAGATTGTTAATTTGAGATCTTTAGAACTGTATATATATTTTTTTTGAGACAGGGTTTCACTCCTGTCACCCAGACTGGAGTGCATGGAGTGCAGTGGTGTGATCTTGGTGCACTGCAACCTCCACTTCCCAGGCTCAAGCGATTCTCCTGCCTTAGCCTCCTAAGTAGCTGGGACTACAGGCACATGCCACCACACTCAGCTAATTCTTTTGCCTTTTTTTTAGAGACAGGGTTTCACCATATTGTCCAGGCTGGTCTTGAATTCCTGGGCTCAAGTGATCTGCCCTCCTCGGCCTCCCAAAGTGCTGAGGTTACAGATGTGGGCTACTGCACCTCGCCCAAGATCTTTTGAACTTCTTGATGAAGTTTGAAAGCACTATAAACTTTCCTCTTAACACTGCTTTAGCTGCATCCCAAATTGACCATATGACTGAGCATATGATCAATCTTATAATATGTTCCATGTGTGCAGATGACAAAAATGTATACTATGTGGTTTTGGGATGGAATATTCTAAAGAAGTCTATTAGGTCTAACTGATCAAATGTCAAGTATAAGCCCAGAGTTTCTTTGTTAGTTTTCTGCCTCAATGATCTCTAACACTGTCAGTGGGGTGTTGAAGTCTCTCATTATTATGGTGTTGCTGTCTGAGTCTTTTCATAGATAAAGAGGAAGTTTTTTTTATGAATCTGGGTACTCCAACATTAGGTACATATATATTTAGGATAGTTAAGTCTTCTTGTTGAATTGAACCCTTTACCATTATGAAACGAAACACCCTTCTTTGTCTTTCTTAATCGTTGTTGGTTTAAATTCTGTTTTTTTTTTTTTTTTTCAGGAATAAGAATAGCAACTCTTGGTCTTTTTTGTTTGCATGGTAGATCTTTCTCCATCCCTTCACTTTCAGCCTGTGTATGTCATTACATGTGAGATGGCTCTCTTGAAGACAGCAGACAGTTTGGTCTTGTCTTTTTATCCAGCTTGCTACTCTATGCCTTTTAAGTGACGTGTTTCGACTGTTTACATTCAGAATTAGTATTGATATGTAAGATTTTGATCTCGTCATCATGTTGGTAGCATGTTGTTTTGTAGACTTGATTGTGTGGTTGTTTTATAGTGTTTGTGGGCTATGAGCTTCAGTGTGTTTTTGGGGTAGCAGGTGTTATTCTTCTGTTTTCATGTTTAGCAGTAAATGTTAATTCTTTATTGCAAAGAAACTTTTAGTGTTGAGTGAAATTGTAGCATTATTTATATAAAGTTGTATCTGTTATTATTCACATTTACAGTACAGTAATATGTATAGATTTTTTATTTCAAAATGTGTGATTAATAGTATTCAATCAAGTAATCTTTTTCTTTAAACAATATTAATTTCAAAATAATTCTAGGTATTGTCATAGTTACGTATTTGAACTAGGATGACCTAATTATTGTAGTCAATATTCTGGTTTCTGGAAAAGGTAAAACTGAGTTAGAAGAAATGCTTTAGCAGGCTTACTACTGAATGTGTTACATGTAAGGCCAGACAGATATTAGAACTTAGGAGGCAGGTTAAATAACTTGATGCTTTTCCAAACTGAAATTTAAAAAATATATTTAAAAACTTTTATACAGTGGATGTGGGAGAAATATTTTTTCTAAGCAGTTAGAGCAGATACAGAATTATGTATTCATTCATTAATACAATTAAAGTTATTAGTCAAACTAGTTTCTATTTTCTCTATTCTTATCTTTCTATCTTCTTTTATAATTTTTAAATTTGGGGATATTATAGAATTATAGAATTACAAGATGACTTCTTATAAGGAATAGTAGTATAAGTTTTCAAATTTAACAAACTAATTTGCTTATTCTCCCAAAGCAGACCTAGGTCTGGCTTTTTTAGTTTTAGAATCTCAGCTGATTTTATTGACATCTAATTCACTGAAATTACCTATAAGCAGAGGAAAAAATATCCCAAAAGGTAAAGTAGTGTAGTAAGGGCTATTTTGCCTTTTGACTTGGCTCTACTTACCTTAATGAGTAAATTTATTCCAGTGATGCTTTTTATCCACTAGAAATCAGTGTTGCTGGCAACCCCCTGGCTAATTTGCCCATTGATCTAGCTCTAGATAAAAGTTACCTGTTTCATTTTACTCCTTATCTAAATCTCTTCTTCTAAATTATGTTTTGCTTCATTCTGACTTTCTCTGTTTACATTTTGCTGTTTCATTGCATGTATTTTGCCGTAAGTCATATTAAATCTTTTATGGAGAGTGATAAAGTATAAAACAAATAAATATTGGCTGTTTTAATCCTTCTTGCATTTTGCTTTTGTTTTTATCTCTTCCATCTACCCCATAGTTATCAGGATTCTGATGAGATGGTGGCCAGAATATACATCCCTGTTGCTCTGATATCCACTTCAAACACTGACCCAACCACCAACTACATCTCCAGTGGGGGACAGGTGCTTGAACTGAAGAGTTTGTGACCCTGCAAGACCCTGACCCTGTCAAGCTGCAAGCTTAGGATGATTCTCAGTTCTGGGCCTGGAGGTTGGCCTGGGCTAAGGATTTGAACTCTTTTATTCCTAAAAGGATATTGGACATCTAGGACCTATGGATCCTCAAGAGGAAAAGCCATGCCAGCCCACACATGTGATTTTTTAAGGTATTCAATGTATTTTTAATAAGTGAACAAAGGAGGGAAGAAATACAGGAGGGAAGAGAGGAAGGATTAATTTTTTAATTAAAAAAATCAAGTTCTGAGATGACTTGTTTTAAAAAGACCAAAGCTTATCTTTCTGACCACTACTACCAGCTCATTTTCAATAACCTTCCCCTACACTCGCCCCTCTGTCTCTGGGGCAGAGTGGCAGTCATGTCCCACAAAGCATTTCACCTCACATGCCATTTTAGGAGGATTTGCTGATCTTTAAGCCTTCTCCCTCTGCCTATGAAAGCAGTAATCAAGTTCTTCTTAATGTTTGCTGAAGGGATTGAAGAGTCTCCAATTTTTACATCCCTGTTTGTCAACAGTAGTACTTCCTACTGCTTTCAGGTTTTCATCACTCTTAGGTACTTTACTAATTCAATATGAGAATAGACTCATGGGTATGCAAAGGAAATCACAGCCTATGGGGACCCGGTAGAGCAGTCCTCTCTTCACAGCCCATAGGCTGTGATTTTCTTTGCATACCCATGAGTCTTTTCTCATACTGAGTTAATAAAGTACCTGAGAGTGATGAGTTAATAAAGTACCTGAGAGTAATATATGTATACACACACACACACACATAAATACACAAATATATATGTGTATTTATGTATACACCACACACACATATATACACATACAAACCACACACACACACATATATATATATATACACACAGAGAGAGAGAGAAAGTGCAAGAGAGAGGAGAGAGAGAGACAGAGAGAGAGAGTGTGAGAGAGTACCATCAATGGGAAAGCTTCTTGTGTAATAAAACTGTTACAGGAGACTGACAACTACCAGAATAATCATATTGCAACAAAATATTTTTTAAAGAAGGCTCAGGGAGATTCTATTATAGATTTACAGAGACTCCTAAACTTAAAAAGTGTAATTTTTCAATTTAAAATTTGAGCAGATGAATTAAGGAGAGAAATTCACTATAGAGACTAGGATTAGCAGCCTGGTGGGTCAAGTGCAAGACACATTTCAAAACATAGAAAAATACAAAGAGAATAAAATCTTGAGGAAGAACACAAGAGATTTGGAGGACAGCATCAAGAGTTCTAAAATCTGGATACTAGGGATTCCAAAAGGAGAAAAAGGAATGGATATAAGGGAAGATAACAATTAAAAAACAAATGGGAAAAATAACAGTGGATTGAAAAAAAAAGACTTGTGTATTGCAGATTGAAAGTGCCCAGGCAGGATTGATTTTCATAACCAAGGGTTGGAGGTGAGAGATAAAGAGACAAAACAGGCTGATGGATACAGGCTCTTCATTCTGCTGACAGTCTTAACCCTAAAAACTTACACTGTGTTTTTGTCATGTGGTGGTGAAACTTTGATGTTGCCTGATAACACCACCCTTGGGTTGCACTTTAATTTTTCATGTGACATGTCAGCCCTATTCCATTGGCTACTGCATCAACTATCATTATCTAGTGGATGAAAAAGTCGTTACATATAAGTAAAACTGCCATAGAAAGAGTGGCTCCTGTTACATGAATTCTTCTGAACTGCTATGCACTGTGGTGGGTTTGGATATGTATACAACCTTGACCTGAGATCTAGGTTTGGGGTTGGGAAATATTAGCATGAATTTCTTTGCAATTAGGGAGAATTTAGCAAGTCAGAAACAATCTGGAAAGGAAGGGTGAGATGGTATAAAGCTTGGTTTTGTATCCAGTAAAAACTGCCACAGGGGGTTGTTTCAAAGATAATAATAGAAGTTAATGTGTAATGCTCGGTCTGAAATTGCATTTCTGTGCCATACACATTTTGACTCTGCTCCTCCGTCATTTTCAGTAAAATCTACCATACTTATGATTATTACTTTATGTATTTTAAGCAGAAAGAGGATTAATACAAGAAAACAGGAGCTTAGAAAACAATTGGATATTTAAAAGAATAACTAGAGAGATTGAAGAAAGAGGTCTAAGTTAGGCCTTTAGAAATGTCTTGAGGGAAAATGCACAGCTGCCTCACTAGGGGAGCCACTACCTCTGAAACCTCCACTGTCACGGAACATGCCTCTCAATCCATGGAACTGAAGAATGGACACTGGAATGCTGACATAGGAAGGTCTTATAATTCTGTGACCTTCCTTGACAGCGACAATAGCTAGTCAGGAATGTAGTGGTCACAGTATTTCTCTACCTTACCTTAATTTGCTTTTAGACTACAGCACCTGGAAGATAATTGGTGCAAAATCTGAGAGAGGCAATCCAGAGAATGAAGCTCAGGGCTGATTTCCACAGGGTCAATGAAGTAGGAAAGAGAGAGATCTAGTGTGGGTCAGGAAGATAATTCATAAACTGAAGAAATTAGGGGGAAGCAGGACCTGGGGTCAGAATGATCTAGACCTCAGATCTGATCTAGGTGACAATTGTCTTTTGGTGACCTCAATTGTGTTTAGGTGCTTTAGGGTGACTTAGGGACAGGATGGTGACTCATGGCATGACTAAGCCACTTTGATCCCAACTAGTGGTAGACATTAAAAATCTGAAATCACCTCCCATTCCCTTGGACCTAAGTATCTTCAATTAAGCTCTTTAGAAATTTAATTGACTAATTGACTGAAGTGGCACTAAGAGAAAAGTGGAACTGATTTGCTACCCTGCTTGTCAATACTTGTGAAGCTAACTTAAATAGTTTCATTTAATTCAGTATCACAAAGCTGTCATTGTTTAAAACTTGATGGCAAAAATCATGTGCACTGTACACAGAGCTGCAGCCTATAAATGGTATTTTATATTTATAGAATTTATTATGAGACGGTGACTATGTATGACTATAGTTAGAAAGTAGCAGGCAAACAACAAAATGTACTAGGAAAGGGAGGGTGGGCATAGACTGTCCCTGTTTCAGTGTGATTGTATAGTCTAGTTCAACAGAGAGGATAGTCTGTAAGAATTAGCTGAACATTAGCCCCATTGAAGTAACTTAACCTAAGCACTTCTATTTTATCGTTCCACATCGTTGATGGTCTTAAAAATTTTAAGCTTTCATCGTATGAAAAAAAGGCATGAAGAAAGCAAACGTAAATGTACTAAAAGTATGCTACAAACTTTCCTATATAGAATGTGTTTAATGGGTTGAATTGTGTCTCGCCAAAATTCATATGTTTAAGTCCTAACCCGTAGTAGCTAATAATGTGAGTTTATTTGAAAACAGGGTCTTTGTCGATTTAATTAATTAAGATGAGGTCATTAGGGTGGCCCTAATCCAATATGACTGGTGTCCTCATTAAAAAAAGGAAATGTGGACGCAGACATGCACACAGAGAGAACCCTATCTGAGATAAAGGCAGAGATTGGAGTGATGTATCTACAAGTCTAGGAACATAAAATATGACCAACAACCACCAGAAACTAGGGGAGAGGCATGGAACAAGTTCTTTCTCACAGCCTTCAGAAGGAATCAACCCTGCTGATGCTTCGATCTCAGACTTCCAGACTTCAGAACTGTGAGCCAATAGAGTTTGGTTATTTATGGCAACATTTGTGATACTTTGTTATGGCAACCTGAACAAACTAATATCAAGTATAAGACTTTTTGAAAGCATACAAAGAACAGTAAATTGATAAAGTGAAAATTAAAAAGAATGAACATAATGCCGTCATGTATACTCTGCATACACTCAGGGACCAACCAATTGCACATCACCTTTCCAGATGGTAGAAAATTTGGCCACAAATTTCAATATGACTGAACCAGCTGTAAGAAATTCTATAATGTTATAAATCAATTTTAAGAGTAATTAAAAATGTATTTAGCCCCCTAGGAGTGATATGAAAAGTTTTGATTAGAAATGGAACATTTGGAGGCAATTCTCACTGAAGGAATCTGAGGCAATAAAGGAAGATGAATCAGAAGTGGAAGGTTATTGTCACTTCAAAAAGTATAAATGGGCATATTGCTTCACTCCTGATCTAAAATGTCCCCTATGGTATCATAATAAAAATATAATCAACTTGAAAGTAGTGTCTAGAATGAAAATTACCTGGACTGATGACATTTAGATTTTCATAGGAAATTTGGCTTGTTTCCTCCAAGTAGATATCAAAAGTAGGCTGGTTCTCACTAGTAGTGGTTCTCACTAATCCTATAAGAAAGTAATGGTTCTCACTAATGCTATAAGAAAGGGGAAATTTCAGAAGTAAGAAAGTATTTTAACTTTCCTTATCACACAGGAAAACCATGCTTATATATTTTCTTCTTCAGAAAATTTACATGCTAGTAAAAATTACCATTTCAGTACTGTCAATAAAGGCTTATGTCTAAGTAGGAAATTGCTACATACAGAACAATATTAGGACTATTTGCTGTAATTCTAAGAAAGAAACCAATAATTCTTGGGTAATTTGAACTAGAACTGAAAAAATCTTTTGAAATGTAATTTAAGTATTTGTATAAAAATAGGTAGTAGTAGCTATCATCCGTGGAATGTTTACCATGTACCAATAACTGTTTTAATGCCTTTTTCACTTATCTTACATATGAGATTTTTGTAAGGACCAGATGGGACATGTATGTGAAAAGCTTTGGAAACTTTGAAGTTGCAAAGTTGTATGGAGTCCAATTTCAGGGCGAGAGTCCTCTGCTCACCAAAACACATACCACAGGCTGTATTCAGAAGTTTGAATGTCTTAATCCACTCATAAATATTATTATTAAACAACCTCAATCGTTTTTAATATATTAGAAATTAATGGTGGTAAACAATGAGAATTGGAATGATCTTCTGCTTGGGAATAAGACTTGAGGATAGCATTTTGCTGACACTGAGGTAGGGTGGGGTCCTCAGGTATATAATACTATAAGACTCATTTGCCATGCAGGCATATTCATTTAGATGAAAGGTAGGAAATCATAAGGTATAATGTGTGCAGAATATAGTAATTTTGAGTAGTTATTTGTTAAAAATATTCTGTTAGGTTTACATGTGTGTTTGCTAAAACAAAAATGAGGTACTCAGCATAATTATTTTGAGATTCATCCAAGTCGATACATGTATCAGTAGCTCATTTCTTTTTATTGCTAAATAGTATTCCACTGTAAGGATAGACCACAATTATTATATTCCTACACCTGTTGATGGACATTTGGATTGTTTCTAGTTTTTGGCTAACAAATAAAGCTGCTGTAAACATTCATGTGCAACTATTTATATGAACATATGCCTTTATTTCTTTTGAATAAATATTCAGTGTTGGAATTACTGGGTTACATGGTAGTGTGTATTTAATTTAAGAAACTGTCCTGGCTGGGCACGGTGGCTCATGCCTGTAATTTCAGCACTTTGGGAGGCCAAGGAGGGTGGATCATGAGGTCAGGTGTTTGAGACCAGCCTGGACACCATAGTGAAACCCCGTCTCTACTAAAAATACAAAGATTAACTGGGCATGATCGTGGGTGCCTGTAATCCCAGCTACTTGGGAGGCTGAGTCAGGAGAATTGCTTAAACTCAGGAGGCAGAGGTTGCCATGAGCTGAGATTGCGCCACTGCACTCCAGCTTGGGTGGCAGTGTGAGACTCCGTCTCAAAAAAAAAAAAAAAAAAAAAAAAGAAACTGTCCTACTATTTTTCAAAGTAGTTCTGACAACTTATATTTCCATCAACAGACTTTCAGTTGTTCAATACCCCGGCAAATACTTGGTATGGTTTTTAATTGTAGACATTCTAAGAGGTGATTAGTAGTATCACATTATGATTTTAATTTGCATTTCCCTAATGATGGATGACGTTGAGTATTGTTCATGTGCTTACCTACTATCAGTAAATTGTCTTTGGCAAAGTATCTGTTCAAATCATCCACCCATTTCTGAAAACTGGTTGTTTTCTTCTTATTATGTTATTATAGCTCTTTACGCATTCTGGATAAAAGTTCTTAATCCAATATGAGACTTCCAGATATTTCCTCCTAATATATGGTTTGGTCTTTTCATTCTTTTCACAATATCTTTTGCTGAGCAGAAATTCTTCACTTTGTTGAAGTCTAATTTATTATTATTTTATGAATGGTGCTTTTGATATCTTATCTAAAAAATATGTACCTAACCCAAGGCACAGAAATTTTATCCTAAGTTTTATTTTAGAAATGTTATAGTTTGAAATTTTACATTTATATATATGATCCATTCCTGTGTTAGTTTTTGTATATGGTATGAAGTATGGATTGAAGATTTTTTTTGGTGTATAAATTTACAATTATTCTAATAACATCTGTTAAAAAGACTATCCTTTCTCCACTGAATTGTGTATGAAGCTTTGTGGAAAATCAATTGACTATATATGGATTGGTCTATTTCTATTCTATTGATTCATTTATCTACCTTGGAGTTAATAGTTTAGTCTCAATTATGGTAGTTTTGTAAAAAGTCTTGAAGTAAGGTAAAATGCTTTGTTCCTTTTCAAAGTTATTTTTGTTATTCCAGGTCCTTTGCATTTCTAACTGAATTTTAGAATCGCTTGTCAACTTCCATAAAAAAAACTGCTGGGATTTTGATTGATTGTGTTAAACCTTTACATCAATTTAAGAATGCTAACTTAACTAAATTCAGTCTTCTGACCTACAGAAATGTTGTATCTCTCTGCTTAGTTTGGGCTTCTTTAATTTATCTCTTTAATATTTGGTAGTTTTCAATATTAGGTCTTGTATATACTTTAACAAATATATTCCTAAGTAGTCCACATCTTGTATTTTTTAAAAAGTTGCTGTTTCCAACTGTTGCTAGTATATAGAAATACAGTTGATATTTTTAACATTGATCTTTGATCCTGGAACTTTGCAAACTCAGTTTTAGTAGCTACACAGATTTTCTGCATAGATTTATTATCAGAACATCTGAAAATGACTAGATACGTCTATGGGTAGTGGGATTATGAGGGAAATTTGGAGTGATCATTATGTTTTCGACTTGGATTGCTTGACTGTGATGTCTTTAATGAGAATTCAAAATATAGAATTAAGAGTATGTTTTGCAAGAAGAAATGTGATTAAATTCAATGCTGGATATGTTGAGTTCTAGGTTCCCATGAGGATACAATGGAACTGTTTAGCAGGCAGTCAGATCCATGTTCTGGGAGCTATCAGAAATGGAGATACACATTTGGGAGTCATCACCAAGAATGGTGGTCTGCTGTGTAGAAATATATAAAGTAAAAAGCAAAAGAAGAGAGTCAAGGATACAACTCTGGGGAGCATCATGTTTAATTTAGGATGGATAGTCTTGGGTATTTTCATAGGCTGAGAGAAAAGAGAGGAAATTAGAGGAAAACTCTTCAATTTCCTCGTCTATAGCACTTTTGTTTTTTCAGAATCACTAATATCTATTTCAATTAAGAGAAGGTATATTGATTCCTGCTTGGGGTCGTATTTCTGTTTCTGGCTTCTACCTGGCGTCAGGGTTAATGAAAATGAAGTTATTTCTCAGCCTGTCAATTCAGAAATGAAATAGAATTTCTGAAATCGCAAATCTGAAGATAGATTCCAGGTGATTGTGAGTCTACCTGTACATTATAATGTTTTAAAAAGGTTTTTAGGCCAGGCGCGGTGGCTCACATCTGTAATCCCGGCACTTTGGGAGGCCGAGGTGGGAGGATCACCTGAGGTCAGGAGTTCGAGACCAGCCCTGGCCAACATGGCAAAAACCCATCTCTACTAAAAATACAAAAATTAGTCAGGCATGGTGGCACATGTCTGTAATCTCAGCTACTTGGGAAGCTGAGGCAGGAGAATCGCTTGAACCCGGGAGGCAGAGGTTGCAGTGAGCTGAGATTGTGCCACTGCGCTCCAGCCTGTGTGACAGAGCTAGACTCCATCTGAAAAAAAAAAAATAGAACTTCAGCATTATTTATTTAAAGTTCTTATAAAATAAACACAATTCCTTAGTGATATCCTTTTTTCTTTACTATAGCAAATTGCCTTTTGTTCCTGTGCCTATCTTCTTAAAGGGAGGATGGTTGAAAACACACCTTTAATTTTGTTTCTACTTTAATGTCTTTGCCTTAGGAAAGTTGTAATCTCTTTCTGTGTGTGAATGATGTGAGAATGTATAGTGAAGATGATCCTGGCATGAAGTGGTTCTCACTACTTAAAAGTTGGCTTTGCCTGTGATCTGCGGCATATGTGGGAAGATGCCTGCTGCTCTCAGAAGTAATCATGCATTGTAGGGTGCTTAAGATGAGGGGCTTAGATTTTCATAGATGGAGGAAGTAATTCCAAAGTGGACTGCATGGGAGTCTTTCTCTTAGGAGATCAGGGCGTGCTGGATACTGCAAGGGTTGTATTTTCCAAGCATGGACTGCTTGGTCCTGCAAACGTTAGATTCCATGAAGCTAGACTTTGGTGCCTGTTCTATGGAGAAGGGTATAGAAAATTCTCAAAGCACACTTTGCCTTAGTTCAAAGTCCAGTTGTTTTGTGGGCAGCATGTCTGCTCCCATGTTAATATTGTGATATTCATTCAGTTCCCATGTTTCCCTTTATCATCAATGTATTTGTCTCCTCTGACATTGGTTTGTATGCTACACATGGCCTGGGTCAACCTTAGCCTTCCCTAGCTCAGCTTTGGGCACTGAGATGCCACTCATTTCCAGAGCCAACATGGCACTGTAGAGACTAAAGTAGGAGATTTTAGTCCAGCAATCAGTAGAGGACAAGACAGTTTTGCTGCCAAAAGCCACAAAATTGTACAAGCCCCCACTAGACACTGAATTGTAGCCTTACTTTACATTGTTGGCCCTCTCCATGCAACTGGGTTTCTACCTATCTCAAGTTAATTACATCAGTCCCTGCTAGTACTGGAGCTTAGTCCTGAATCCTTATGTACTCTGACGGGCCTCAGAAACTGCCTAGTTCAGGCCTACCTTTTGCTACTTGCTAGCTTTCTCCTTACTATTTGTGGCTGAACACAATCTCCCATTTTCTGGGGCACTTGATGGAGTCTGTTACTAAAGAATGATGATTCAGAATCCTGACCCAGTCCTCTCCCCTACGTCACCCTAGCCTTGCATTTAAAATGACCCCCGCCTGGACTCTGCTGCTGCTGGGCCCACCTGCTCCACTCTTCATTGGATATAGGCGTCGTTGAATGTCAGATGAATTTGTCACACACTTCTGGAGACTGATCACGCCTCTTGATCTGTTTTCTCCAACCCTGATGCTGTCCATTCCTAGTTTTGTCTCTTTTATCCCTTCCTCTCTCCTCTCCTCAACAAGTCCCTTCTTTGAGCCAGCCTGAATAATGACATTCTTCCTTGGTCTTGACCTTTTCCTTGGCCTCTATCAGGCTTTACTTTCATTCTTGTCTTTCCAAATAAAAGCACATAAAAACTTTGCATTGTAATTGGAGAAGGGAGAAAGACAAATGACTAGGTGAGTTTGGAGAGCCAGATGCTGTGGAGCCCAGCAGGTGTGGAATGGAAGGGAAAATAATAGAGAAACAGGTGACCAGCATTTATCAGGAGAAACTAATAGGAAAGAGGATCTACAACAATACTTACAGCCTCAGGTGACTATATATCCAACAATGAACAGGGCAGAGCAATAAAGTGAACCTAAAACTTAAAAGAGTGTAAATATGATCTCATAGGCACTATCGAGAATTGATACCATGAACCAATGGTAATGGAACAGTGTCTCCACTAAAGCCGGTCTTAGTTTGGGTGATGTCGCTAGCTAGTTTTGTGACCACCCTGATTTTCTCCTTTGAAAATGGATGTGACTAAATTTTACCTCTAAGTTCCTTTCTAGTTCTGATATTTTATGAGCATTTTCCACAGCCCATTCTCACAACTGGGCCAGTACATTATCAGTTTAGCCAAGTGGTTTTTTTTTAAAGCCTTTATAGGTGCAAATGTTCCAGAAATGGAAAACAAATTATGGTTGTTGGGGATGATGGTATATGAAACCAGCCACATAAATTGTAAAATAGTAGTTATTGCTCTGTAGTATTTAATTTCTGGTTTCATAAATATCACAACATTTTGGCATCCAGCTTATGAAAGGTCTACCACTACCAAGTGAATTTGTGCTGCCATTCTCCACTCTGGGGAATTTTATTTTATTCCATGTGATACTCCCAAAAGGTTCTTAAGAGATATTTGAATGAAACCTTTTTATTGCACAGAGGTCATGGGAAAGTGCTGGTCATAGATAAAGGAAACATTAAGGATAAGAGGCATTTTCTAGTGATAGAAGCAAAAACCTTACTCCAGCCAGATATTTGAGAGAAAGGGACATTAAAGAGTTGATCTTTCAGTTCTGACGCCATGAGGTCTATAAGCTGAAATGCAAGATTCAACCATTTGAATCCCAGCTCTGCTTTAATGATTTTGAGTAAAGTATTAATGGCTTTAAACCTCAGTTTTCTTATACATAAAATGAGGACAATGTTAGATATTACCTGGCCTTATTTTAGGACTAAAAGAGATGGCATATGGAGTATTACTTTTGTATATAGGAAATTACAAAATGTGACTTTTATCATTGTTGTTTATTATTATTTATGAAGCATCCAGAATGGAGATTATTCAGTAAGAAGTACACCTATACAGGCTGGAATGAATTTCTCACTTCAACTTACACAAAGTATCCAGGATCTAATCTTCAATTAGACTTCAAAATGTAATATTATAACATTTGACTTCTGAAAAATTAAGAAAAATGTGTTTCACAAATAAAAGGGGCCAGGTGCGGTGGCTCACGCCTGTAATCCCAGCACTTTGGGAGGCTGAGGCGGGCGGATCACGAGGTCAAGAGATCGAGACCATCCTGGCCAACACGGCGAAACCCCATCTCTACTAAAAAAATACAAAAATTAGCTGGGCGTGGTGGTGTGTGCCTGTAGTCCCAGCTACTTGGGAGGCTGAGGCAGGAGAGTTGCTTGAACCTGGGAGGCGGAGCTTGCAGTGATAGCTGAGATAGCACCATTGTACTCCAGCCTGGCGACAGAGCGAGACTCCATCTCAAAATAAATAAATAAATAAATAAATAAATAAATAAATAAATAAATAAAATATAAAATAAATAAATAAATAAATGTAAAGAACAAGAATATTTTGACATTCAAAGTAGTAAACAGCTAAACTGTCTAAATAAGCTCTGAGAATGGAATATACTTTCATATCTTTCCAGTATGAGAAGCAACTTCTCAGTCAGATGTTCCAGCTATGGTATTCTTTGTAAAATAACAACAAAAAATTAGTAGGAACATTTCTATTTTAAAAACTCCTATTTATTGAACAGTAAGTTGCTACTACTGAGCTTTTAATTTGCCCTCCCACCTACTTTTTATTTGTAAATGGAATAGATAATTAATAAAATCTGTAAAAACATCTATTTGGACAAATGATGCTTTTGAATACACATATGCTAAGTTATAGCTGTATATCCTCCTTATATAGAAAATGAGAAATCCCAGCGGCATATGTGGAATATTAACTCTTGAGAAGGAAATACTTGAGTTGTTTTCTAATCTATTGCCTAACTTGGGAAAAAAATAAAAATGACTTATAATATGTTATGGTTATTTACAGGTATGCAATAAATCCGTATTTATAGATGTTGAAAAAACATGTTTTTGTGTGATGGGACTACTATCCAGTTTTCTTTCCATTGATGATGGAACTAAGAAAAGGAGTAAATCATTTTTCTTTAAGTGTGCAAGTGACATATCTATTTAGATTTATTTTTTCCTCAATAAAGGGTTTTCTTCAACATTCAGGGGAATTACAACAGCAGTAAATGTGATTAATTTTTTGGCAGATGCTCTCCCTGACCTTCTATGTCTGTTAGGCATCATATCTACCTAATTTCCGTATTCTTCTTTACTTCATTGATCTCTATTATGCTGTCTGTCAAATTATACTAGAAGTTTCTAGAGGGCAGGAGCTTATAGAGTTTTGAATCTCTCCTATTTAGCATGACATGAGCTCCATATAATGAGTTGAATTAACAGTTGCAAAGATGAACAGAACCAGCGTCTTGGAGGAGAGGCAGGAGGGGTACGCAGGTCCCTGGAGGGATGCTGTTAACAGACATGAGATCAGAATTTCCGTTTGGATGAGACGTAATGGGAAGGGAGGTATTTGAGAATCTTAAAGTACCCCAAATGGCCTGGGTTAGGGTTTAGGCCCAACTTAACCCCTTTTCCAAATTCTGCTAAGGCTGGAGAGGTCTGGGAGAAATAGAAGATAAATTAGTTCAACCGTTCTCAGTAAGGAAAGCACTGCCCCCTGGAGGTTATTCTGGAAATTGTCAGCATGTTTTCTGGTTGTGAAAAGATTGGGTAGGTGATTGTGGGAGGGGTGTGTTACCACTATTATGTAGTAAAGTAGGATCCAGGCATTTTAGATGTCCTGTCATGTGTGGAAGAGCCCTGGAGAGTAAATAGATATGCTGTAACCTGTACAATTCTCATGTTAGCCTAGAAATGAATTCCATCTGACATATACATACAAAGTGTTTACAACATGTAAATTAAAAGAAGAGTATAGCATTTTGTTTTGTTCAGCAATTTACCAAAAGTTATTCATCATTTCAGAAAATCATGTCACTGATTGCAGACTGCAATGTTGGTCATGCAATTGAGCAGTTGACATGACACACCTGTTAATTTGCATGGGTGCCAGTTTGCAAACCATGAGAGTTTGCCTGTCATACCCAGTAATGAGTGGTTCTTTGTACTGGTGCAGGCATCAGGCCACTATAATACATTTTCCAGTGTAAGGCAAGTCTAACTGCTTACATAATGAAATATATAAGGTATATTAATTTGCTAGGGCTGCCATAACAAAATACTACAGACCGATGGCTGAAACAGAAAATTCTATTTCTCACAGTTTTTGAAGCTGGACGTCCAAAATCAAGGTGCCTACAGGGTTGATTTCTTCTAAGGCTTCTCTCCTTGGCTTATAGATGGCCACCCTCTCATTGTGTGTTCACATGGTTGTCTCTGTGCACGCACATGTCTAGTGTCTCTCTGTCTCTGTCGTAATCCCGGTTTTTGTAAGGACACCCATCATACTGGGTTAGGACCCACCTTAAATACCCTATTTTAATATACCTCTTTAAAGACCTTATCATCAAATGTGGCCACAGTCTGGACGCTTAGGGTTACAGCTTCCACTTATGCATTTTTTAGTCGGGGGAGGGGGGGTCATAATTCAGCCAAAAATATATGGCTTCTTATAAATTAGTATTCATTTATTTCTTCTTCATGGTAAACTTAGAGTGTTAGATTGTGCTTTGTGTGAAGGTAGGTTATATAGTTCCAAGATTCCTTTACAGAATCTCTTTGCTAGAAATTGAGTCATGGGGGTGGTTACCTTCATGCTGTTCTTGTGATAGTGAGTTCTCATGAGGTCTGATGGTTTTATAAGGGACTTTTCCCCTTTTGCTTGGCACTGCTTCCTGTCATCATGTGAAGAAGGACGTGTTTGCTTCCCCTTCCACCATGATTGTAAGTTTCCTAAGGCCTCTCCAGCCATGCTGAACTATGTGTCAATTAAACCTCTTTCCTTTATAAGTTACCCATTCTTGGGTATCTTTATTAGCAGCGTGAGAATGGACTAATACAATACCTAATATTGGGTATCTTTATTAGCAGCGTGAGAATGGACTAATACAATACCTAATATAATGTAACGCTCAGTGGAATATGGGAGCACCCTGTAACCAAACACATTGAATTTGTTGTAGCAAATATTTACAAGTAGGTGGGATAAATAGAATAAATTGCCCCCATCAGTTCAGCTGAGGAGACGCAGTGATGTGAGGTTTAGCACCAAACTTAGATAAAAGTTTTCAGTTTTCAGAGCTTATCGGGCTTTAGAATTACAGAGAAGAAACTGTGAAAAAAGTGTTATTAATGTGTAGATGGAATATAGCGTCTATGCAGTTCTTTTCAGAATAGTAAAAAGAGATATTAAAATATTTGGTGTAACAGAGGATTTTGGTTTTGATACAGTTAGGAACCATTGATACAGTTGAAGAAACTCAGACTTTTGAATAACCATATGCAGTGAATCATTGACTGAGTTATGACCTAGACTTGGGGTCTGAAATGGTTCTCTGAGGTGAGAGCTCATTTTTAAAATATTGAAATGTACAAGTCGGGCTATTTATCTTTACCTGCTTTTACAATAAGGGATTGCTTTCAGGGCCACTGATATGTGCTTTGTTGATATGAGAATGCTATTTAGTTCTCTAAAAAAATGAAACATAAAGCAATAGTCAAAAAAGCCAGATGAGCTCTGCAGATTGTCAAAAGGAGGTTTTGTCCTTTTCCATTTCCCATAAAAGCCCAGCTGTGCCACCTTCTAAAACTGGAACTTGTTCATATGCTCACCAGGTGCCAGGGAATAAAAATCATAAGTGGAGAAAGCTGAAACAAGATGTTTCACAAATAGAAAGAGAAAATGGGAATAGGGAATGAGGTAAATGAAAAGGTAAAAGAGAAAAAACAATCTAGCCATATGGAAACACTTTGATGGGTAAAGTGCACTTAGAAGTTTATTAAGCAGGGTGAATTTATTGGATAAGAAACAATCATTAATCCACTTAATTGTTCTAGTTGGGTTTGCTGCTCTTGGTTCATCCACTCAAAGTCTCTGGCTTATATTTTTACATTTAACAACATAGGAGCCAGAGCCAGTGAGTAGGGAAATTTGGAATAAACCCAGACCTACCAATTCTGAGTGCAGGTCTCTTTTTGCAAGGAAGATTTGGCTTAAGTGGATACTCTGAGAATAAGGAGAAAGGACATACCTGAGATTGTTTACAAGGGAGCACCAGGGAGTTTAAGCCTGAGTGGTGTGTTATACTAAGAAAGGGGTGAATTTTGGCGAATTTTCCTCAGTTGGGGTTGTTAGTTGTAAGCAACAGAAAGCTATTCAAATCAGGTTAAGTAAAGAGGGGTATTAACTAGGGGTATACAAGGCAGGACATAATGCCAGAACATAATGCCAGGACTCATAAGGAGTCCAGAGCTGGAAATCCCAGGAATCAAAGCAGCAGTTTTCTCCATCTTGTTTTCTCTTCTAATTACATGTAATTTGATGGGTCACCCAAAGGGCAGGATTATATGACCCACTGCCCACTTGGTAGAGCTGCTGGAACAGATCTGTGAAGAGGCATGGCTAAGGCAAGCAAATTGAAAATATACCTGCTAAAAAATATCATGGATGAGGCATTCTATTGACTATGTGGAAAACGGTGGATCCAGAGCAGGTTGGCAGAAATACATCAAGACAACAAATTGGCGAAAACATGGTGCTTTGTTGCAATATCAAAGCATTTTAAGAAAAGATTTGGTATGAACTTAGTCAATTAAATTTATTATTATTTCACTGGAAAATTAAAATTAATATTAATCTTTAGAAAGGCAATTTGTCTAATTCCTTCATTTTTAGAATTCATTCAACACTTTTGGAATATCTTCCAGGTGCCAGTCACTGCTGGGATGTGGCATTTATCAAAATTGTTTAAGTCTTTGTTCTAGTGCATCTTGCATTCCAGTGGGGGAATGCAGACCATAAGACACAAAGACATGTGAAATATGAAGAATAATACATCAGGTTAAGGGAAATAATGACAGAGGAATATGATTTTATCTATTTTCAGGGGAAGGCAGTAGTGATATGTAGAGTGATGATATAATTTATTGTCTAATGGGGATACTTTGAGTATGAAAGCAAGCACTATTGAGTAATTTCTCTGGGATAACAGGCATCAGTTGGGACTTCCAAGGGCAACCTGTAATGCATGGTTCCCCTCCAGAGAGAGTGGCTTTTGAGCAGGGACCAGGAGATACTGGAGAGCAGGAGGTGCGTTTATCTGAGGCAAAGTGGACCAGGAAGAGGGAATGCTTGAACCATTCTGCCTGGACTGGGCATTGGATATTTGTAATTTTATAATTGTTAAAACAAGGAGAGGATATCACCATGGCGTTGCCTTTCCTAGGAATGCTACCTCAAGGACGAGTCTTTGAAGACCGTCTGGACTGCCCTGTTGGAGCCTGACCACTGATGCAGGTGATTGTTCGTAGGAGTAGAAGCCTTGCTGGTCAATTGGCAGCCTTTTCCAAACTATATTCTGAGAGAGATGGCTTCATGAGGAGGTTGCTTTTAAAAAGGCTGGGCTTAATTGTGACTCTATGTTGAGAAACACTTTCTGTCTAGTGACTTGGCTTGACCAAATCAGGATGGCTTCTGTGGGATAACTGCTGCCTCTCTTTTCTGGGTGTTCCAATTTCTGTACAAGGGAGACTCTGCTTCTAGGTGCCCTCTTGGTATCCTCAAACAGCTTTGGGTGCTCACCCTGCTGCTGTTGGGTGTCATGATTCATCTTATTGAGCACCCTCTGGCTGCTTTCCTGTTGCCTCCTGCTCTACACGTACCCTGCTCAGCCCAGTAAGATCATATTCTGTCAAGAAACTGACTCTGGAGTTAGAAGGCTGGGGATCCTAGCAGTTTGGCTCCTCCTCCTCCTCTTCATCACCATAAAGCACCTGTGGGCACAAGATGTTGTGGCACATGACAAAAACAGCAATATTTTAAGATTCACAATCATTATTCATGGGGCATGTTTTGCCAGATACTTCCTCACGTACCTGTGAGATGGGTATATGCTATTAGGTGGATCTGTGTGAAGTTACTTAGGCTCTATCATTTTGACCTGCAGAAATCACAGTTTTCTATAATTAGACCTAATATTTTTTAGGCAAAGAAAGGGAAGTTCAGGGGGAAACTTGTCAAAGCCCAACATCTGGAATCAGAGCCAGTATTTTAATGCAAGACAGTTGGCTCCTGAATTCATGGTTCTTCCACTGTGCCTCACAGACTAGATGCTGTATAAAGTAGATTAATTGCTTCTGTCTTTGGAAAGCTTTCAGACTAGAACACACGAAGTAGGGAGCTTTGTGGAACCTATAAAATTCTGTAATCCTGCAAAACACTGACCCAGTGCTAGAATATCTGGAATAGAGGATGAAATCCTAACACCCAAGCTGTGAACACTAAGAAAGCACCGTGAGCTTGGGAATCAAGAAGGGAAATTAACAGAATAGTCAAATGAGAGTCTGGATAAGAAGAACTGCAAGGATAATGCTGTGGTCTGGATGTGAAACAGAAGCCTGCTCGAAGCTGAGCATTAGTTTTCAGTGAAGGTTCATTAAATCCCAAGTCTCTCAAGATGTCTAGAGATAAAAGTAGGCTGGGAAACTGCCTTTTACTAGAATGGGACTGGAACCAGTAATAGGAATGAGACCAGGAACCAAGGAATCTCTCTTTGTGCTGCCACTGCCCCCTAAACACTGCTTCTGTTTTCCTCTAGATGTGTGCATCTCCTTTTTCCTCTATTTATAAACAACTTTCTCAGTTTATCTATGTACATAGTGGAAAATTATCACTCCAGGGAAGTCCCTGAATTCTAGTTGCCCACAAAGACTGATGAAAATCACTGCATCTCAATTAGAAATTCCCTGGAGAGACAAGCGAATTGATCAGGATATGGTCAGAGGTTCCCGGAGGTCAAAGTAGGTTCTGTGACCTCTGGCTGCGTATCTGGTGATGATATAGGCAGATACTCTCAGGAGGGGACTTGGTACAGGAGGCAAATTGACATGTTTGCTATAATTGGTATTAAGCCAAATTGGGAAGCTAGAGATTTTGGTTTCATCCTTCTGTTCTTTTCTGGTGTGTCTGAGGTCATTCAGGAATCATCACAGCCTACCCCAATGTATTTGGCTGCCAACATTATCACCTCTTTGAAAATTATTTTTTTCTCTCATTAAGAAGTTTTGTGAGTGATCATTTTGCAAAACTGACTTTTTCAGATTCTGCTTTTACCACCTGATGTGTAAGACACAGCATATGAGAGCTATTTGGAAACTAAAGCAGAAAACGAATGCCAAATCTCACGATCATATAACTTTATGATGAGTTGAATGCCACCTGGATAACGTAGTAGAAAATGCTTCTTAAGATCTTCGTCTCAACTGTGCTTAGTCATCTTCTAGATTGTAGAACATCGCTTGATGATCTTTGCAAATTTCTATCAGAAATAAGAAACCCAAATGAAGGAATAAACTTAAAGTTGACAGCCCAGTTTCTGTGACCTCTCATTGACACTTCTTTGGAGTGTATGTCCTGTGCAGACTGGGCCTGGGCAGTCTTTGATCTATTTTGAACAGATGCCTGTAACAAAAAGTTAGCTGGGCTTTAGGGACAGCTAATGTCTCCACAGGCTGTAGAATGTTATTAGGGCTTGATTGCAATCTGCTGACATGATAGAACTGAATTAAAGAACAGGAACTGCCTGCTTGGCAGCTCTGAGAGCAATTGGAAAGCTCAGAGAAGGCACAAGCAATAAGGAAGAAGGAACGCTGACAGAAGCTGGGCAGGCAGACAGGGCTCTTTAATTCAAAGGGGTGGATGTTAATTAATTTATTTTGGGTGAGGGAGATCTGATTTCTAAGCTAGACTACAAGCTGTTGCCAGTGTAGTTGAGGACAATGTCCTAACAGCTGTAGGAATATCATGCATCTTCTGGGTGGCTGACCTCATATCATATCCATCTTCCTGTGTCCAGATTAACCATGCACTGGCAGTTGGACCTGAGCAGCTCATTTTTCTTACCCTTCAACATTACTTTTATTTTACGTGTCTGTCTAGCTGCTTTTCTCTGCTCCTAGCTCCACCAAAAATTTCCCTGGAGCCTCACAACTATCCATGGCAAGTGAAAAGAAAAACAAACATAAATGAATTGGAAATTGTCACTCCTGCTAGAATGGCATGATTTTAAATACATGAAGACTTACCTTCGCATACTTTTAAGACAGGTCAAATGCTATCCAGAAAAAAAGGCTAGGCATTAAAATACACTAAAGAAAATGTCAGGCTTATGGTTTCCTGATTTCCTGCCTGGTCCTCTGCTCTTTCACTGCTGAAAATTATTTTCCTTCAATTCCATTGTTTCACCTAACAAAGGACATGTCTAATGATTTCCTCCCACATGCAGTTCTACAGAGGCATTTATTATAGTAATTAATTTTTCAAGGCAAAAAAGAGTGTGGTGTATTATGAAATACAAACAGAAGTGAACGAAAGTTTTTGAGTGATCTTCCAAAGTATTTTGATGTAGTGGAAAGAGCACTATCTTTGGGTATAGAAAATTTGGTTGAAGCAAGTCACTTAAAAATCTAAGCAATCTTGTTCATGTTTGTTAGAAGTCATCAATCTGTGGCATTAAAAGGGTGAATTTTAATGTATGTAAATTATACTTATGTGACTAGAAAAACTTAAGGAACAACTATGCTTTGCTCATTAAATATAAAAATAATACATGCTCATTTGAAAATACAGAAAAGTACAAAAAAGTAAAACCTAACCATAACACTGCAACCACAGGTAATCACATATTTATTTTCTGAGCACAGTGGGGTGAACTAATTGTACTCTACTGTTCATGGAAAACTATCATTTCTGGTCCATGGAAATCCCCTTGTTGTCTTTCATTCTTTATTCTCACTCCTATTTCTCTCCTCTATTTTATATATACCTATTGGATATATATTTGACTTATATTCAGTAGAATATGTAGAATATTGTACATATTCTACAATACCCTTGTAGAATATGTGGTATTGCTTCATGCATGAATCTGTTTTTATTCTATGTAAAAGATATGTTATTACCTTTAGAACCCATTCTATTTTGAAATTATTTTATTCAATACAAAGTATTAAGGATTTATCTGGGTTTGTGTAAATTCAGTTTATTGAGTCCCATTTCTACAAAGCAGTTTACAAATATGTTGTTTACCAGGTTCCCACAACCCCACACAATATTGAAACAAGTATCCTCATACATGTCCCCTCATGGTTCTGTGAGACAACTTCTTTTGGTTACATACCCAGGAGTGGGATTGCTGGGTCATGGATCCAGAATATCTATATCAGTGTACAAGCCCATCAGTAATTTGGGAAGATTCTCCATTCTCTGACACTTAGGTATTTAATTAGCTTTCTCTATGTATTAAAAACAGAAATTTTCCTTTTATGTAATTTACTTGTAAAGCTGTTTTACTATGGACATTTCTTCATGTTTTAAAATAGCATACTAATGTCTATATTTAAAGCCAGACATTCATTATTGTACTATCATCATTTGTTTTACTGAGATCCTTTTTGTTATATTTAGGTAAAACATACTTCTAATATAGGACACAGACAAGACTCCAGTAAAGCAGCATAATTATCAAATTAATAATTAAATAATCCACAGACACTTGAACATGAATAGGGATCCACTTTTCACTAATCTTGGAGCGTTTCTAAGTACAACTCTTTAGTTAGAAGAAACTAATGAAATGTTGAATGAAAAGATAAATGATTCAATAAATAAAATGATAAACTGACAGGAAATGAAAACTTGACTTCCAGAGCAATTATATACCATGACAGTCATGTTGCTGTGCATACATTTAGTCAATGGAAGTAAAAAACAGCCATGAGGAATATCATGTCTCTTTTGCAGAGGGAGACCAAACTTAAATGCCTAGACTCATTAGCCAGAATTACCTTAGAGTAGCATAGAATTTTAAAAATAAAATCCTTCAGTTTTAGCAATATGCTTACTTTTCTTATGCTAAACCTCCTTGCAGGTTTCCTTATGCAGTTTAGGGGACTTAAGCCAATATTTACACTCCATTCTATTCCATAGTGATTCAATATTTTTAGGTGTTTGATGTACATATCGATTATTCATCCCTTCTCTTATGCCATCTCTGATACAAATCTTTAAGGGCTAGGATGATACTTTTAGATCATCAATGATTTTCCACAAATTGACTTTGGAGAATTCAATATTGACATGCTGAACAAGACAGATCTATGAAGAAGGATTTATTTTAGCATACGCAAATTAAATAGATTCATACACTTAGATTAAGAATTGTTCTTTAAAAGAGTCTTTAACATTTAACTTCAAAATTTTCTATGATATAGAATACAAAGTGATATATATAAAAGGAATTCCAAAAACTCAAGTGTATGAAACAAACAGGATGAGGGTGTTAACAATAATTCCTTTCTAAAATGTAACTCTCTGCACTTGTTTGAAATTTAGACTTTTATGGGGGATGAGAAACTTCTGAAAAAGATGAAATAAGCTTCCATGAAAATATTATTTTTTGATGAGAGGATATAATTTGCTATGCACTGTGCTTTGCATCAGAATAATATAATTTATTTATGAAGGACAATTACTTTCCTTAAGAAGGGAGCTGAAAGCAGACTATAGACTAGGAAATATCTCATTCTTTTACTGTGTACTTACTCAGAACAAAGAGAATTATTTTCTCTGAAGAAACTCTATTTTTAGAATACCACTATTTTACACACAAATGATTCAAGGTAGGCTTACAAACTTTGGGAGGTTAAAATATTCATGTTCAAATAGTTCTGTGTTGGTATTTGAACTGCACGGTAACCTGAAGAGGAAAAAGCTGAGCAGGCCACTTTTTGGTTGGGTGAGAATTGACTTTGTTCATATACATATGGGCAGGGCCAAGGGCAATGCTAGGTACATGAGATGTGCTTAAAACATGTATGCTGAATAAATTAATGGGATGAGAAATTAAACAATTGCAATTGAAAGGGAAAAGTGAAAAGATAAAGATGAAGATTGATTTTCTGACTTTTTGAAAAGTTACTGGCATTCAACTTCAAGTCAAATGCTCCATTAATATAGGACACAGACTGGCAGGAATAACATAATAACTGGGACTAATTTTATCTTGTGGTGCCTCACTTTCACCAATCTTGAAAGCGAATATGTTAATATTTATCTTCTATCTTTATTTTTCCTATGTCTCCTTTTCTTTAGTTGTTTCATAACGTAATTTATTTTTATGTTGCTATATAAGCTACCTCATATGCATTTTTGTAGGCTTCTTTTAATCCCTATCAGAATGGGGTAGAGTAAATATGAATATAAATAATCATAGCTGTTTTATTTTAAATTAGTTCCCCTATAAGTAAGCCTTCATAAACTCTTTGTAAACAAACATTTGTAGACATATATGAAAGGTCATTATTAACACTCTCTCTGTGTATTGCTTAGTACTATTTTAAGTAAAATATAAGGTTAGTCCCCCCATTGTAAGTCCACAGCTAATGTGATCCTGGAGATCCTCATTCTGTTGGTCCATGTTAGTATTAGCATGTGACTCAAACATTTAGTGCAAGTTTTCCCATCTGTAAAATCTGTGTTTCATAATTCACTATTATCACAAATATTATGAGACTAAATAAAGTGATAGGCATTGTTATTTGTCTGTTTCACCTATGACAGGCATTGTTCTTTGTCTGTTTCACCTATTTGTTCTTTTCCATCCTCACCCCTGCCAGGGGGGATTTCCCCTACAATAAAACGTCATACTTATGCTGTGAGATGTGATCAATATTGACAAGACTGGAGCCCGTTCCTGTATAGGGGTGAGTGGAGACTGATGTAGTGGCTTTGGCCCACAGAGTGGCAACAAAATGAAGCTTGGGCCCTGGCAGGAGGGCAGAGAGGCAGAGAAGGAAGAGGGTAGCAGGGAGAAGGAAATCCTGAATGCTTTCCCAAGGCTGGTTTTATTGGAGAGAAAGATGACCCTATGGAGATCACAAAGAAATGAATGGCCCATCATCTGGATCCCAGTATGTTCCTGATGATATGCTACTAAGAATGTGCCCTTTCTGGTAATAAAATTATTTATTACTGGTTCCTCTGGATGCTGCATGACGCTAAATAAAGATTACATATGTATGAGTATTGTGGCATATGCCCATGTTTCATTGAATCTAAGATGCAATCAGCTGAAAGATACATCCTTATTTTATGAACCACTAAGAAAGGAAAAAACCCTACTAACTTAACCATGAGGCAGTATTTTATTGTCACTTGAAATTTTTATTTTAAACATGTGCAAAAAAGCTCTTCTGAATGTATTTATACATAGATTTCCCTCATTTATCACTCTTGAGTATATATATAAAGGCAAATAAATGTAAAGTAAATTTATTCAATGTTCCTAAATGTATTCATATTCAGTCTGAGTTTTCCGAATTACTTTTCCACTTAGAGTTATTGATGTATGTGCTATTTCCCTCAATGCTGTTGGTTCTTCCTGCAATCGAGGGCATTGATGATGCAGCATTTCTTAAAATCGTGCTTTGCTATTGTCTCTGGAATCTTCTTCAAAGCCAGTGACACCCAGTCTAAGCTTTAATGTGCAGGCAATAACAACTATTTCATGACTGTCACTGACTGATCTGAGGATCAGGTGTGCACCAGTTTCAGAGTTGTTAAAATGTGAAGACAAAATGCATGCTTTAGAATGGATAAAATATGGGAATAAATACTCAACAGTGCTAAGATCCTCAGGATTCTCCTTTAAGTAGCTGAACAGCATTCTAGATTGAGCTTCTCACATGCATGTGCTGGGGAACATATGTTGCAGGATTCCATAGCCTGGCGGAACAAATGATTCCTAAATTACAATAGCTCTGAACTTTCAACTGACAGATGGCAGAGCCTCAGGTTCCCCAACTCCAAAGCCTCCATGATTTCAGGAAAGGGAGAGTGCAGTGAGTCTCATATGGAAAACCACACAATATTCTGAGGCCAGCCCCATGTGGCAGGCTTTCCGCATTTGGCTCATGCTTAGCAGTACCCAACACACCTGGAGCTGCCTAGAGATGACTTATGGATGTCAACTGCTGCCTCTGCCCCTTGCAAAGCTACAATATCCATGCCAAGGGTGCTGTCTTCTAATGCTCCCAGGGATCGCTAATCCCTAGAGTGTCAGAGATATAGGAGTTTTCATACAGAAGTGGGGACAATGGTCTTCTCCTCAACTCCTTGTCTTATTTTATTCTCTGGATCTCAAAGCATCAAGGCTTATTCTGAGAGTTTACAGAGTCTTCCAAGAGGCTCTAAATTTCCAGCTGTAATCTTAGGGCTTTAAACCATTCCAAGGTTCCAAGAGGGAGACAGATACAAAATATCGTCTTCATCATTGACTTGCACCCCACCATCTGAACTCATCAATGTCCTTTTTGCTTCCCTGCTTGACCCTGAAAAAATACAATAATACTGTCTCTTCCCTCCCTCCACCAATACTTCTTTTAGCCACAAATAGGAGTGATACCTGTACACTGCAATTTGTGCAAAGCAAAGAGGCAGAGGAGGTATAATGATTGATGTCCTCTCATACTTGTTTTTAGCCAACAGGAATGACCTTTTACTCAATTTGTGCACACTTCCTCCTCTTTGTAATGAATGTAAGATTATAAACTACTGGACAGCAAACATTGTCTCAAATATCCTTTATGAATATTTTCTAATGGTGAGCAGTTAACATAAACAATCAATGAAATTTACTTAGTTTCTAATATGACTGATATATTCATACTATAAAAGATTCTATCTGTGGCCAGGTGCAGTAGCTCACACCCATAATCCCAGCACTTTGGGAAACAGAGAAAATAAAAACCAAATCAGTGAGATTATTTTACAATTCCCAGTTTACATATGCAAAGATTTGGAAACTGTACTAACTCATTTTGCAAGAGGCGCTGCAGGGCAGATGAAGATATCTTAATGTTCTTCAAAAGTCCTCTCTTCAGTGTGTAATTGGAACTTTCAAGAACTTTCAAGAACTGAAAGCTATAGTTTCTTGGGTGATGTGCTTTTCCAGGCACAGAGCTCATAATCAATATTTCATCATGCTTTCTCTTCGGGGGAACTTTCCTCTCACTGGCCTCTTCTGGGTACCTCTCATTGGTCTCTTTTGCATGCTCTCAAAAAAACTTTCTCATTTATTTGTAGACTCAAAATTGCAATTCCACCAAAAAAGGGAAGACATCTCTCGATCTCTAAATGAGCACAGGTTTTCTCTGGCTTCCCGGTCCCTATTTTCCCTCTGCTCGCCAGTTTTAACCTTCATCTCACACGTCAGAATCAAGTCCACGACTACCTTGGCAATGATGATAGGATAATAGAATTAGAATGTCCCAGGGCGCCATTTGAGCATCATGCTCTTTCAAGAAAAGATAAACAACACAATTATGAAATATAATTTGTGATACTTTAAAGGCACAGTGTCTACTAATTTTAAATTTGTGGCATTTATTGGGAAAATATACATTAAACTCTCAGTGATTTGAAAAGAAATTTAGCCACAGCAATAAAACAAGAAGGTTGTTTTAGGGTAAGGATTTCTCTATCATGTATTTTCCAGTTAGTTTTGTGTGTTTCTCTTAACATTCTACTTTTTCATCAATTTAAACATGATTAAGAAAACTTATCAGCAGGGCAGCCCTTGAGAGTATTGCCATTTTATCTCAGTAGCTGTGAAATTTCTTAAGGATATTTGCACTTTCTACAACCACGTTTTCACTATAGAGAAAGAAATTGACTTGACACTCTAGGGACTTACACTCTCAAGCTACCACATTCAGTACTGACATTCTTTTGAAATCTGCTGTTGATTTGAAAGCTGCTTTTCATTTCGTAGGCTGACATTTCTAATAATGCGACTCTACTCCCTTGTTCTCTTCTTTCTGTATTGATTCTGGCAGAAACTCAAGAATGAACCCTAGTTTTCATGATATATAGTAGGATATCTTGACTATCTCTGGGTCTGACTCAATATTTCTGGTGCTTTATTCATTAATCATTATTGTTGAATGACTTGTTCATTCACCATATATGAACTTTTTCCTAGTCCATGGCAGTTGTACTTACTATTGGTGTGGTTCCAAGCAGAATTTTGAGACACAAACTTCCCATGTGTCATATGAAAATATACATAATTCCATTCATTGATCATCTCTTTATTGGGAATTAAGAGATGTGAAACCCATATACTAGTACCAACATACTAATATACTGGAGTAATAATGCAGTTATTTTAAAAGTCTTATAACCATAAACATATTTACATCTACATAGTGATAGTCTAAGAAGGACATAAAAGATATGTTTCTTTTTTCCTTCCAGGTTGAAGAATCTATGCCACACAATACGTGAGAATTGTTTCATGCTTGAGAATTATGCTTGGGCTTGTAGCTACTTGGTGCTAAGAGGGATGGATATTTAAGCCACTTGGATCATATAAATTATAGGTAGCCAAATCAAGTTTTCAACACTGAATTAGGTACACTTGACTCCTTGCTCTTTGATTTTTTTTGTTTCTGGAACTTGGATTCTATAGGCAGAGTTTACTATTTGCTTTCTAGCATTCAAAAATTTCTAAAGGAGTGTAGGTTGTGACTTTAATGGGATCAATGTTATATGACTCAGTTATTTTGCCTGACAAGTAAATAAATGGTATTTATCACCTAGCAAACTGGAAGCAAGACAAAAAAAGACAGATGTAATTATTTCCCTCCCTCCTAAGTGTGAGGTCAGTTTGGTTCTGACATTAAAATCTAACTTAGTTCATTTTGATTCAGAAAATATTTTTCTAAGCACTATTTATATGCAAAACACTCTCTAAGATACAATGTAGGATTGAAAGATGAAAATGAACTGTAAAAGTCTATTTTGGGGAAGCTGTTGCTTAGGGGACTCTTTATTGATCCTCCTTGATTTGTGGTTGTGTTAATTTTTAGAGAATTTAGATAATTAACTAACAGAATTGCTGTGTGCATGTTACATTCACAGTGGAGCAGCCCCAGGACTCTGCGGCAGTCCATGCCCCCTCACGTTCCACAGTGACAGCCTATAATCCAGCGCTGAAATTCCCAGCCCCCAGCACAGCATTTCATATATAGTAACCACTCAGCACACAGATGTACAGAGTGAATGAGGCTGTGGCTAGCTGGAGCACTTCTCTAGGGGCTATGTGATGACAGACTGGTTAAACCTTGAAGTCCTAAAATCAGACCAAAAATAGGTAGGTAGGAGTGCATCTTTTTTTTTTTGAGACAGAGTCTTGCTCTGTCACCCCCGCTGGAGTGCAGTGGTGCGATCTTGGCTCACTGCAACCTCTGCCTCCTGGGTTCAAGAGATTCTCATGCCTCAGTCTCCCAAGTAGCTGGGATTACAGGCATGCACTACCACGCCGCCTAATTTTTGTATTTTTAGTAGAAAGGGAGTTTCGTCATGTTGTCCAGGCTGGTCTTGAATTCTTGGCCTCAAGTGATTCACCTGCCATGGCCTCCCAAAGTGCTGGGATTACAGGTGTGAGCCATCGTGCCCAGCCAGGAGCGTATCTTGATTCCCTGTTGAAGTTAATTATGCTCACCTAGCTCCGTTCTTCTCGCTGTCCTCCAAAGAGTGTGTATTTAGCTACTTTAGGTAACTGATTAAAATTATAGCTATTGCCTCTTGAACACCACACTAAGCACTTCATATACATCATTACATTCAATCCTTCCAAACTGTATGCAGTGGGAACTACTATAGCACAGGTGAGGAAACTAAGGCTTAAGGAGATTAAGCAATTTGCTCAAGATCTCTCAAAGGGTGGCAGATCCAAGATTCAAACCCTGTATTGTGTGTACACAAATACATTCTTAACCACTCATCTATAAACTAAGAATTCATCCATCTTTCTTATCATATGAAAAAAGAGCCTGTCTCCAAATAATACTTTCTTGAATGTATTTAGCTTCTTTTCAGATTAGAAATTCTCTGCACTTTAGATTAACAACTGGGCTGTGAATTTTGATTTATGAATGTGTATTAATTAAGAAAGGTTCAATCTTCTATAAGCCACAAAGTTTCAGGAAAAGCTTATTTTCCCTATTCTACTGATGGCTAGTAAATCTTTTTCTTCTCTAATCATCAACGTAGTTAGAAAATAAAAATTTATGAGTTCTCCCCATCCATCCAGAAGTTGTGAGGCCAGCACTTGGAGAGTGAGTCATTATTGATTCTTCAGTGACAAATGTTGCTGGAGAAAAGACAAATGCTTTGCCAAATGGCAGAGTTTCTGCTTTACTTTCTTTCAATAATCTATTCTTAATGTTTTCAAGAGGAAAAAACAAAATAATGTGATACATATAAAGTAGTAGCAAATGGAGGAACGTTGCATATATTTAGTATAACTCAAGGGATTTACAAAATTATACAACAAAGCCAGGAATATGGTTAAAATTAGTTCTCATCATGCAATATAATCACACACAGAACAGTACTGGAGGGTAATATTTTGGAGATGAGATAAATAATCATATTTTGATGTCATACCTTCTCTGCAAATAAATAATTAGATATTCTAATTAGAAAATTGACACCAACAAGAAATATCCAAGTTTAGGTCTAGCTGTTAGGTTACTGTTTACACTGAGAATTGAAGAAAAGATACTTTGTAATCTTTAAATTCATCTTTAATAGTGTTTTCCAAAGTAGTTCTAGTTTGATTAACACAGCATTCTACCCTCTATATAGCTTTTGGAATTTACTATTTTAAATAAATAGATATCCATTGGTGTCAAACCTATCTTTAACTGTTTCTGTACTGGTAATATAACTTACAGTTTTTTTTGTTTTATATTTTGAGGGGTTATATAAATTAAGGATTAGGTTAGAAAGGAAAAATCTTTCTGGTTTTCCTGTCTTAGAAGAGCTTTGTAGAATGAGAGTCATACTCATCTTTAGCCACTTACCTTTTTTTTTTTTTTTTTTAGTTCTTTGAACAAGTTTACTGGCTTTCTGCTTCAAGACCTTTGCATATACGCTTGCAGCTAAGAAATTATGTCCAAGTACTCCTGCCCACCTCTTAAAGTTTTACATGTTCAATCTCTTATAATTTTGGTAGACTCCAGCTTAACGTTTTCTCTTCAGAGAGGCTTCCTATGTCTATTTAGTCTAAAGTATGCTCTTTCCTTTTATCATTTCCCATTTTGTCCACTTTTTTCTTGACAGTTTTTGTAATGATTTATATTTTATCTTTATTTCTTTTTTTAATGATACATATGTTTGTACATATGTTGGGATATATATGATATTTTTTTACATGCATAGAATGTGTAATGATAAAGTGAAGGAACTGAGGGTGTCCAGCACTTCAAATATTTATTATTCCTATGTGGTAGGAAATTTAAAGTCCTCTCTTCTAGCTCTTTCAAAATATACATAACATTGTTGTTAACTATAATCACCCTAGTCTATCAAACGTTAGAACTTACTCCTTTTATCTAACTATATCTTTGAATCTGTTAACCAATGTCTTTTCCTCTCCCCCTTCCACCCACCCACCCTTCCTAGCCTCTGGTATCTATCATTCTACTCTATACCTCCATGAGATTATCTTTTTTAGTTCTTAATGTGAATGAGAACATTTGATATTTGTCTTTGTGTGCTTGGCTTATTTTACTTAACATAATGACCCCGAGTTCCAACCATGTTGCTGCAAATGACATGATTTTATTCTTTTTATGGCCAAATAGTATCCATTGTGTCTATATACCACATTTTCTTTATCCATTTATTATCTGTTTATAACACCTAGGTTGATTTCATATCTTTGCTATTGTGATTAGTGCTGTCATAAACATGGGGGTGCAGGCATCCCTTTGATATTCTGATTTCCTCTCCTTTGGATAAATACCCAGCAGTGCTGGATCATATGGTATTTCTATTTTTAGTTTTTTGAGAAATCTCCATATTGTTTTCCATAGTGGTTGTACTTATTTACATTCCCACCACCAGGGTATAAGTTTTTTTTTTCTGAATCCTCACCAGCATCTGTTATTTTTATCTTTTTAATAGTAGCCATTCTAACTGGGATAAGACGATCCCTTACTATGGTTTTGATTTGCATTTCTCTGATGCTTAGTGTGGATATTACACCCTTGTCTGACAAATGGTTTGCAAATATTTTCTCCAATTTAACAGGACATTTCTTCACTCTGTTGATTGTTTCCTTTGCTGTGCAGAAGCTTTGTGGTAATATAGTCCCATTTGTCTATTTTTACTTTTGTTGCCTATGCTTTTGAGGTCTTAGTAACAAAACCTTTGCTTAGACCAATGTTCTGAAGTGTGTTTCCTATGTTTTCTTCTGGTAGCTTTAAAGTTTCAGGTTTTACATTTAAGTCTTTAATCCAAATTGAGTAGATTTTTATGTATGGTGAGGGTAGGGGTCCAATTTCATTCTTCTGCACACAGTTTTCCCAGCATCGTTTACTGAAGAGGGTGTCCTTTTGCTGATGTATGCTCTTAGCATCTGGGCAAAAATCAGTTGGCTGTAAATATGTGGATTTATTTCTGGGTTCTCTATTGTGTTCCATTGGTCTGTGTCTGTTTTTATGCCAAATACCATACTGTTTTGGTTATTAAGCATTGTCATATTTTGAAGTCAGGTAGTGATGCCTCCAGCTTTGTTCTTTTTGCTCAGGATTGCTTTGGCTATTCTGTCTCTTGTTTTGTTTAGGATTATGTTTTCTATTTATGTGAACAAAGATGTGGATGTTTTGATAGGGATTACATTAGATCTGTAGATTGCTTCAGGACATTTTGATAATATTAAATTCTTCTGATCCAGGAGCATGGAAAATCTTTCCATTTGTTTTTGTCCTCTTCAATTTCTTTCATTAGTGCTTTGTAGTTTTCCTTGTAGAGGTCTTTGACCTTCTTGGTTAAATTTATTTCTAGGTATTTTATATTTTTTATAGCTATTGTATATGGGATTTCTATCTTGATTTATTCTTCAGCTAGTTTATTAGTGTGTGTAGAAGTGCTACTGATTTTTGTATGTCGATTTTCTATCCTTTACTGAATTTATTTATCAGATCTAAGAGTTTTTGTTGGAGTCTTTAGGTTGTTATAGATATGAGAATATGTCACCTGCAGAGGGAGACAATTTGACTTCCTCTTTTCTAATTTAGATGCTTTTCACTTTTCTCTTTTGCCTGATTACTCTGGCTAGGACTTCCAACTATGTTAAATAGGAGTGTCAAATATGGGCATCCTTGTCTTCTTCCAGATAGTAGAGAAAAGACTTTCAGCTTTTCTTCATTCAGTATGACATTACCTGTGGGTTTGTCATATCTGACCTTTATTATGTTGAGGTATGTTTCTTCTTTGCCTCTATTGTTGAGAATTTTAATCACGAAGGGATGTTAAATTTTATTACTTTTTTTTTCTGTGTCTATTGAACATGATCCTTGTTCTTCATTCTATATATGTGATATATCATGTTTATTGATTTGCATGTTGAACTATCCTTGCATTCCTGGGATAAATCCCACTTAATTGTGGTGTATTATCTTTTTGATGTGTTGTTGAATTTTGTTTGCTAGTATTTTGTTATTTTTGTGCCTATGTTCATCAGGAATATTGGCCTGTAGTTTTCTTTTTTGTTTCACTTTTACCTGGTTTTAGTATCAGGGTAATGCTGGCCTCATAGAACAAGTTAGGGAGAATTTCCTCCCCTTCACTTTTTTTTGAAATAGTGTGAGAGAAGTGATGTTTCTTCTTTGTAAGTTTGGTAGAATTTGGCAATGAAGCCAGCGAGTCCCAGATTTTTCTTTGTTGGGAGACTTTTTTTTATTATTTATTGAATCCATTACTTACCATTGGTCTGTTCAGGGTTTCCATTTCTTCCTGATTCAATCTTGATAGGTTGTGTGTGTCCAGAGATGTACACATTTCCTTTAGGTGTTCCAGTTTGTTAGTGAATGGTTATTCATGATAGTTTCTGAAAATCTTTGTATTTCTGTGGCACCAGGTGTAATGTTTCCTTTATCATTTCTGATTTTATTAGGGTCTTCTCTCATGTTTTTTGGTTAGTCTAGCTACTGCTTTATTAATTTTGTTTATCTGTTTCTTTTTTTTTTTTTTTTTTTTTTTTTTTTGAGACAGGGTCTTGCTCTCACCCAGGCTGTCGTGCAGTTGTGTGATCATAGCTCATTGCAACCTTGAACTCCTGGGCTCAAGTGATCTTCTCACCTCAGCCTCCAGAATAGCTAGGACTACAGGTGTATGCATCTATAGTTGTCTAATTTTTAAATTTTTTGTAGAGACCAGGTCTCATTATGTTTCCCAGGCTGGTTTTGAATTCCTGGGCTCAAGAATCCTCTCATCTCAGCCTCCCCAAATGCTAGGATTACAGGCATAAGCCACGGTGCTTGGACTTCATTTATCTTTTCCAAAAACCAATTTTTGTTTTGTTGATTCTTTGTAATTTTTAAGCCTTAATTTTGTTTATTTCTACTCTGATCTTTATTAGTTTTTTCCTTCTACTAATTTTGGGTTAGTTTGTTCTTGCTTTTCTGTTTCCTTGAGGTTAATTGTTTAATTGTTCATCTGAAAACTTTCTACTCTTTGATGTAGGCATTTGTTACTATAAATTCATCTCTAAGCACTGATTTTGCTTTATCCCATAGGTTTTGGTATGTTGTGTTTGAATTTTCATTGGTCTTTGATTTTTTGATTTCTATCTTAATTTCTTCCTTGACTCAATGGTCGTATTGTTAATGTTCATGTATTTGTACTGTTTCTGAAGATCCTCTTATTTTTAGTTTTATTCCACTATGATCTGAGATACTTATTATGATTTTGATTTTTAAAAATTTTTTGAGACTTGTTCTGTGCTCACATACATAGTCTGTCCTGGAGAATGTTCTATGTACTGATGAGAAAAATGTGTATTCTGCAGCAGTTGGATAAAATGTTTTGTAAATGCCTATAGGTCTATTTTGTTTAATGTGCAGTTTAAATGTAATGTTTCTTTGCTAATTTTCTCTCTACATGAGCTGTTTAATGCTGAGTAGGGTGTTGAAATTCCCAACTACTATTGTATCAGAGTCTATCTTTCCCTTTATAACTAATAATATCAACTTTATATATCTTGGTGCTCCAATGTTGGGTGGATGTGTTTGTAACTGTTATATTCTCTTAGTGAATTGATCTCTTTATCATTATATAATGATCTTCTTTGTTTCTTTTTACTGTTTTAGATATAAAATCTGTTTTAACTCATGTAGGTATAGGTATTCCTGCTCACTTTTCATTTCAATTTGCTTGCCATCTGTTTTTCCATTGCTTTTCTTTCAGTCTCTGTGTTTCTTTACAAGTGGGATGAGTTTCTTGTAGGATCATGTGTTTTTAAGCATCCAGCTGATCTATATCTTTTTAGTAGAAACTTTAATTCATTTACACTCGAGGTAATTATTGACATGTAAGACCTTATTCCTGTCATTTTATTAATTGATTCAGGCTTTTTAAAAGTATATCTTTTGTTCTTTTATTTCTCTCATTGTTTATAATTGTGGTTTGGTGGCTTTCTGTAGTTAACATTTGAGTCCTTCCTCTTCTTTATTTATGTGTTTGTTCTACCTGTAGGTGTTATATACATTTGTGTGCTTACATAACAGTAGATCGCATCCTTTTGCTTCCAGGTGTAGGATTCCCTTAAGTAGTTCTTGTGGGACTGGTCTAGTGGTAATGAATTCCCCATCTTGTAGGACTGGTCTAGTGATAATGAATTCCCAGTTTTCTTCTCAGGGAAAGGCTTTATTTCTCTTTCAGTTATGAAGGATAACTCCGGTGTATACATAGTATCCCTGACTGGCAGTGTTTTATCTTTCAGCACTTCGGATATATCATCCTATTCTCTTCTGGCTTGTAAGGTTTATGCTGTTAGTCCGATGGAGGTTTGCTTATAAGTGTTTAGTTGCTTTTCTCTCACTGTTTTTAGAATTATCTCATTGTCTTTAACTTTTGACAATTTGACTATAATGTGCTGTGGAGAAGACTTTTTGAATTGTGTCTATTTGGGGATAACTGAGCTTCTTGTATTTGGATGTTTAATCTTTTGCTAGACTTGGAAAGTTTTTAGCTATTATTTAGTTAAGAAGGTTTTCTATCTCTTTCATTTTCTCTTTGCGTTCTGGGACACCAAAAATTCCAATATTTGCTCACTTTTTGGTTTTTCATAAGTCATGTAGACATTGTTTATTCTTTTGAATTATTTTTTCTTTACTTTTATCTGACTGAATTATTTCAAAAGACTCATCTTCACGTTCTGAGGTTTTTTTCTTCTGCTTTATTTATTCTATTGTGAAATGTTTCAAATGTATTTTGTTTTTTCTTCAGTAAATCCTTCAGTTCCAGATCTTCTATTTGATTCTTTTAAAAAAATTGATCATTTTAGTAAATTTCTCATTTGCATCTTGAATTGTTTTTCTGATTTCTTTGCATTATTTATCTATATTCCCTTGTATCTGTGACTGTGAGCTTGGATCACATGGCAAGCCTTTGTCTTACCATAGTCAGGCTAAAATTAGTTATTTTTATTCCGAGGACACATATTATACAGTATATATACATGCCACAGTATATGTATGTGCTAATTGAGTTAAGTGATTATATGTTCCAGATACTTTGCAAGCACAATCTCTGAGGTATATTGTTGTATCCATTATTTTACTGGGAAAATGGAAAACTTGCTTGGTAAAAAGAACATTCTCACTAAGGTATGCTGGGAGATGAACCTAGGTGTTTTTAACTCCAAAATCTTGCTCGTGATACAACACACTGTTTCCAACTCAAAAAACTAGAAAGATGGAATTGGAGCAGATTAAATAGGAGCTTAGAATGAAAAAAAATTGGTACAAACATAGAATTTTATTTTTTTTTCCTTATTAGGCAAATATCCACGTCCCCCTCACTCACTGCTGTATATTCTGAAAGATCTGGATATTTGGAAAGAAAATTGCATTATTTTTCTTTTGTCCCAATAAGTGTTTCCTCACTTAGGTTCTGTTGTTATATACTTTGTAAAAGACTACATACTCTTACATTACTAAGATAAAGCCACTTACACTGTCATTTAGACATGTTTGTTATATTTTCCTTTGGTAATAAAATTAACCATCTTCTCTCTCTCTCTCTCTTTCTCTCTGTGTTACATAGATTTCTCTATCATTTTACTTCCCAATTTGATTATTTGTGAGGGAGAGATTCTCCTTATTTTCTATCTTTCTCTTCAATGTGAGTTCTTTTTAAAAAATATTTAGAATGAAAGTCATCAATAGTGTTCAAAGTTGGGAAACTATAACATCAATGAAATACTGCTCTTCAATGTGGCAAAATAAAAAGAATTGAAAATTGGCAATGTGGACGTACCTCTTTTTATTACACTTGGCTTTGTTGTGCTTCATATATATTTCACTTTTTAAAAATTGAAGGTTTGTGGCAACCCTGTGTTCAGTGTTTATTGGTGCCATATTTTTCAACAGCATGTGCTCACTTCATGTCTCTGTGTCACATTTTGGTAATCCTTTCAATATTTCCAACTTTATTATTATTATATCCATTACGGTGGTCTGTGTTCAGTGATCTTTAATGTTAATATCATTATTGTTTTGGGCCAGCTCAAAGTGCACCCATATGATAGCAAACTTAATGATAAATACTATGTGGGTTCTGACTGCTCCACTGACCAGCCATTCCCAAGTCTTTTTCCCTCTCCTCAGGTCTCTCTATTGTCTGAAACCCAACAATATTGAAATTAGGCTAACTAGAAACCCTACAGTGGCCTCTAACTGTTCAAGTGAAATGAAGACTCACATGTATCTCATTTTAAATTCAAAACTAGAAATGATTAGGCTTAGTGAAGAAGACAGGATGAAAGATGAGATAGGCTGAAAGAGTGGCCTCTTGCACCAAACAGCCAAATTGAGAATACAAATGAAAATTTCCTTCAGGACATTAAAAATGCTACTCTAGTGAACATGTGAATAAGAAAGCAAAACAACCTAATTGCTGATATGAAAAAAGTTTGAGTGGTTTGGATAGCAGATCAAACCAACCACAACATTCCCTTAAACCAAAGCCTAATCCAGAGCAAGGCCCTAACCCTCTTCATTTCTGTGAAGGCTGAGAGAGGTGAGGACGCTATAGAAGAAAAGTTTGAAGCCAGCAGAGGGTTAGTTTGTAGGCTTAAGAAGCTATCTCCATAACATAAAAGTGCAAGATGAAGCAGCAAGTGCTAATGTAAAAGCTGCAGCAAGTTATCCAGAAGATCTAGTTAAGATAATTGATGAAAATGGCTACACTGACCAACAGATTTTCAATGTGAATAAAACAGCCATTTATTGGAAGACAATACCATCTAGAACTTTCATAGCTGGAGAGGAGAAATCCTTTCAAAGCTTCATAGGACAGGCTGACTCTCTTGTTAGAATCTAATGACTTTAACTTGAAGCCAATGCTCATTTATTATTTGGAAAATCATACGACCCTTAAGAATTACATGAATTCTACCCTGCCTATGCTTTATAAATAGAACAACAAAGCCCAGATGACAGTACATCTGTTTACAGCATGGTTTACTAAATATTTTAAGTCCACTGTTGGAACCTACTTCTCAGAAAAACAAAGATTTCTTTAAAAATATTACTACTCATTTACAATGAACCTGGTCAACCAAGATCTTTGATGGAGATACACAAGGACATTAACCTTTTTTTTTTTTTTTTTTTTTGAGACAGGGTCTCATATTGTCACCCAGACTGGAATGCAGTGACATGATCTTGGCTCACTGCAGCCTTGACTGTCTGGGCTCAAGTGATCCTCCTGCCTCAGTTCCCAAGTAGCTGGAACTACAGGCATGAGCCACCATGCCTGGCTAATTGTTTTGGTCTTGTTTTATAGAGAGGGGATTTTGGGGTTTTGCCATGTTACTCAGGCTGGTCTCTATCTCCTGAGCTCAAGCAATCTGCATGCCTCGGCCTTCCAAAATGCTGGGATTACAGGTGTGAGCTGCTGCGCCCAGCCTAATTTGAGCTTTCAAGTCTTATTATTGTAGAAGTACATTTGGTAAAGCTATAGCTGCCATAGATAGTGATTCTTCTGCTGGCTTTGGGCAAAGTAAATTAAAAACCTTTTGGAAAGGATTTGCTATTCTGGATGCCATTATGAACATTTGTGATTTATAGAAGGAGGTCAAAATATCAACATTAACAGGAGTTTGGAAGTTGACTTCAACCCTCCTGGATAACTCGAGGGGTTCAAAACTTCAGTGGAGGAAATGACTTCCATGTGGTGGAAATACAAGAGAAATAGAATTACAAGTGAAGCCTGAAGATGAGACTGAATTGCTGCAATCTCATGATAATACTTGAATGGATAAGAAGTTGCTTCCTATGGACGAGCAAAGTGGTTTCTTGAGATGATATCTACTCCTGGTGAAGATGCTGTGAACATTGTTAAAATGGAAACAAACAATTTAGAATACTACAAAACCTTAGTTGATAAAGCAGTGGCAGGGTTTAAGAGGATCAATTCCAATTTGGAAAGAAGATCTACTGTGGATCAAATGCTATCAAACAGCATTGCATAAAACAGAGAAATCTTTTGTGAAAGATTGTTGTTGTCTTATTTTAAGAAGTTGCCACAGCCACTCCAACCTTCAGCAACTACCACCCTGATCTGTCAGCAGCTATTAACATGGAGGGAAGACCCCTTTTAAACAAAAAGATTACGACTTTCTGAAGGCTAAGGAGATAGTTAGCATTTTTTAGCAGTAAAATATTTTAAAATTAAAATATGTGCATTTTATAAAGACATAACAGTACTGCACATTTAATAGACTATAGTATAGTATAAACATAACTTTTATGCAATGGGAAACAAAAAATTCATGTGACTGTTTATTGTAATATTTGCTTTATTGCAGGAGTCTGGAACTAAACTCACAATATCTTTGAGGTATGCCTGTATTCAGTGTTGGCACTGGCAAAAGTGCAATAAAACAGGCACTCATATACTAGTAGAAGTGTAAGTTATACAATTTGTGTTAAAAGCAAATGACAATTTTTTTCAAGAGCTTTAAATTTGTAAAAATTCTTACCTCATCAATTTTACCCAAATAAATTTATGCTAAACAACCAGATATATGTACACTGATTTTTAAGCAAGAATATTAATTATGGCATTATTTTACCAAATATTTTAAATTATGAACATCTAGCAATCCAGAAAGAATAAAGTAAAATACAACATGGCTATCAGTAGGTTTTTTAATACACACATTAAATTTATGTTTTTCAGAAATAATGGTATGGGAAATGATTCATGTTATAAGTTTGACTGAAAAAACCAAGATACTAAATAAATGCAATATATTTTTGTATATGAGAGCATATTAATCAGATTCAGTAATGATATCTGCTCTAACAAACAACTCTTAAATTTCAATCTTCATTGCTTAACACAATAAAGGCTTATTTTTTCCCATGACATCATCTAATGCAGGGTGGTCGTGGTTGTTAATTTCTCTGTAACTCTGACAAGCTCAGTGTAGTGCTTCCAGATTGCTCTGGGGCCATGCAGCTAGCAGTTGAGGCAGGAAGAAACATAGCACAGACAGGGCAGGCTCTGTCTCAATTGACTTGGTGCGTAAATGATGCATCACTTTTGCTCACAATTATTGTCAAAAGCTAGGCACTTGTTCCCTTTTCCCTTAAATTCAAGAGTCTGGGCAATCTGGTTTTGTGAGCCATGGAGCATCTCTGCCATTATACACTGGAAGAAAATACACAAAATTATTAACATCTCTAGTGAGATTTTTCATGATTTTATTTTCAACTTCTTGCTATTATTTTCTGAATTTTCTAAAATAAATGTAAATTAAGTTCATAATGAGACCAAAACTATAAAAATTAAAAACGTGGTACTTTATGCACGCAAGCTGCTTTCCTCCCTCAGGAGGTGCAGACAGCTTGGGGAACTCACTATAGTGTACATTTCAATATAACCTTATATATCGTAACAGGTTCCTTAGGTGCTTGCCAAAGTGATAGAAAATACACTGAGCACAGCATGAGGAGGAACTTTCTCTATGCATGGGTGATTTGGATATAATATTTATCAATGCTGATTACCTGGATTGCTTTGGCTGATCTGGCTAGCCTGGAGGGTTTTTCCATTCTTCCCTTACTGTTGCATATGTTTTCTTTCTGAAACCTTTTCTCTGTCAAAGAGAACAACATTTTCTACTAGCAGAAGGGGGAAAGCAACAAAGCAAAAGTTCTCCTTTTCAAAAAAGCTAAAAAATCGCATTTTTGTTACCAAGCTATTCTTTAGCTTGGTAAAGACAGATGTAAGTTGGACATTCATCTTATGCAATGTAGATGAAATCTAACTGATGATTTAATAAGAACTAATAGTAATAGCTCTATGCAGGCATGCAGCATGCAGCGTGTTCACTGCCCTTTAAAGAATAAATAAGTCCTGTGAGAAAACTGTGACTGCTCTTATCCTACAAACTTGGTTCCACATTTTACCTCTAACCTCTGGTTTGGACAATGAATAGTAGAGACATGTCCACTGCTCAGGTCCTTTTCAATGCCCACCATTGGCTTCAAAGTTCAAGCCTTTCATTTTCTTGCCCCATACATATTTTCAGATTCGCTGCATGCCACTTTCTTGCACTTGTCCTGTTAAAGAGTCCACCATGGCTATTTAATATTTAAAGGCTGAGATCATTTTGCGGGTTTTAGTTTAAAGGTAACCATAGCACACACACACACATTTATTATTAATAGCAGAGACACACTGTAAGTCCTTGGGAATCTTCTTTCCTTTTGATGTTAGTTTCACAGGAGTGCTGCCATCACTAGAATTGGCTCTGATATTGCTATCTGGCAAGTGGACTAGTGCAGTAACAACGGGTCCAGAATGCTGTAAACTGTTCATATGGGTGGAGGTGACCATGCTTAAAAGGGAGATGAAGCCAGAAAGTGACAGGCCACGGAAAGTCCGGTTTCGGATCGCGTCCTCTCACAGTGGGCGAGTTCTGAAGGAAGTGTATGAAGATGGGCAACCGTCAGGCTCTCTGGATTCTGAATGTGCCAGTATCTGTGGGATAGATGGACTAGGTGATTCCGATGGACAGCAGAATGGCCACATAGAGTCAGAAGGTGATGAGAATGAGAATGACCAGGATAGCTTGCTGGTGTTAGCAAGGGCTGCCAGTGAGAAGGGTTTTGGTACAAGAAGAGTCAACATTTTAAGCAAAAATGGCACAGTCAGAGGCGTCAAATACAAAGTGAGTGCTGGCCAGGCTCTATTTAACAATTTGACCAAAGTATTACAGGTAAGTCATTGCTGTTTCCTTCTCCTGCTCTTTGTTCCTAACTCACCATCTGAACACCTCTCAGTTCTCCAGTTAAAGCAAGCCTCTCTTATTTGCAACTCCTACATGCTTCATGAGACGCTCCTCCACCTAAGATACTGTCCTAACAGCTATCAATTAAAAACTGGGTCATTGTGCTTGGGAAAATAGACTGAGTTCTCAAAGCCAAATTTCTAACACATAAGTGGTCTTTTTTTCCTTCCAGTGTGTGATGACTAATATAACCTGTCTACTTCTTTGCTAAGGAAAAAGATAAAACTATGCTGTTCAAAGCATTTGAGCAAAGATTAAAAGTTAAATTCTGGTTTATTATCCTTGAAATACCAGTGTAGCATTTATCATTACTTATGTAGATATTTACACCAGAAAATGTTGAGTGCATGAATTCAGCGAGGTTGGGTTCAACTGGAAGGTTGTGCAGCAATAAAGACTAACTTCGACTTCCTCCCATTCCTGAGGAGGTTGCAGGCTTCATTCAATATCAATTTCTCTATTAAATTGCCCATAAAAATTCTAGGATGATGCTTGAAAAAATTACTCCTCTATAAATGTACAGACTGAGATCTAGATTTTGTATAATAATTTTTAACATTTATTACTTTAAATGTGATAGATTCTGCAGAGTAATATAGAAATATATTATTCAGGTATTGGGGCTTTTGACAATGATCTAATGTTAACAAGTTTTTGAAAGCATTGGTAAAGTGATTTGTTTTTTTGTTAAAAACAGATATCATTATGTCGGGAATGGAATTTATGATTGCTATCATTAAGGTAGCCAATATTTTTCATTGTAATTCCTTTTTATATTCTCAATTTTTAAATAAAATGATCTCTTGTGATGATTCAATGTCCCTATATTATATTAGAATGTGTGAGTGGTGAAGAGAGAGGATTTCAATGAAAGTACTTAAATATTTTTTATTTCAAAGAAAGTATTTGAAAATATCAGGAGGATTTAAAAAATTAGTTTTTGTTAAAGGATAAAAACAGTTGACAGCAAAGGTTCTTTTTAATATATGGCAATTACCGGTAAAGAATTTTACATATTGGGGTGAGGTTGGAGACTGAAAATCAGAAACTGATGTTGTGTTCTACTAGGTTGGCAACAATCTTGTTTCAGTTTCTAGAGATGTGATTATTTGGTTATGGCAATCTTAGTGGCCACCAAGTTTCACCAAATGCAGAAATTATTATTGCTAAGGAGTAGACCAAGATTTTTTGCAACAATGAAGTTTTAAAATGTTTACATTCATTATGATTAACTTAGTTTGTTATTATTTGAATTGCCTTATGATTTGGAGGGTTGTTTACAAAACTAAAAGTTTTAGTACTTTGATTTGCATCTGTTTATTCAAATCTCCCCCCAAATTTATTGTTTATGAGTAAATATCTTAAGCCTTTAAAACCTACAAGAGAAAAACTTTCTTCTCCCTATGTGTTTACTCTGACAGTGCTTTAAACTCACAAAAAAGAAAGAGAAGAAATTCCAAAATCAAAATTTTAACACTAGATTAGTTTACAATATTTACCTGCATATTTTTCTATGCATAGTTCCATAGCCCCATTTTGAGAAAAAAGCAATAAAACTGCCTTTTTCTAATAATTTAGCCCCATTCCACGTATTCCCTGTTTTAGAGCAATGAAGAGCAATAAAGATTATTAGCAGAGGTCCTTCAAGGTCTCTGGTACTTAATCAGATCTATCCCTCCCAACTGCCCACCAATCTGGTCCTTTCTTTATAATGTTGGCAAAGTCATCAGCCTATTGTAGGCATTCACAAATTTTGGTCATTATCTTTAGTTTCATTGTCATCAGCAGCATCTTAATTGTGTGAATGTTCTCTGGTATCTCCAGGACAAAACATAAGTTAAAGGAGTGGCTACACTTGGATCAGGGCTGCTAGTTGCATTATTGCCCAAGGAGCTCCATTCCCCATTGTCTGCATGAATGGTACCCCTTAAAGTTGTGCAATACACCCTACTCAACATTATGTAGAGATCTGATTTGGATGCTTGCCACACTTTTTAAGGTATGTGTATGTCATTTGGGGTAATGTACATCTTAGGCATATGTCTTAGGATGATAGTGTATATTCCCATAGGCATCCCACAGAGAAGCCCCAGGGGCTAGAAGCAGAAGTTATTATTCAGTTATTCCTATACCCTTTACCAGATATGACTTTTCCCCCTATATATTTTCCATATCCCTTGCAAAGTAAGCGGTAAACTTGACTGGATGTAATTTAGTAATCTCCCTCAGGGAGGAAAAAGTGAGCAGTCGGTATCTTGGATATTTGATTAAGGTTTCAATGCACAGCCAATCTTATTGAAGCAAGGAACTGTGATTGAAGAAACAGTGAGGCTTTTCTTTTTAAGTTTTAAAACCTTAAAGCACTTAACCTTAAACGTGAAAGAAAACCCTAAATATAAATAAAATATTTCAAAGACCCTGTCAATCACTTGCTTCTTCTGTATTAGTTTCCCACTCTTTTATCCCTGTCTCATAAAACATTGGTATATGTCCTGCAAAAATTTCAACTGCACAGAAAAAAGTCATTGCAATTTTTGCCTTAAAATATTTTTACTTTGTAGCAGCACTTACTTAGAAAGTTGTCTATTAAAGGAATATCAGAATGAATTTCCATTTTATTGGTCAATTAGTTTACCTTATATAATCCTGGGTATTTGATGATGTGCAAAATTAATCAAGGTTGTTAAAGGTAGTGATGAACCAGGAGGCAAAAAGCAGAAGGCCACCTGGCTGCTCAGGTGGGCGTTGTAGAGAGTGGTTAATGGTGAAGCAAAATGTCTCTAGCTGTTCTAGATTATGGCGCTTCAGCTCCAGGTGGTTGAATTTGCCAACTCTCCCAGAGATAACAAGAATACAGAGCTCGAGAGAGGCCAATTTGGAAATCTGAAAACCTAGAATCTAGCCATGACTGTGGCCTGGAAATAGGCGTTTACTAGAAGTTCTTTAGGTTATTCTTACATGCACTAAGGCTTGAGAATCATTGACCTAGAGTATCAAAGAGAAATTCATCCAGTTCCCAAGGGTAAATAAAAATATTAATGTTCCTTATCTCTTCAATATTTAATAAAGAAAATGAATGAGATATGCAATGACTTGTTATTCATTCTTTTGATCAGGTTAGATTATCAGAAAAATTTTTCTGAGCCAAAGATGAATAAAGGTTATCCCAACAGCCATGTTTCCCATGAATATTCAAATTTATCAGTTAATTTGAGAACAGGTCCAGAAATCTTACCAGGACACTCTGATGTAGTTGGTCTCTTTTTAATACTCTTTAAGAAATTCTGCTCTTAGAATATCTCTATCTAGATACATAAGTTTATTCCTCATTACTGGAAAATTTTAAAAATATATTTACTTTCTTTAAAAATTAGCCATTGTTTCTTCATGCTAAGCAAATTATAAAATCAACATATAGCTCATACCTGTCAGTACACAGTTGACATGATTGGATTTGAGATATACTTTGCTGTTAGCAGCAAAATATTTCCAAATTCTCTTAGAGTGGGTCAATGATGCAGATAATTAAGGCTGCTTATTTTTGATAATTTATTCTTATGAGATTACATTTCAGACAGCGATTTTTTTCTTGACCTTATCCTCAAACTGTGTGAATAAACTGTTAGAATATTGTACTGTCATTTCCATAATTTTAATTTCCTTTCCTTCTCCAAATTTAAAATTACTGTATTAGAGATAAATAGGTGCAAAGAAGGAAAATAATTACAACACATACTATAATTTGGCATTTCCTTTCTAGGAACTCAAATTAAACATATAACCTCCGTCTATGTATGTACATGGATATTTCCGGTTAGTGTGATTGTATTTATAAGCATTCTAATATTTCAAGACAAATGAAATAAAAGTAGTATGTTTGTGGAAAAACCAGTATGTTTGTGGAAAAACCTAAGGACTCATTCTGAGAGATTTTGGAAATATTTTGCTGCTAAGAACAAAGTATACCTCAAATTTAATGATGTCAACTGGCTACTGAGAGGTATGAGCTGTGTGGTGATTTTGTAATTTCTTTAGCATGAAGTAACAATGGCTAATTTTTAAAGAAAGTAAATAATTTTTCTAAAATTTTTCAGTAATGAGGAATAAAATGTTATTTTGCATTTTACACAGGGATTTCACATATATTATTTTAATTAATTGTGCCCAAAAGTTTATAAAGTGAACAGAAAAGTTATTACTATTATTATTATTATTATTATTATTATTATTATTATTCTTATTATGTCTGTTTTTAGATAACTAAGTGTGAGAGAAATCCAGTCTCTGGCCCAAAGCTAGTAATGCAAGAACTCTGCCCTTTGCTGTTTTGGCTTTCACAGTTTTCAAAAGTGTTGTACTATATGCATAAACTCCCAACTTTATGTTTTGAAATGTCATGATAACAAACATGAAGACTAAATGTATCATGTAATAAGACTAAACATATCATGTTATTATATAATCTGGCCTTTTGAAATTTCAACATTTAGTTAGCAGGTTTTACAATTTATCATTTATTGAACATTTGATCTTCATCTAGAAAGGTTTTTTTTTCTGCAGAGTTAAATAGCTTCAATTCAGCTTTGAATTGTATTTTTAAAAGGTTTATATCATTTCTATAACATCGTTTGATTAAAGTGTCATGAGGTTGCAAGGATTGACACTGAAAGAGGATGACTTGTTTACCTCAAGTATACTGGTGCTTACAGTGGTTCACTATCTCAGGATGGGTAGTGTTAACACACCTTTCCAGCAGTATTTATTATGCATCTCTGGTTCACTGAATCAAACTCCGATAATAGAATAATAGTTCAGTAAAAACAAGGTGATATTCTTGATGACTCCTTAGTCCCAGTGGTTCATTTGGACCACTCTGGGAAAATAATTAGCATTAAGTACTTATTGAATATTAGACACTGTTGACATTATTTATGTGCATTGATATTTATTCCTTACAACAACCCTGTGAGGTATATTACTATTAATCAATTAATTATCAATTAATTATGATCTGAGCTTCTTCTCTGACAGAAACATTAATTTATAGGATTTAAAATGTTATGTATCCTGAGAAATTCTTATGTAGTGTTCTGTCAAGACTATCATGTATTAATGGAAATATTATCTTTTTAGATATTAAGAGGTAGGTAAAGAAGCTCTAGGATTTTTGATACAATTCCAAATGATGCGAGAAACTACACTAAGAGATTAAGTGACTTATGTAAAAAGCAGGAAAGAAAAAGCAGCAAAGATGAGTTGGTACTACTGATATTTATGCACAATTAAAGAATTGTAAACTGATAGAACTTAGAGTCCTGTGACCACCTTGCACATACCATCCTTGGCTCTTGCTTATGGTATTAGCGCACATACTGAGTAGGACCTCAATAAATTTTCTTCCTTGAGTTAATGAATTAACCCTCTTAGTGGTTATTTTCCTCTTCTCCATCTCTTTTGGGTTTGGAGATTTCCCATAACGGACAGGACTAGAGTTTGCATGGCGAAGTGTTGCTGGCTTGCTTCATTCCATTCTTTCTTTTGATCATTTTCAATCATTCATTAATAACTATTTACTGCATATCTACCGTGAGACAAAAAATATGTTAGATAATGTGAGGACTAAAACCCAATTCCTGCCTTCATGGACTATCCAGCAGTGTGTTGTGAATGATTGTGTAAAGCAATTCCTGGAGGAACTCAGAAACAAAAGATTTTGTTTTCATCCCCAGAAGATTCTCTCTTTCTGCTTTCTTGTTGGTTTACCAGCCTCTATGCATTCCTCAGGCCAATGCTTATATTTTTCTCCTTTTAGTCTTTCTCTTATTAGACCATCATTTTATTTTGGATCTTTTTCTTTAGCTTGCTCTTGCTTTCTTTCTAGTTGAGTTCTGTCTCAAGGACAATAACTGAAGGCTCATCTGTATAATGACTTTTATCTTGATCCTGCAAATCTCTAGAAGTGAATAACAGTGACTCTGACCATTAGCACCGACTTATCCAAGTTCTACTCATCATGTTAAAACTTTCCTTCTAAAGTTAGTTCAATTAATATCTAAGTTGGAAAATCACATTTTTTCCTGGTTCATCAGAATCTTTGTATCATGACATTTTAAACTGTGGAACATTGGTAATTCCCTGAGCTTAATCCTATGAATCTGTCTGAATTCTGGCTTTAGAACAACCTGCTGAGCAAAGTCACAGATTCCACAATATGACTTGAAACTGCTTAATGAATGCTTATGGGTGGCCCATGATTACCACATAATTAAGGAATTAGCACCTAATGTTTCTAAAACTTAAAAATGCAATTTAACAGCTGAGCAAGGCAAACGTTCTTTTGCTGGCTTGCTCATGCTGGCAGATATTGCTCATGCTGATATTTTCTCTGAAACCCAGTATTTTAAATTTTGTATAAAAGTAATATAAACATTTAATAGTCTATACACTGACACAGCATATAAATGTATCAATCCTTCAATAATTATTGCCTGGAAGGGATTTACAAAATTATAAACAGAATAAGATGTCATGCAGAAATTTTCAGTTAAGGGCATTTTATTTACGTGCACAAATCTACTCAATAAAGATTTGAGACATCTTTGCTCAATTTTATTTTTCTAATAATTCATTATCTCATTTAATTGCTGATAAATTATGCCTTAGAACATTGCATCAGGAGTGAAGTAATAGACTCTTTTACATAGCAAATAAAGTAAATAATAGGAGTATTCCCTTTTTTTGATTCTTAAATAACAAAGTTAGGCTATGAAATAATTAGTTGCTTCTTTTTTGTATCTTTTATGTAATTAATTATAAGAAATTTAAGATCCCTTTTATATGAAAACTCTGTATAAGCTTGACTAGCCCAAAAGAGGGTAGAGTAGTGAAAACCAAGGTGTTGATTTGCTAGAGATAGATTTTGTCAGATGAGAAGGCTCTGGGGAATTGTGTTATTACAGGTCAGTGGAAAGAGAATAGGGAAACTTAGAGTACCAAATGAATGGAGACTAACGAGGGTCATCTTAGTTAAAAAGGGGACAAGAGCTGGGTGGTCTGTGACCTCAGGAACTTGTGGGGGGTCTACAGATTGAGGGGAGGGTCTAGAGCAGGGTCAGCAGGGAGAGGCTACTGGGTAACTCTGCTCATGAGGGTCCCAGAACTAATCCATGCCACAGGGCAACTGTTCTTATTCGCGTATCACCTTTGGTGAAGAGCCAGGTTCACATGCCCTCTCATGAGTACCTTCCTTTGACAGCTGTCAAATGCACAATGCTTGTGGCGCATCTAGCAGAAGGGATGCCCTCCAGTTTCCCAAGGTTCTGTTGCTTCTAAACTGTCCCAAGTAAATATCCCCTTTTTAAGGACCCAAGACTCATGATTTCTCCCAGAAATCAAGAACATGGTCATTGGCATCCACATTAATCATGCTGGTTATGTGAAAAATAAAGCCTGCGGTATCCATATTCAGAAGAGACTGAACAACAATTACTACTCACCCGGTGTATTAGTTTCCTATTGCTGCTGAAACAAATCAAATCACTACAAACTTAGAGCCTTAAATCAGCGCAAATCTATCTCTTCACAGTTATGGAGGTCAGAAGCCTGAAATGATTGTAATGGGACCAAAATCAAAGTTTTGGCAGTGCTGCTTCCTCTCTGGAGGCTTTACGGCAGAATTCATTTCTTGCATTTCTCAGCTTCCAAAGGCTGTCCACATTCCTTGGCTTGTGGCCCTGCATCCTTCTGACTTCTGCTTCCACTATTACATCTTCTCTAACTCTATTGCCCTCCTTTTTCCCATATAAAGATCTTCATGATTACGTTGGGCCTATCCAGTCTGGGATAATCTTCCTATCTCAAGATGCTTAATGCAATCATGTCTGCAAAGTGCCTTTTGCTGTGTAAAGAAATATATTCATAGATTGTAGAGATTAGGACATGGGTAGCTATTATTCTGCCTTCTATACTTGGTATTAAGCTTATTTTGTACATGAAAAGACTGAGGCCTTGTTGTAGACTAAATCATTGGCTTCATTTTTTCCTGGTTCCCTGTGGTAGTATCATACATTGGCATACTTTTGCCATGGCCACCAGGGGATAGAGTGTATTTCCACAGCCCTTGGCTTTGGTCTTGACCATGTGACTTCCTTTGGCTGAAAGGATGGTAATAAATATGGCACAATCAAAGTATTGAAACTGGTTTGCATTGTTGGGCTTGCCCTCTTAGATACCTTTCCTGTGGAAACATTATAATGCTGTTTTGTGTGTTTCCTTTCTGTAGTTACGTATATGATGCTACATTCAATATAATTTAATTTTATTATGTTAGTCCAGGCATTTAAAATCTTTTTGGACTCTGGTCTTGAATCTAGTTGTATCTTAGTATTATATACCTTACTGAGTAAATATAACACAGTGTTGATCATGGCAAATTGTCAGTATAGAATAACACCAAGTGAGTCAAAAGAAATGAATTAAGAGAAGATTAAGCACCCCTAATGAAGCAACAAATGTTTGGTTTAGTAAATATTATACATCAATAAAGTTAAACTAGTGGTTTTATGGAAAGAAGAGAAAGACAAATGATGCGAGAGTGGTTGTGATGCAGAACACATCAGCCTCAGAGGACTCCAGGGTGTCCTCTTATCAGTTTCTATAACAGTGACCCTGTTACTGCATTAATTTGCTGAGGATAATGGCTTCCAACTCCATCCATGTCCCTGCAAAGGATGTGATCTCAGTTATTTCGATGGCTGCATAGTATTCCATGGTGTATATGTACCACATTTTCTTTATCCAGTCTATCATTGATGGCATTTAGATAGATTCCATGTCTTTGCTATTGTGAATAGTGCTGCAATGAACATACGTGTGCATGTATCTTTGTAATGGAATGAGGAGCTGAATGATGACAACACATGAACACATTTTGGGGGAACAACACACACTGGGGCATTTCAGGGGTGGAGTGGTGGGAGGGAGAGCTTCAGGAAGAATAGCTAATAGATGCTGGGCTTAACACCTAGGTGATGGGATGATCTGTGCAGCAAACCACCATGGCACATAATTACCTATGCAGCAAACCTGCACATCCTGCACATGTACCCCTGAACTTAAAATAAAAGTTGAAGAAAAATGAAGAATGACTCTAACACATTATTCTTGTAGTGCCAGAAACTTTTCTCAGAAAAGGAGTCATTTGTCCCCAAGGGGTCATCTTAATTCCTATAGTCTGAGGGAAATAACTATGATCTCAGAGAAGCGTGTAGCTTGTTGTCAGAGTATAAACATTATTGAATCAATTGAATCAATAATCCAGCACTGGGCTTCTAGAACTCAGGAGGTTTCATGTGAAACCCAGAGGCTACAACCGGAGCCCGAAGGCTGAAGATTTGCCTCTCTCAGTGCCTGGTGCTTTAAACAGCTGGCTTTATAGTACAGTTTTACACATGTTTTATTTAAAATAATATTAGAAAATCTACTACAAAGATAACACAAATCAACCAATGATACTTACTAAGGATGCCACCTCTCTTTCTAACTACACAGAAAACCAAATAAAAAATTTGGGCCACAGCTTTGTAGATTTTTTTTTTTTTTTTTTTTTTTTTTTTAGACGGAGTCTCTCACCCAGGCTGGAGTGCAGTGGCATGATCTCGGCTCACTGCAAGCTCTGCCTCCTGGGTTCATGCCATTCTCCTGCCTCAGCCTCCCAAGTAGCTGGGACTACAGGCACCCACCACCACGCCAGGCTAATTTTTTGTATTTTTTAGTAGAAATGGGGTTTAACCATGTTAGCCAGGATGGTCTCTATCTCCAGACCTTGTGATCCGCCCGCCTTGGCCTCCCAGAGTGCTGGGATAGATATTCTTAATCACAGCTTTCAAGGCTCTTCCTCTAATTATGGAATTTCCCTTTTCATACATTTATATATGCCCCTTCCCATTTTTCTTTTTTCCCCTAAATTTGCGCTTGCTTCAGCATTTTCCAAGGCCAATGTTTCCTGCTTCAGCTACTCAATTACAAGCTGATTTTTTTTCAGGGAATATTTTTTATATTTCCATGAAGAATTTCTGGAGATGAAATTATACTTGCCCCTCCCAAAAGGCCTTGGTGGTGAGAGCTTATGAGAACTGAAACAGACCCAAAGCCTGTGTTGGAAATTAAGTAGCTGCCTACCCATCCTGCATAAGAGTCTTTGCCTCTCTCCTTACCTCCTTTCTGCTGGAGGTTTAAATATGATACACAACCAACTATTTCAGGGAACATAATTCGCCTTGATGTTTCTAAAGCAGATTAAAAGTGGCTCTTGGATCCTCCATGTAGGAATGGACAGGGAGTTCTGTACTAGACATCATTCAGGATTCTTTCCCCACACATTGTGATCAGCAAGATATATGGGTTCACAAGGGGCCAGAATGTCTAGAGATGATTTTGGTCCATGGATTCTGGTGTCCATCTTCATTGCTACTCCTTCAGTCCATGTGCTACACTGATGCTGCAGGCAGTGCCCAAAGCCCTTCACATAAGATGCCCAACTTTCGCTCCTTCCAACTCTTGGGACTACTTACCTTCATTGCCTTTATGTCTAGACTCTTGAAAACATTCTTCTATCAATTATTCTTAGGAGCAAGAGAAAACCTAAGTTCTAGAAATCAAAGCCCCCCTTTTCTTTGTGAGAGAAAGAAGAGAAAAATACCTTATTCCCCAGTAGTGTCTTAAATAATTACTGTGCTCGCTTTCTCTCCATTTAGACATAAGAGCACTATTCTCTGGAGGGAGATGACCTGGTTTCAGATGCAGTCTAACTTTTCCTAGTTGTTTAATGTGGGAAAATGTACTTATCTTCTATAAATCTTAGTTTCTTTATTGGTCAAATGGGGATAATGGTTGTGACTATTTCTATGAAATGAATGAGTTATTGTGTATAAAGCATGTTTCTCGATGCCTGGTACCTTATAAGTACTCAATAAATACTATCATTTTTATTATCCTTCTTCAAACAAATTGTGAATCAAATACTACTAAGTATTCTGCTAGTCATTGAGGGTGCAAAGATGAAAAAAGCATGATTTCAGTCCTCAGAGAATCTAATTCTTTCTTATGAGATACACAAAACACATAGCTACTGTAACATATGGCAAGAACTCAAGAGCTTATTAAGGAACAGAGGTGGGACATCTGACCCAATTCTATAAATTTTATAGAGATTCTGTTCCTCTCAGATAACATTTTTAAAATTAAGGCTGTGTGGGAAGTCCTGGGCCACTCCGTAAAAGGCATCTTGGTACCACAAGATTTTTTGGCAGAAATCACTTCACTTTGAAAAATCTTAGCTGCTGCCTCCAAACTTGGCTCCGACCCTGCCACACAAACCTGTTGTCTTGCGGCCAATTCCTCTCTTGGAGATCCTGTCTTGGCTTTGGCCCCTACCTAGGCCTTTGCCTTGGATTCCTTAATATTAACTTCCGTGTCTATTTGGCCAAATGTTTGCCAGCCTGGCTCTGCTGCAGTTGGCTCTATACCTGTGAACTCAGCCAGCCACCCACATGCCTTGTGTCTGAGTATTCCTTGGTAACACCTGTCATCCTGAAAGCCTTGCTTGCGCCTTCTGGGTAGAGACAGAATCAATCTCTTCTTTAGTAATTGCCTGGATTGATTTTTAATACCTTTCCATGCCAATGCAAGGAATTATTTGTATCTCTATGGAATGCCTTCTGCTATGAGCCACACGGTGGACTGCTAGACATGGCTGAAATTGTGCAGACATTTATTACATCATTTAAGACATTCAAAAGAGGCTGTTGCTGAGTTTTTTTCGTGGCTTTATATATGATAAAGGACCCAGACGTTTCCCGTTGTTCTGTCTGGTCATTCTTGGCTTGTTGGTTGATGTCCTCTCATGGATTCAAAATGGATGCCATAGCTTACAGCCAGACCAGAGTCAAAACTGAAAGGGAGTGTGGCAAAAGAAAACATTCCTTACAGGTGTGCCTCTTTTATCAGAAAGGAAAAGAAAATTCCAGAAAATTACCGATGCATTCTGTTACATTTAGTGTCTTACGTTTCATGTGATCGTTCCTTGTCATTGTAAGAGGGCAGGAATGTATCTGGCATTGCCTCCTAGGTAGAAGATAGCATGGGAGGATGGGGTTGGAAATAGCTGATGAACAAACAAGCAACAGTGCCTGCCACACCATTATCCAGGAATTTTGCTATGATATTAATTTTTCTTGTATGTAATTTGGCTCACATTGGGTCATGCTTCTGAATGACAAAAGCGTTTTATAGTAATCTCATTTCATGAACTGTGTACATTTTTTCTGCCTGTCCTTGAGGATTTTAATCTTTCTATTTTTTTTAAATCCATATTTTCTCAGGTTCACAGCTTTTCACCTTTTGGGTTTAATTATTCTAACACGACAACTTTGGATACCTCAAAAGACAATAGGGCTGGTGAACAGTTTTTCATTAACAGCAGTAAAAGTGTTAGTATAGTATTTATCTATTTTACCTATCATTATCTCTAGTAGTCATCTATTCTCTGTATAGTAAGATGCTGTCCAATTTTAAAAAGATGTGCACCATAGTTCACCCAAGCTGGGCAGTCTAAAACAGAAAGAAACTTCCCACCACAGCGCACTTGGCTTTATTTTTCTCTGCTGCTTGCTCCATTACATCAAAAGCAAAATAAAGTATAAAACACAGTGACTACAGAGCCACAGCAGTCATTCCCACAGCTCTTTCCTTTACTCTTTGCCTGGGATGCCAGTCACCTCAGGGGCTCCACAGTTAGTGAGCTGGAACTCATTTCACATCTGAGGAGAATAATGTTAGAAAAGCTCTCTGCATGCAGAGCAGGGCAGACCCACTCTCAGCAAGCCTTTCAGCAATGCAGCTCCAGCTTTCCTGATTTTATTGGTCACCAGCAAGCTTGTTTTTATTTTTGAACTATTTAAGAGGATACTAGTAGTATTAGCAATACAAGCAACCCTTCATTGAATGCCTACATGTGATGGAAACTATCGCAGGTGCCTCTCTTATAATACTGTTTCTTTAATCCTCATGACAAATTTACAAGGTAAATATTAATGTATTTTACATGAGATAAACTGACAACAAACCAAAGTAATTTAAAGGACAATGAAAAAACATTTGTCCCCGAATATTTTGGCTTTCATTTTGATCTGCCATGTGAAATTCTTTTTATTATTTTCCCTATTTCCACACTCGAGAGATCTCCTTCGTGTTAAATTGAGTTCCTTAGAAGCAGAAACTGAAATTGGATTCTTGTAAAAAGTGATTTATTAAGGGAGGATCTCAGAAGAAAGGGCATGAAGGAAGCAGGTTAGGCAGGGAAGAAAGCGAAACAAGGTAGTCATCTTGGCTAGAAGCCAGCGCCAGCCCAGACGCTGGAGATGGTCTGGAATACAAATTGTAGCATGTATTTGGCCTCACCTGTCTTTGGCCACTGGCTGTGAGCTTTTAGAAGCCAATATTTCAGTAGCTTGGGGGTGCATCAGCCAGCATTACTAAGGGGTCTGGGAACATTCACTACAGTTCACCTCTTGCACTCTTCAGATGTATCTGCTTCCTTCCATTAAGTTTATTGCATCCAAGCACAGCCTTGTCACAGTTAATGGGAGAGTTAGTGGGATAAATTACAGTTCCCACACTGCTGTTGGCTTTGAAATGATAGCTGATAATCTTCCACTATCCATTTTAGACACCTCTCCTCTTAGCTAGCACTTCTACTCAATTAGGTGGCTCACATGGTTGCACTGTATTTTCAGTCCCTGTAGAGTCTGAGCTCTGAGCATTATGTCCTTCTCAGGAAGTAGCTGCTGTACTTGCTGACTCACTGCTAGACCCATGAATACCAAGAGAGGCCCTGAGTGCCAAACAGACATATTTCTCCCTGCTCCTTATATGTAGTAGCAGTTCTACTCCCTCATGACAGTCATGGTCAGTTAACCTTGCCGGTATTTTAACTGCTTTTTAGGCTATCTAGATTACTATCATGATGAGCCCAAAGTGACTAGATGTCAGCTATAACTTTAAGTTTAGTGGAACTCTTACTGCATTGCTTGGGGGAAAAGCTCCGTTCTGGGATCAAGGACTTGGACTCTGAATGCCTAACATTGCAGAGAAAATCACAATCCTCCATGTGAGTGACTGGGAGTAATGGTGAATATGCTCCTACAGCTTCCCATTGGTTCCTGGATCCATGAATTCTAGCCATTGGCAATGTAGCACCACATAATAACCACTGGTTTAGGTATAAGTGGCATCCTGAAGAGTGATGCTGCCTTCCTACAGGGGGGTCATCTCCTGAACTGATGCATCAGCCACACCTTCGAGATGCTACTCTAAAGCTCTAGCAGGTGGCAGGTCTGCATGGCATGATGCCTGGCAGGGCCAGTGTTCCTTCCTGTTTGTATTGCTCACTTGAGCTCTCTGAACCTGCTTGAGCCTGAGCTTAGATAAGCCACCTTTATTTTACACTGAATTGCTGCTATACCTGCCTGACCTTGTGAGTATGACGGTATACATGTTATGGTACTGACAGGTAGTTGTAACGGTCTGGTAGGGTAGATGCTGAGTTTCTACCAGGGCCGAGGTCATGCCAGAAGCTGCTTTTAAATACTGTGTAGCTATCTCCTGCATCTTGCCTGGGCTTGATCCAGAACCCTAGGAGTTGGTGCTGTGACTTTTCGGTTGAAGCTGGCCAGAGACTCCAGATGGTGACCTTCTTTACCACAGATAACTTTAGTGACATCTGATTTGCAGAATTGTGTGCAGTAAGCTTCATATTTTCTTGTATTTTAGCCTGCAGCTATTGCAAAGTCCTTCTATTTGTTAGTTCTACTCAAAACAAGTAATCTTCTATGCCTATTTATAAATGGATTCTAAAACCTGAAGAGGGATGGGGGATGCGCATCAAAACATCTACTACATGGTGTTAACACAAAATTAGATTATCTGCAGACAACAAGGAATGGTGGTGAGCGGAGAAAAAATCACAATTTAGGAGACTGGGATGTCTGAACAAATTGCATGAATACAGGCAATGAAAGGCAGACACATTTTGATAGAAATGAGAAAGGAGAATATTGGTTGCCAGGGATTCTGAGTAGCCAGGGCCCTTTCCTGTGGGAATTGGCAGTGGTGTGCTGGAGAGAGGAGTGTTAAATATGAAGAAATTTGGCACATGTTGTGCCCAAACCCTACTGAGTCCAGTGGAGATGGCACCAGGTTCAAGAAGCCTACGAAGAGATCCAGAGCCAGCAAACAAGACATAGGGTTTATTGAGGACTTACATGCGGGGATGCCCCAGTGGTTGTGAGCTGAACAGGAGAATCACAACTGCTTGTAAAAAGCAAACGCTTTAGATAGCATCTTCACTTAGCACCCTTTCCCCAGTAACCTCTACGTGGCAACCCTCATTCCTTAAGTTATTGCTGCAGGTGCATCTGCCATACAGGGTAATTCTTAAGCCATGCTTAAATTATTGCTGTCAGATTTGTCTAACATACAGAAAATAAGTTATTAAACCCTTGACAGTTCGAAATGGGCCTTGGTGGCAGTTTTATATGTCATAAAAAATTAGTGAAGACTACAAATTAAGGCTCCCCCATACCCCGAAGTTAGTTTACCCGCACATCTCTGGAAGTGGGGATACTAGAAAGTTTCTAAGGACAATATCAAAAAAGAAAAAGGAACAAAACAAACAGAAAACACAAACAAAACACAAAACAAACTCTTCATATTTAATAATGTATCCTGGAGCCAGAGCTCGTCCCTGCACATTTTCCTTTTTCTAAAATGCAATCAGAAAGTGCCATCTGGTTAGCCAATTTTTAGGGTCATTATTGTTATTTTCTCATTAAAAAATCCATTTACCTCCTGGTTAGTAACTTTACGTCTATGTTGCAGTATGAAATATGAAGAAACTCTTCCTATTTTCTTTTCCAGCCTCCAGTCTTGCCCTCAGCTAATCTGTTCATCATCCAATTGTAACTCTGATCATGTTACTCCCCTGCTAAAAACAAACCATGTTTCTCTGTAGCATTTATACATAAAATCAAACTTCTTAATCTGGTGTATTAGCCTGAGTCCCTCTCAAAAGCCAAGTGTGAATAAAGACTTGTGTAGGGTAGGAGGGAGGGATGAAGGCATTTTCAAGAGGGAAGGAGGAAAAGCCAATACAGATGTGTATTAGTCTGTTCCCACACTGCTATAAAGATACTCCCCGAGACTGGGTAATTTACAAAGGAAAGAGGTTTAATTGACTCATAGTTCCACATGGCTGGGGAGGCCTCAGGAAGCTTACAATCATAGCAGAAGGAGAAGCAAGTACATCTTACATGGCAGCAGACGAGAGGGAAGAGTGTGAAGGAGGAAGTTGCCAAACACTTAAAATCATCAGATCTCACGAGAACTCACTATCACCAGAACGGCATGGGGGAAACCACCCCCAAGATCCAATCACCTCCCATCAGGTTCCTCCCTCAACAACTGGGGAATACAATTCAAGATGAGATTTGGGTGGGGACACAAAGCCTAAACATAACACAACGTGTATTGATTACTGCTATGAACCACATGGATTTGATCCTGCGTCTCTCCAGGGCCTTCTGAGGAATATTTAGAATGACTTTCAGAATCTACACCACCCAGCAATAACAGGGAGATGCATTTATGGACTTTCTCTCATTTTTCTAAAGAGCTGCCCCAAGAGATCTATCCACTTATACTCCTGGGCTACATATGCTGAGTGGGCTTCCGTGAATGCCCCATGGAGGAGTCAGAAAAAGCACAGGATAGAAAATAAATGATTCAGGTCATAAGCTCTCAGCAAGTTTCTATTAGTACAAACTGCGCATAAAACTGTTTATTGAAGCTGTGGCTGGAATTCAGCATGAGGCCTGGAGGGTGTGAGATGGAACAAAAGATGCAGCTGACCCACGTGGCATATAAGCTGTCCTTGATTTTCCATTCTGACTCCTCCAGTCTTATCGCTGGACACACTCTCCCTTACAGCACATATATACCAATACAGGTATCCTAAACGTACTTTGCTATTTTATATTGTCTGATTCTTTTTGGAAGGGGAGTGCATGCTGATTTTGATTCTTGAAATGCTGCCACTTTTTTTCTCTCGGTTGGTTTAATCTTTTAGACTAACTCCAGATGTGACTCTTTGCTGGAAGTTTCCATGGTTCTCCTCTTAGTGTTAAGTCTTCTATAGCTCTTGTAACACCCATATTATAGCTCTACAAAAGCCCTTATTACAACATACTGTAACTCTAACACAGAAATCTGTTTACTACCCAGCTTCCCCACATGTCTGTGAGGGACTGTATTTTTTATTTTCATATCCTGAGTGCCTAGCATAGTACTTGGCTACATCATAAATGCTCCATAAATACCTGTGGACTAAATGAATGAATACATTCTGATATGCAATGGATGGCTAAGCTGGTATATTACAAAAAAGGAAAATCCAATCTAATTTTAGGCCATTCCAAAGCAATTGAAGCATGAATATATTTTGAAAGAAGTTTACTAGGTTTCCAAATATGCCTCTAATACATATAATCAAAAAAGCAATAGCAACAAAAGTGTATAAAATCAAACAATAAATCAGTACTAATGAACATACAACTTCTGCTGTCAAGAATTCAGTAGAGATAAGACACACATGTATCAAACGATGAATAAGAATAAAAGGGGGAAATACACTGCAATATGAAATATTGCAAGATAGTATGGGTGAACAGGAAAATAAGTAGCAGAAAATATATATTCTCTGATATCAGAGAATTCTGAGATTTTCTGGTGATAGAAGGGCAACTAGGTTTCCAAGCAGCAGATAGGACTTTAATTAAACAGTGTGTGTAGTGATTTACAGCAGTGACTATGGGGAAAGAAAAATCCCTAGGCTCAAACTTCTAGATCATGTACACCCATTAGCTGTGAAATCTTGGGCAAAATCTAGTTACCTCATCTGTAAATTGATGCTAGTAATTATAACTAATTCATGTGGTTAGTGTGAGGATTAAATTCATTAACACATGTATATAGATTAGAGCAGTACCTGGCATATAACACTTCTGTTACATGTGATATAACTTACATTAAAAATGGGGAAGTTAGTCTTTTAGCAGAAACATAAGGTATGTTTAAGAGCCAGTGAGGGGATTAGTTTACTTGCAGCAGAGGGTTTATGTGGGAAAATGATGGGAGATAAAATTGGAAAGCTGTTCTGAGTTCTTAGTGAGGATTCAAAAAGTGAGCCAGTAACAAGAGCAAACAAAGATAGGGTGAATGTATATCTTGGTTTTCCCTGGATAATTGACATTTAATGATTGTCAATTGTCCAGGTATAGTTATCAGAGCAACTTTCATTATCCAGTGTCTTGTTTTGATAAAAATATTCAAAAAATGGGTATTTAAACAAGAGTCATGGGGATTTGAGGAGATTATCCGGCATAAATGTGTAAGATGCATTGAAGGAGAGCAGTTTGTAGGTTAGGAAGAAACCACTGCATGTTTATTTAAAATCGTATTTGTTTCCATAGAATTACAAAGACTTAGTATTGAAAAGGACCTGAAGATAATCAGGTGGAATTCATGCTTCATTTTTTATATTGACACATTGTGATTTGCTTTCAATACATTTGGAAATGTTCAAAGAAGTATGTGAACTTGAACCCTTTATGGAAGTAAAACAACCATGGGAGGAAGTCAATGCTCATTGCATGTAAACTAGCACAGCTCATGTGTACAGGAAGTTTCTTACTTCATATTTAAATGATAGCCCTGAACAATTTTCATATGCCAGGTTTGGAGTTCTGTTCATTAGTCAATAGTTTAGTTTCAGCAGTGACAAGACCATTATATATTCATGTATGTGCAGAGATTGCAACATTTTCTATACTTTGCCCTTATTATCTTATAAAAAGTATTGGGACATTGGGAAACTAAAGTGCTGATCCTAGTGATATGAAATATAAATCTCATCACTTTAGTGAGGAAAAATTTTAAATCATTAGTGTTATGGTTTGGCTCTATGTCCCCACCTAAATTGCACCTCGAATTGTAATAATCTCCATGTGTCAAGGGTGGGACACATGTAGATAATTGAATCATGGGAGCAGTTTCCCCTCTAGTGTCTCATGATAGTGAGTGAGTTATAATAAGATCTGATGGTTTTATAAGGGGGTTTTATAAGTGAAGAGGGGTTTCCCTTTTCACTTGGCACTCATTCTCTGTCCTGCTGCCCTATGAAGAGGTGTCTTCCACCACGATTGTAAGTTTCCTGAGGACTCTCCAGCCATGCAGAACTGTGAGTCAATTAAACCTGTTTTCTTTATAAATTACCCAGTCTCAGGCATTTCTTCACAGCAGGGCAAGACTGAACTAATACAATAAATCAGTACCAGGAGTGGGGCACTGCTGTAAAGATACCAAAAAATGTGGAAGTGTCTTTGGAACTGAGTAACAGGAACAAGTTGGAACACTTTGGAGGGCTCAGAAGAAGACAGGAAGATGTAGGAAAGTTTGGAACTTCTTAGAGACTTGTTGAATGGTTTTGACCAAAATGCTGATAGTGAGATTGACAATGAAGTCCAGGCTGAGGGGGTCTCAGATGGAGATGAGAAACTTCTTGGGAACTGGAGCAAAGGTGACCTCGCTACGCTTAACAACGAGACTGGCAGCATTTTGCATGTGCTCTAGAGATCTGTGGAACTTTGAACTAAAGAGAAATGATTTAGATTTAGGTTATCTGGCAGAAGAAATTTCTAAGTGGCAAAGCATTCAAGAGGAATTGGAGCATGAAAGTTTAGAAAATTTGCAGCCTGATGAAGAGATAGAAAAGAAAAACCCATTTTCTGGGGAGCAATTCAAGCCTTCTGCAGAAATTTGCATAAGTAACCAAAAGCCTGAATCTTAATCACCAAGCCAATGGGGAAAATATCACCAGGTCATGTCAGAGACCTTCATGGCAGCCTGTCCCATCACAGGTGCAGAAACCTAGGAGGGAAAAATGGTTTTGTGGGCTGAGCCCAGGGCCCCCGCTTCTCTATACAGCCTCAGGACATTGTGCCCTGCATCCCAGCTGCTTCAGCTCCAGTGAGGCTAAAAGGGGTCAATGTATAGCTCACATCATTGCTTCAGAGGATGAAAGCCCCAAGCCTTGGTGGCTTACATGTTGTGTTGGGCCTGCAGGTGCACAGACATCAAGAATTGAGGTTTGGGAATCTCCACCTAGATTTCAGAGGATGTATGAAAATGACTGGATTTCCAGGCAGAAGTTTGCTACAGGTGCAGAGCCCTCAAGGAGAACCTCTGCTAGGGCAGTGTGGAAGGGAAATGTGGGGTGGGAGCCCCCACAGAAGTCCCCACTTGGGCACTGCCTAGTGGAGCTGTGAGAAGACAGCCACCATCCTCCAATCCCTAGAGTGATAGATCCACTGACATCTTACACCCTGCACCTGGAAAAGTGGAAACACTCAACATCAGCCTATGAAAGCAGCTGGGAGGGGGGCTGTATCCTGCAAAGCCACAGGGGTGGAGCTGCCCAAGGCCATGGGAGCCCACCTCTTGCATCAGCATGATCTGGATGTGAGACATGGAGTCAAAGAAGATCATTTTGGAACTTTAAGGTTTAATAACTGCCCTATTGAATTTTGAACTTGCATGGGGGCTGTAGCCCCTTTGTTTTGGCCAATTTCTCCCATTTGGAGTGGCTGTATTTACCCAGCACCTGTACCTTCATTGTATCTGGGAAGTAACTAACTTGCTTTTGATTTTACAGGCTCATAGGTGAAAGGGACTTGCTTTATCTCTGATGGGACTTTGGACTTGGACTTTTGAGTTAAGACTTTAGGGGACTGTTGGAAGGGCAGGATTGTGTTTTTAAATGTGAGGACATGAGATTTGGGAGGGTTTAGGGTTGTAATGATATGGCTTGGGTCTTTGTCCCCACCCAACTCCCACCTTGAATTGTAATAATCCCCATGTGTTGTGCTTGCTTTGGCAGCATATATAATAATCTCCATGTGTCAAAACTGGGACCAGGTGGAGATAATTGAATCATGGGGGCAGTTTCCCCCATGCTGTTCTCATGATAGTGAGTGAGTTCTAATGTGATCTGATGGTTTTATAAGGGGCTTCTCCCTTTGCTTGACTCTCATTTTCTCTCCTGTCACCCTCTAAAGAGGTGTCTTCCACCATGATTGTAAGTTTCCTGAGGCCTTGTAAGTTCCCCAGCCATGTGGAACTGTGAGTCAATTAAACCTCTTTCTTTATAAATTACTCAGTCTTGGGGATTTCTTCATAGCAGCATGAGAATGAACTAATACAATTTGCTACGTTCAGAGAAACAAACCTGTAGTCTCAGTCTAGTGTTGAGTGGGCACTCCCTGGGCAGCAGTAAAAGAGGCGGGGTAAACCTGCGGTAAACCTTGCTAACTTGCACCCACTTAAATCTGGTTTGATCCAATGTACAGCTTGCCATCATAGCAAAGAATGGGATGGGAACGATGCAAGGCCATGAAAATCTGAAGTGGTATGTGAGAGGCATGTGACACAAAGTCTTCTTCAGATTGCACCAGCATTTTCATTTCACTTGCACTGACTATTTTTCCTAGAGCTCATTTTCTTCACAGATTTGGAATCAATTAGGGTGTGTAGGATTGTCTTTAATGAAAAGATATTTTTCTCTTTCTCTCTTTTTTTTCCTCCTTTTTTAGTAGTTTTTAGTATCTCCACCCAGTCTGGAACTATATCTTAAATGGTGATTTAAGACTTTTGTTTTGTGGTGATACAGGGTATGTCTCAGATCCTGTTACAAAACAACAGAGTAGCTTGGCTCAGGTCCTATTTGCAAAGCTCTGTGTGTATCTTGACACGTCTCATATAAGCTGCATTTCTATATATCTAGTGAGTTCATTTTTTTTGTACCTGTCATGAGATGATGAGTCATAGCCCAGTCCCATTTCAAGCAGTGATTCTGGCTTCAGTCCATTGCTGTGGAGCCTATGGTTGGAGCCTATAGATGCTTCATCCTTGCCTATTACTTTGTTTCTGTTTCATTTCTAATCCTTAACATGAATGTCATGTTTAGATTTTTTTAAGATTTTACTCTTTTTTTATTTTACCTCCCATTGCTAGGTACTTGGAACTTTGGGTTGGAGGCACATCTAAACTTAGAGTTACAATGCCATCTTGACTGGACATCTCTTGGAAAAATGACTTTGAACAGACAATTTTATTCCCAGCCAAGCTACTAATCTAGTATAAGAATAGAACAAAAAATTCCGTATGTTTGAAGATTCAAGAGGGTTTACCTTTCTTACATCATTTCAGAAAAAAAAAAAAGATTACTGAAGCATGTGCTTTTGTAAAACAGAAAGTTATAAGCAGGGAAATAAGATTTGGAACTCAAGAAATACTGGATGCAACTCAGGAAAACAGTAAAGGAAGATACCATGATGAAAGCCCTCAGCAGACCCAGAGAGCAATTGGTCCAGACTGGATTAATTCATTTAGCCTTCATTAAAGGCTAAATGGTAGTTAAAGGGAAGTTTTCAGGCACAAAGAGGACCACCTAAGAAAACAGTAAGTTATAAACACCAGGTAGAACTACACAAGCTAAAAAATAGTCATGATTCAAATGTTAAGCAAATGAATATCTGTCATTTTTTGAGATAATATCGCCTTAACCTTTTGTTGTTTTTCATACCATTGACATTGTGAAAATCATAGGCCAATTATTTGATACAATATCTTTTAATTTGGATTTATCTGATATTTCCTCCTAATTAGATTCAGGGTACATAAACATTCTTGTCTGGAATATTATATGAATGATGTTGCATTCTTCTGGGGGCATAATATCTGAAGGCGCACAATTTCCGTTCACTCCCTATTAGTAATACTAATTTTCATCATTTTACTATGGTATTATCCAATTTCTCTACTGTACAGCCATTTTCCCCAATGTAATTAATAAATAATTTGTTGGGAGATACTTTTAGGCTATGTAAATAATCTGTTCCTCATCAAAGTTCTACATCCAAGATTAAGTATCTATTGATTATTTTTGCCTGAATCAGTTTTTAGAATGAAGTTTGCAAGATGATGATTTCTTCCCTATGGTTATTAGTCCGTAATTTTATGTAAGGAAGAACCTTATGTAAGGTTCTCCAATATATACATATTGAGTATACATATTGAGGATCAATAGATTGACAAATAAACTATTATTTTGCCATAAAAATGTGTGATTGCTTAGGGTCAAAGGCAATTTGAGAGGAAACAAAACCAAGAATTTCCCCCTTAAAAAGAAGACTGATATGAAGATGTCTTATGTAATTTGCTTTTATTCATTGTCTCCAGAGGCTGCTGATGGTTTCCCAATACATTTGGTATCTATCTATCTATTTCTCTGTCTATCTATTTATCAAGTGGAATCCTTGGCATTTACAAAAATCTAATCTGATTTTATTGCTGAAAGTAGAAATATATGGGAGAGAAAAAAAGTATCCCATCTCCTCTGGTGTTGATGGCACAAATGAGAGCTCCGTGTTTCATTCCAATGAGATTGTGGCTTTCATTAATTTCACACCCTCAGCTGATGAATGAAATTGTTTTGTTGTGCTAGGCAGACTGCTCCTGCAGAGTAATTAATCCCAAATGAAGGGTTGGAAAAACTGCCAGTGAAAATGCTGTATATCTGCAGCTCAGCTGAGACTCACCAGAGAGGACTTCACTGGCAGCGACTCATGACTTTATGATCTCTCTCCCTTACATAGGGAGAGTGACAAATGGAGCCACTGACACCTGTTTTAATTAAATTGTCACTGAAGCAGGTGGCCAGTCAGGATGGAGGTACAGAGGGCTTTTTAGAGTTCCTGAGATAAGAGTTTCTTAGGGTGAATAAATTTTACTGGAAAAGAAGCTGCCCTGGCAGAAAGGCTACCTTAGTATTTCTAGGGGAAACAGGATGAACGGGGGCTATTAAGTACAAACCATAATGTTCTAATAGGACTATTAGAGGACAAGATAAAAATTAGACAATTAAAGTGAGAGAGGGAAGGAAGTCCATGAACAAGCATCTTAACATTTAGTTTTTCAATATTATGAGATATGATACAAAACCTAACTGGTGAATAGGCATTTTAGGATTCCAGAAAAGTCAGCACTTACTTTTATCTGTGTATAAAGTGGTTTGGAATCAGTTTCATATGAAACTGATTATATATTGAAACTGAAATATATATCTGCATAATTGGTTACAAAAATAATGGAAAGCAGCAGAGATCAGAATAAATACTCTTGGTGTTGTCAATGGTCTTTCTCATAGTTCTGGAAGCTGGGAAGTCCAAGATCAATGTGCCAGCATGTTTGGTGTCTGGTAGTGTCTGGTATCTGCTTCCAATATGGCACCTCATCTAGAGGGGAGGAACACTGTTTTCACAAGGCAGAAGAGCAAAAGGAGGCAAACTCACTCCTGAAAGCCATTTTTACTTGTGGCATGAACCCATTAATGAGAGTGAAGACTTCATGACCTAAACACCTCCCATGAGGCCACTCTTACTAGCACTGTTGCGTTGGTGATTAAGTTTCCAACACATGAGTTTTGGAGGGGACCAAATATTCAAACCATAAAGTTTGGCTTCATGGTATGCCCCCATTTTCTCCTCTATGTTCCAGTTCCATTTTTTGCTTCCCACTGTGGCTGATGCTTATTCTTGTGAACATCCACTTCTGCTGAACATGAGTGCTCCCTCCACAGGTGCCCCTGTGCTCTGGGCTGAAGTCCTTTGTGCTTTGCCTTGAAAGAGCAGATGACAACACCAAGAATATTTATTCTGATATCTGCTGCTTTCCATTAATTTTGTAACAAATTCCTGTGTTTTGACCATCTCTCTTTTGACACATGAGTTCTTTCCCAATAAGCATCTAAGTTAACTCACACGAATAAAACTCTAGACTATGCTCCCTTTTTGACATTCCATTACAGGCTCAATCCTAGAGTGAATCTATCCTAGGATCAAGCTGGACAGGATAAATTCACTCTATCCTGTAGATAGAAGAGCTCCTTTGATCTTCCTGTTTGGAAAATTAAAAAGCGAGTGGAGTCTAGAGTTTTGTTCATGTGAATTAACTGAGATACCTATTGGGAGAGAAGTCATGTATCAAAAGAGAGATGGTCAAAACACAAGAATTTATTACAAAAATAATAGAAGGCAGCAGAAATCAGAATAACCTCTTCTTCTAGTTGTCATGTCAATAATAGCCAGCATAACCATTTAATAATACTTTGGGTTAAAAAAACCTGTATTAGTTGCTAATATTTAAAATCAAGATATTTTATACAGAATGGGGATTAGTGTCATCTTTTGAGAAAATTGACCAACATGGCAAAACGGGGCCTATAGTTCTTCAGGTAATAGCAGCAGCAGCTGTAGAGGCTGGCCTGTCAGACAGTCATGCCTTTCAGTTCAGCACTGTCTCTACTCGTCTTTATTATGTCCCTAAATCCATGACCAGGGGTTCTTGTTAGTTATCCTCATATCTACTCTTTTATTGTTTTATACCTGGCCCATGTCCTTCATGTGTACATTGCTTGCTTATCTCCTGTGGGTGTCTGAATTTGAGGATATGGGGCAGCTTCTTAGTCTACCTTCTTGGATGTGGTATTTTAAAAGTGTGCCATTCACTTTTGCTTTACATTTTATAATGATACGCTACAAAACTTTATTCCTTTCCAGGATAAATCTGGGGTGTTGTGATTCCAGAGATAAACAGATTGAGGTATTTCAGATTACTGCCTTCAGAGTTGAGGGCTCAACAGAATGTGAAAGAAATACATTTGGATGATACAAAACTCAATTCACCAGGCCATGTTTTCTTCATTGTTCTCACTGGATGCCTTAGAACACACAGTATCTTCCACTGGGTCAGGGGAAACAAGGCCATTTCCAGGAAATGTGTTACATGCTGGGGAAAAGAATATATTCCCAGAACTCATTCTTTATTTTATATTTTGAGATTAAAATTTTGATTTCTAGAAATGTAAATTTCTATAATATAAATTTCTTCATCATTTATATTATTGATTTGGAAATCTGTCAGTTGACTTCATCTCTCAGAGGTCTGATGCATCATATAATGTGGTTTGCGGGAGAAATGGAATATAGAGTTATGTATGTTTTCAGGATGTCTGTAGAGTTTCTGCTCTGTGCAAAGCATCATGGCCTTTGTGGTAAAAGGAAATGGACTCAAACCTCCTAGAGAAGAGCAACAAGTCTTGCTGGTGTCTGCAGAGCAGGCAGGGGTCTGACATTGCTGACCATTCATTAGCAGAGCTTCTTTAGCATCACTGGCTGACAGAGTTTATTGAAGGACAATAGACAAATGACAAATGACTTCTAGAACTGGCTGCCCTACTTGGAGTCAGCAATTGGCAAGGTGAAGGATGAAGGAAGAGGGATGAGCAGTGAGCACAGGCAGTGAGTATATACCATTGAGGAGTTACCTCAACTAAAGAGAATGTTTTAATATTTCTAATGATATGCCTGCTCATTCAGCCAAAAAGCCTTTTATTTACAACTTATAATGGCCCAATGAGTGAATTAATTTGCTACCTTTGCCACCACATTAAATGCAAACATCAGGAAGAATGGTATTCAAAGCCAAGTATGAAATAACGATATATAAGTTGAGACAATGTGTCACACAGAAATAGCAAATAGCATTGTAATGTATGGTAAGCATGCCTAGAAGAGCTGGAAGCTTAGAGAATGTGTTGACGTGGTTTGTACAAAGCAGCCATTAGAAAGGTGCAGAGGTTCTACTGCAGATCCCAGTGCATGTCAGTGGGTCCTTTTATCTTATCAAGATGGATAACTCTTGCAGGGTATAAGTTTTTTCTCCCTGCCTCACTTCCTTCCTTCCATTTTTCTTTTGTTTCTTATAAAATGTCTTAAAAATAATTTTTGGAATATCAAATATGTACATTTTACTCTTCTCTCATTTCCTACACTGAGCCATTACACTAATTCTGATTAAATCCTTATGATAGTGCCCTTAATAGTTCTTCCCTCTGGTTTTTTTGATTTTCTTTAGTAAGTAGAGTCCAGTACATTATTCCCAGTCTACTTTGCTATGCGGCTATCATTCAAGTTCAAGTTTGCAATAATTTTCTCTTTAATCTCTATTACAGAAAACAAATTCCAATGAGCTTTCCACACAGGCTCTATTAGTACCTACATCCACTTTTTACTCTGCAATGGTCTGAATGTGTCCCTTTAAAATTCATATGTTGAAATCCTAACCTCCAAGATGATGGCGTTAGGGTTGGCCTTTGGGAGATGATGAGATCCTGAGGGTGGAGTCATCATAAATGGGATTTGTTCTCTTATAATATAGGCCCAAGGGAGCTTGCTTGCCCCTTCTACCATGTGAGGACATAGTGAGAAGGCATCATCTACAAGTAACGGTCCCTCACCACACATGGAATCTGCTGGTACCTTGATCCTGGACTTCCCACCCTCTAGAACTCAGAGACATGAATTACTGTTATTTATAAGCCACCCAGTTTATGGTATTTTGTTATAGCAGCCCAAGTGGTCTAAGACACATCTGTTTCTAGAATTTCCTTTTTTCTCTAAGAGTCTTCTAAATTTGGAAATTCAGAACTGTATCATGCTTCTGGTTAACTAAATATCCAACTGCAGGAAATACTATGATGGCAGACATTGAATAATTCTCTAGTTAGAATTCATGGGCAGAGTATGGGGTACACCGTGTACTATGTATATATAGATATACCTGAGTATATGTACTCAGTCCCTCTCTAAACAGCTTATTTAGTGTGAATTTGGTGAGATTTAAAAAATGGATGGTTTTATTTCTTTCAGATTACCATATTTAAATATGTTTTATCGAATTTCTCTTAAAAAAATCTTGTCAACATCTTAAATTCCATAATGATACCAGAATGTTCTACCTCTAAAACATTCATTCTCTGATACCATTCGATCTTTTCTTTTCTCTATTGCTGACTTGACTTAGGGCTGGAAGAACTAGGAGAGACGAGGGTCTGTGCCCTACTCCTGGAACATGCTGCCCACCTTCCTTTTCCTCATCCTCCTCCCCTTCCTGTGTCCACATGCCTGTGTTGCAGGAAGGAGAAAAGCGATTGGAAGTGACAGTGTTTCTTGTTTATCACTTCTCTGGCATTGGTTGGTGGCCACAGATTTCTCTCTGTTGCCTGCCCCAACATCTGTTAGGCCTGGGATATGAGTACAAATGGAGGTCTAGGTTTCCTCTGTCTAAATATTAAGAAGTTATAGATCAAGGTAACAAAGTATTAAATAAAATATGTTCCATGCCCTTATTTTGATAGATATATATTTATAATGATTTGCACAGTCAAATTGGGGTTTAGACTTCTTGAACTTCTTGGAATTTTGTATGTTAGCATGGTGGCATGGGATACACTGTCACTGCCCCTGCCTCCTGGTCTGTCTGTGGCCCAAGGCCTTCTGTCCTTCTCTCTCTAGCCCTAGGTCTGTCTCACACTAACCGTGACCTCCTACACCTGTGTGTGGTCAGCCTAGTTGACATTTTCAAGCTTCTTACCTCCTGCGATCAGCTGCAAATTGCCACCCCTTGGCCACTCTTTGAATCTGAAGTTTGTGCTTTGCAAGATAATGGGCTCACGAAGAAGCCCATGAGGCTCTGGAAGCAGGCTTGGGCCCATCTGGAGAGATAGTTCTGCAGTGCTGGGTACTTAGAACATGATTTAGAAGAGGATGAAGGTTTCAGATATGTATGTCCCCATGTCCCCCATTAGGGCAAGAATGAAGTCCTCTAGAGAGTAGGTTAAAGGTATTGGCCCCTGTTACCCAGTTCTGAGGGAGCAGTAATGGTGGTATCAGTGAGATCCTGAGGCCTCCTTGTAAATGGCTTGTAAATATGGGAAATATATTCCCCTTGCTGTCTTTTGTTATCAGTCATAACCTCCATGCTAGATACCCCTTCATGGCCTTTTGCTGCTGGAATTTTCTCACCTAGAGACCAATCTTCTTTCATATGGTGCCAGCAAGATGCCTCTGTGGTACTCACTTCACCTACGGTATCCTCCTCTGGCTTCACAGTGCTAAATAGTAAGAAAGTAAGTGGCTTCACTGTGCCCTTCCATCACCTTGCCAGCTCTCTCCACTTCTGTTTTCCTTGGTCAAAATAGTCACTGACATCAGATCTGCACAATAATTGCATAAATGAACACTCAACCCCCAACCTGACATTAGTCTGCTTTCTCACAGATACCTCTCAATCTTGATGAATGATTCTCTTGGACTTCTCCTGGCTTGGGCTCAGCAGAGGAGTCTTCTTATTCACCCCTCCATAAGGGAGGGAGGAGTGGATAAGAGATAGCCCTGCCTTCCCAGGCTAACAACTGCCTACTCAATGGTCCTCTGTCCCCCTTACCTTCTGCTCATGTAAGCTGGGTAATAGCAGTAGGATATGTGATAACTGAGCTTGTTTGTTTGTTTCTTAATAAACCCAAGAGAGGCTGTTGACCCACAATTATTAGGTACCTTATGTGCTTACATTCTTGGCTTACAACCTCAGTAGTCCATTCGAGGCCCAATAAGCAAATCTCTCTATATCCTAATATGCATGCAAACAAAATATATCTTCTATTAGAGGAGGTAACTTTGCCAGTTAAAAAAATGGACTATTTATCCAAATGTTTACCTTGATCTTTGCTTTTTGTGTACAGAAATGTTATTTTACCTCACAGTTACACAAATAGCATGATTGTAATTTGGCTTTAAAATGTGTCCTGGGCCACATCCAAGTTAACAATTTAATTCCTTTTCTTCCTAGCCTTGCCCCATGCTTCTATGCCTCCATCTGTCACTGGGTAAGGAGAAGCACACACAGTATTCCCACAAAAACCAAATCCTCAAAAAATATCCAAGGATGCTTCAACATGCCTCTTTTTTTTTGCTTCAGAGACACACATGATAGATACTGCTCACTGGCCAAGCAACATTTCATGGGTAGCACTGAAGGTGATGCATAGCTTCCGGGGTGGTACTTTCACCCTATTCCCTTTTATTCAGGTGGAAGTTTCAAGATGCTGGTGAGGGAGCAAGAAGTGATTATGGAGAAGACCTTGAATTCACTCTATTTTATATTAAAAAGTAAACCACTCACCAACATCATTGCAGTTATTGGTAATAAATTGCCTGCCACAAATTGCACAACTGATTGTGATACTAAAGTTGACAAGCAATTCCCTAGCTCACCTAAAGTAGAAAAAGCAATAGACAGCAAGATGCTATAATGAAGGGAGAAGCTTTGATGCTTGGGAGATGCCTGAGAGGAATCCTAATTCATGGCAGACCCTACATACAAGAATCGGGTCTTACAATTCACTTTCAAATTTGACAAGTGCTCATTAACTACTGTTTTACTTTTACATAGTTTTGATATTGTTAGAAATATTTATGTGAAACAATGCTTGGATTGTATAATAAACACACATATGTGTGTGTGTTTGTATGCATGTGGGTGTGTGTGTAAGGCACCTGGAATGATGATTGATGATTTTACCTATATTGTCACACTTACACTCAAAGTATCTCTGCAGGAGAGGCAAAATTAATTTCATTTCACAGATAAGAAAGCAGAGGCTCAGAAAATTTACATAATCCGCCCAAGGTTGTACATTTAAGAAGCAATGAAAACTGTCTTGCAGCTCAGGACTTTCTAAATCCAAACCAATTTTCTAGTCACAATTTCCTTCTCTCCCTTTCTTCTTTACTTCTTTCCTTTACTTAACAAAAATGTTTGGAAGACCCATTATGAATGCTAGGAATGTTTCTGGGTGCTGTGTATACAGCAGAAACTATCCAATGTTCCTGCCTGCCCTCCTAGAACTTACTTCCTAATTAGAGGCAAATACTAATCAACCAAATATCATAAATAAATGCATAATGTACCATCAAGTCATGATAAATGCTCTGAAGCAAACTTCCAAAAGGAAAGGAGATTGAGAATGCAGGATGGGGGTAACAGGTAAGGGCAAGAGTAAGGTGCCATATTACATCTGGCGTCAGGGAAGTCTAAAAACTGCCAGGCTTCCCAAGACTTTGACAGGTTTATTGAAATATCTAAATTCCACAATTTCCCTGTAAACAATATGCATTTGTTAGCAGAAACTTTTACTTGCTTTCTGCAATTTGTTTGCAGATAATAGTTATATTATATGCCAATGTATGCATTGGCCCTAAGCATGAAAGAGAAAAAAAAAAAAGAAAGCTTATGAGGAGTTTCTGGAAGCATGAGAAGATGTCTGAGTATATTTAAAGAGCACATAGGTCCTTATATATCAAGTAGGTACAGCTCCTGTGATTCTTGGGTGTAAAGGTTGGATGCCCCTTTAACTAGGACCAAGATTACATGTTTTTGGAAGGTGGAAGGAAATTTAATGGAGAGGAGAGAGTTGGTGAAGAATTGGTTGGGGGGCATGAGTAAAGGCAAATTGCCAATGGAAGTAGGATGTTCCAACAACTGAAGGCATTTCATGTTTGTATTACTCAAGGAATGTAAAAAACTTGAAATAATTCAATTCCACAAGCAAATAAGAAGTGAGGCATTTTATAAAGTGCATCAGGATCCTGAATCAAAGGTTCATTTTAAGAATAAATTGCAGCAGCCCAGTTAACCAAATTTTGCTAATTTCAGTTGCCTGCTCATTTTTTTCCGGCAATTTGGTTATCATTGCCATTTATTTCAGCAATTTTCTTAATGACCTTCTCAGAATGATATTCTCAGATATAACTGTCTTCAAAAAATATGCTAAATTCATGTAAAAATGTTGCAGTCTATTTCCTTCTTCACAGTTAGAAATGAAACAGAATCACTTGGACTTGTACCCTTCCACCATCTTTGCAGGGGACTTAATGAGCTGGAAAGATAGAGTAACATGGAGAGAAATTACTCTGATAGGGGCAGAATATGGAGAAACACAGGTAGTCTTGAAAGACAGCTGATTCAATTAATCCCACCAGCCATTTTACCAGCTCCATAGATCAGACATAAGGCCGAGTTGGACACTTCCTGGAAATAAATGAGTGAGAACTTTAGTGTAGAAGGAGTTTGGGTGGGGGAAGTTCAGATAACTCTGGGTCATTAATGACTTATTAAATACTGCCATGGAAAAAACTACTTTCACTGAACATTTCCAAGCTCCTTGAGAAAAAAAGTTTGTTTCCAAAGTGTTCTAACCTTTCGACTTTTTCCACTTGAAGATACTCGACTAATATGTTTCCTGCTAGCTGTCACATTGCTGTTAGTGAGTGCACAATGATTCTGAGTGGCTGCACTATGTTGTAGGATTTCATAAACTCAAGCAATCCTAACAGTACCAAGTGGAATTTGGCAGTTCTAAGAGACAAGCTTATTGTGATGTTCCTTTCATTCTTTTTTTTCTTTTTGCTCAACCCTGGGTGAATACAGGTAAAAATACTTGAAGTATAAACGAGAATGTTAGCTCCATATGAGCAGAAATTATTTTTTGGTCTGTTTTATTTACTTGTGTATCACCAGTGCACAGAATGGTGCCTGGCATATAGCAGAGGAACAATTAACTTTATTTAAAATAAATGAACAATGGAGCTGGTATCACCCAACTTATATTTTTAAAACTCACCATTCACAGATTTGGGAATACTGTTTTTTTTTTCCAACTTTTGGAAAGCATTCCCTTGACTCAGTGATAATGTGGACTTTCCTGTTACATTTGAATGCTTAGTTACATTGTGCTGTACAATTTTACTATTCAAAACTAACGTTACACATATTTCACATTGTTTTTTTTTTGTGAAATTGTAAGTTTCTGTTAGTTGCAGATCATATTTGACACCAAAACCTGTAGCTGACTTATGCTCTAATTGGGGATGATAGCTAAACTTGTGGCTGAAGATGTCTTTCATTAATTAACTTTTAAATTGTGGTTGAAGATGTTTTTAATCATCCAACAGAAAAATCAGTTCCCAAATAGCATATTGGTTTTCCATGGTTTTCTTTTCGTTTCTCCTGGAGTTACTTATTCTGCATTGATTCATTAATTCAGCTTATGCATATTGAGCATCTACTAAGTTTTGCAACACAGCTTACAGTGCTGGAAATGCAAAACTGATTGTCATAGACTATAAGCTCTGGAGTTATAAGGGAGACAGAAAACAAAACTAACCATCACCCAAATCATTATTATTATTCTGAGACCTTTTATTTGTCTTTACCCATATGCCACCATTGACATTACCTAGGATCAAATGGGACCTCTTAAAGAGCATTTGTTGGTTCTCAACCATCCCACAGGATTCAGGGATGGCCTAGTTTAGTTTCCAGGGAAGGGGTAGACCAGCTGGTAGTTTTGCATGAAATACATTGTGGCAAACTGTTTCAGCATACTGAGGCTGGGGTTGTCTTGCTATGATCTGAGAACCATGATTAAAATATCCAAGGGGAAACCAAATATGGAAGACAAATGCTGGAGATGATGCTACCAAAAGTTAGTTAACAAGGCCAAATTCAAGGAGAGAGCATGCTTACGCCCCTGCTACAATGATGCTTCTAGAGACCTCACAGAAATTCCTCTGAGAATGGCATCTGACAGTATGTAACCTAGACTATAAATTTGCTATAAATTTACAAACAGATTTTTACGAAATGTTTAAAATGCTAAACTTTTCACTAGGCATCTTAAAGAAGTAAAAAGGTGTTTAAAATTCAATTCTTTCACCCAAGTTCTTGCTACCTGGGAGAGAGAGATGAATATATGGGAAACAACAGTGATAGAATAAGATGATTTAAATGTCTGGACCTAAGAAAGAAAGAACTGCAAGAAAACAGAAAAAAAAAATAATTCTGCTAAGATCTTTTGGAAACCTTGGAGACCCAAGAGAAGCTTGATTTGAAATTCAAGAACAGAAAATAGAGTAGAAATATGGGAAGTAGGAAAGTGGGGAGGGAAATTTTCCCCATTAAGGGTAAATGTTTTAGGTTGAGTTCCCTAGACAAGAACTTGTGTGCAGGTAATTTATTTGGGAAGTGATCTCAGGAAGCCCCTGTAGGAGAGTGGGGATTGAGCAGAGAAGGGAAGAAAACCAATAAAAGAAAACCAAACTTGCTTGAGCTTAAACAAGTTACTGCTGTAGACAGCTAGAGCTCAATCCTGTATAGAACACTCTTCAGAGGGGCAAGGAATCTGGCATATTTATCCTCCAGTACTTATCTGGCTAAGGGTTACTTCATGGAGCATTAACTCTCCAGAATTCCAGCAGAGAGCAAGCCGATGGGTAGAGAGTTACAGGCATGTGCAGCAGGATTAGTGACACACCCTGGGAATGCGTGAATCATTGGAGTATTAGGTAGTACTTCTACTCTTGGAAGCACATATGGAGAAATAGTCCTGCACACGTTTCCAGGCTTGGCATTAAAATCACTCTGATAATAACATGTTTTAGAAGTTGGAATTCACTACAATAAGTATAAAGAATACCCATCCAGCAGATGACATGAGGAAATATCAGGCCTGAGGATGTTCAGGAAGCTTGGTTCCTTATGTCTCTCCATTTCCTCTTGAGAGAGGTATTAGAGGCAATGGTCTTCTGCCTCCCCAGAGTAAGGTCCTGTTGGCAGGGGATAATCATAACTTTTATATGAGTAATTGCGTTATTCTGTGTTTGGTATTTTTGATGGGATAGTCAGGCAGGTGTGGCCACAAAAGGAGATGGAAGAGAGGCTCAGGAAAACAATGTTTGTTATACTCACAGGTTTTAGAGATAGGAGGCACTGCCTGCCTTGCAAAAGCACATGGAAGCACACCAGAGTGCTCAGGAGGCAGAAGATAGGAGCAAGGGGAGAGATTGGGCCACAGCCTTTACTGGTGTTTCCATGGGAAAGGCAAGGCAAGGCAAGGGAGGGTAAACAATTTAGGATTGGCTCAATGCTATAGGGGTGGTCCCTAGTTGTCTGATCCCTGACCCTTGGATAATTAGAGCAGAACATTACCACAGACATAGGATGTGTGTCTCTGGATTGGCTAGTTTGCATATCAAAGGCATGATTCAGGCTTAGTCCTTTGCTGTCTCTAAGAACTAGCCTAGCCATGGAAGGGCACTTTCTCCCCATCTAGAAAGACTTTTTTCTTTATTTTTAAAAAGATGTCAAAACATCATTATATATAGAAAATAAAAAAATACATACACTACCATCTGAAACTCCAGATATTACCTTATTTGGTTGCAAAAATTGCACACCTGGACTTAACATCTGGGTTCTGGATATAATTTCTTACTATGTCTTCAGCACTCTCTTATTATATTGTGCATAGGTTATGTAAGGATGACCAGCTGTCACACAAGAGCAATCACTTTGCAAATATAAAAATGATGACCTGTCTGTGAACAAGAGGCACCATTTGTCTATGGAATGGCAAGGCCTTATAAGGATTCACCCCAGCAGGCAAATGTCCCCACACAGGAGGTTTGCACAGTGGCCTATAATAGCCTGCATAGGAAGCAGAGAAGTCTTGAAAGAAAAGATCACTTTCAGTGGCACTAGCATTAGGGCCTTTATTAACAAAGATGTCATGGAGGCTTCTCAGCAGAAATCTTGTCATCAGGCAGGAGAGACAGAGATGAAGCAGAAGAGGAGAAATATGGCAGCCTCAGAGTGCCTGTGGAGAGAATCTCACTCATAAGCATATGTGAGTTCCCTTAGAAACTCCTGTATTTATTTGGGGAGGATTTGGAGGTTGGGTCTGTGTTTGTGTGGGTGGGGGAAGTGAGTAGGTTTGAGAAGGTGGAAGACGGAGAAATGCTACTTAAAGTCACACAAGTGTAGGCTGCCTGAGCCTCTCAAAATGGGTCTAATTTCATGTAGTATTCAAATAGAATGACCCAAGCTGCCCCCATCCAATGAATGGAGAGGGGCCCACCATTCCTCAAAATAATCCTTGATATAGCAATAATAATAATTATAACACCTGCACCATAAAAATTGTTCCAAGCATTTTTATACCCTCTGTGCATGTATTATCTCATAAATTCTCATGATCACTCCTTTGAGCCAATTCTATTACTATTTCCATTTTAGGGGTAAGGAAACTGAAGTATAAAGAGCTCAAGTGCATCTCTAAGACCACACTGTTGATTGATGGCAGGACCGAGAGCTGAAGCCAAGCCTTAACATCTATGCTCTGCCTTTTGGCTCTCAGTAGATTCTCTCTGTCCATTCTTGATCTCATTTCTGTTGATCAGCCCTCTTTGCCACATCCTGGCTATTATCACCCTTATACATTTCTTCGTTCTCTTAAAATGCAATTAACATCAAAAGGCAGTCCTGTATCAGAGTGTTACCAAAGGTTGGGAGACTAGGGGAAGGGATCCCAGCACAGCAGAAGCACCAAGTTAATACTTATTATTAGGCAACATTGTGCTAAAATTCCATTGGCTGTTCTCCATCATGAGGAATTTCTCTAGACCATTTCCCCATCTCAGTCAGGACTTTTTCCCTCTTTCTTTAGATTCTTCCTTATACAGATTAGCTTCTAACTTCTAAACCAAGCAATGGGTCTGTCTTTGAATATCCAGATGTTTATTTAGGATATGTTAATTTTAAGATGTGCAATAGGTTATATTCAAAATCTCTGTGTTTCCTATCTCTCCTCTCCTTTTATCCCTCTATGTAGTTGTCTAGCTTCTGGCATCTGAATCACAGTGCTAATATTGACTCCCATTGATTGATTATTGAGACTAATGGCTAAAATAGAGACTCTTTTTTAAAAAGTATTGGTTTTCTTAGATTGGAACATAATGTAGTCATCAAGGTCTGGGTTAAAGTTTTAGTTCCTCTGTCTATTAGCCAACCACAGATAAGTGAATTATTACCTTTTTGAGCCTTGGATTCCTCAGATCATCGATAGACATAGTGATCAGATAATACATGTGTAAGGTCCTAGCATAGTCCCTGGCACATAGAAAAGCACTCAGTAATGTTAATTCCTTCCTTCCCATTCTTCTATTTCTTTTCTTTTGCTGTGACAATAATTAGAAATTTATCAAGCTAGTAAATTTTCTTGCTAATGTAAGAAATGACTTACATCAGGTGCAAACTCTAAAGCAAACAGCCAGTAGGATTAGTAACAACAGTTATATCTGAGTGATGACATGGAATATATGCAAGGACAATACTGCATGTTTGAGCCAACATTCCTGAGGACAAAATAAAGCTTTTTTTTTTCCCTTTTTACAAATGGCACTGGAAAAGGGTATAAATACTCCTTCTCTCTTCTGTCCTTTAAATGTATGGATTATTTATTTCCAAAATGTTGGATAAACTTTCAGTAAGGCTGAATAGAAACTAAAAGGTTTTCTGTCCTGGTTACAGGCCCACTTCAATAAGTAAAATGTACAGTCAGTAAGTAAAGTTTGCAGTATAATAATCAAAGTTTTGAATTTCACTCAAAGTTAACTTCTTCCACCCTCCAATTGGAGTTGTCTACATTCTGGTGGGTCTGCAGCAGGGATTGGGGTATATGGGACTTTTCTACTTCTCATCTTGTTTGCCACCTGCCATTAGAATTTCTCTGATTTCTTTAAGTTTTTTGTTGGTAGGGGGAGAAGAAGTCTATGGCTGATAAAATGTAACCTTGTGATAGTATCTTCCAGAAGTTTTGCCTTTCCAAGCCAGATTCTTCCTCTCATTAGATACTTTTGTGTCTGTGATAGCCTCTTTGGGTCCTTTCAATTTTTTTTTAAGAAATTTATTATTAATTGGCAAAAAATTATATATATTTATTTTGTACAACATTTTGTTTTGAAATACGTATACGTTGTGAAGTGGCTAAATTGAGCCATTAAGATATGTACTCCCTCACATTCTTATCATTTTTGTGTGTATGGTGAGACCATGTAAAACCTATTCCCTTAACAATTTCCAAGAATATGATACCTTGTTATCAACTATAGTCACTATATTAGTCTTTTCTCACGCTGCTAATAAAGACATACCCGAGCCTGGGTAATTTATAAAGGAAAGAGGTTTAATTGACCCACAGTTCCACATGGCTGCGGAGGCCTCACAATCATGGTGGAAGAGCAAGGGACGTCTTACATGGTGGCCGGCAATAGAGAGGCAGAGAAACTACCCTTTATAAAACCATCACATCTCGTGAGACTTATTCACTATCAGGCAAACAGCACGGAAAAGACCCACCCCCATGATTCAGTTACCTCCCACTGGGTCCTTCCCATGACATGTGGGAATTGTGGGAGCTACAATTCAAGATGAGATTTGGGTGGGGACACAGTCAAACCATATCAGGCTGTAGAATGTATCTCTTAAGCTTATTTCTCCTGTCTTATTGAAATTTTGTGTCTTTTGACCAACATCTCGCTGCCCTCCTCTTGATGTATGCATTACAGTCCTCCTGCCAGGCCTGTGCGGATTCCTTCCTTGGCCCCTGGCATCCAGCTGTTTCTGTTCAGTCCCTGGAATATATTTCCCACAGCAGTATTCTTACACAAGGATTCAGGACAGCTCCAGGTTGCTCCCTGCTTCATGACGCACATTTTGTCCCAGGGAGAAAATACATTACTCCTCCAGAATTTGTTTCACCGCAGTTTGCCATCTCTTTATCATGCAGCCATGGTCTCTTAGCAGCCTCTTGCCTGTAGAACTTTTCATCAGCTCCAAGAGAAATAGATCAGGCCAAACTCTCTTTGAGTGTTTCTCTTAAACTCCCTTCCATATATATATATATATATATATATATATATATATATATATATAGAGAGAGAGAGAGAGAGAGAGAGAGAGAGAGAGAGAGAGAGAGAGGCAATCTGTACAGGGCCCTGTGCTATGCAGGGCTTCTAAAAAATATGAAGCCTCTCTGTCCCAGAGAGTTTACAGGTTATTTGTTAAGAGAGAATTTACTCCCTTTCACCCTGGAATTACAGCCAAGACCAAGGCCAACTTTAAAAGAGGTTAAGTGCTCCTGAGTTTGAGAGAGTTGGCAGTAGTTGGGAGAATGTACTCCTCCATTGACCCTCATCCTATGCCTTGAGGTGGAGAGGAAATAAGGGGATCTGGTATTTTCTCTTTTTCAAACTAAGGAAAGGAGGTCAGTGCAGGGAATGATGAGAGAATCATCTATATGATTCTAGGGAACATCAGATAAGGAGACACTACCACTTTACTCAACTATTGGACCTGTGCTTCATGAGAAAACCTTCTAACTGGCCAATTTATTATTAAAACATAGGTAAAGAGAATTAGGCAGACATGGCATGGTGAGAAATTACTAAGCAAAGAGGAAATCAGGACACATCCCATGTCTAATGCTCAGTTTAAATAAGTACAAAAGAGACACCTCCACCTCTTTATGCCTGGCTATTGAGGGTAGTGACACAGGAGGCTACAGTTTTTCTAAAACCAGTGCTTTATGGGGGAAAAGGGGACTCATGAGTCAGAGCCATGTTGCTTGAACCCGCTAGCTGGAGAACAGCTGGAAGAAGTGGTCACTCTTCCAAGGAACTAACAACATCAAGGAGAGCTGCCTGGGTCTGTTAGAGTCAGCACCCACCCCCTCATAACTCTCATGTAGCAGCAACAACTGTCATGTTCAACAATGGGATGACTACTTGCTCAGTGAAGTGAGATGTTTGCCCTTTTCCCTCTTCTTTTTCCTCACTGCTATTGACTAAATCAGTATCTTCATATCTTCCTCAAATTCATATATTAAAACCTAACCTCCAATGGGACAGTGTTAGGAGGTTGGTTTTTGGAGGTGATTAGGTCATGAGCATGGAGCCCTCATAAATAGGATTTGTGCCTTTATAAAAGAGACCCCAGAGCACAGAGACTCCCTTTCACCATGTGAAGATGCAGAGAAGATGCCACCTCTGAACCAGGAAATGGGCTCTCACCAGACATCAAATCTAGTAGAGCTTTTATCTCAGACATCCCAGCTTTCAGAACTGTTGTTTAAAGCCACCCAGTTGATGATATTCTGTTATAGCAGCCTGAACACAGTAAGACACTCACCCCCAAGAAGGAGGAGCTGATGTTCTGAAGATGGACGAGAAAGGGGAAGTAAAGAGCAGGGCACGCCACTCCACCTCCTTCCCCCAAGTGAGATGAATCAAGGGGAGATGCAGGCAGAACCTGGAGCAGGAGAAAACTTGGTCCATGTTCCAGATCAAAGTTTCAAAATTATTAGTACTATTTTAAATATCCAAATGAAGGAGTTCTAAATCAGAAAGGAGCAGACAACTTGTGGACTCTTTAAGGAGGCCTCTTCTTCTCTATGAGATCTCATAGAACACAGGTAGAGACAGTTAACTGAAAACATAAGTTTTGTGTTGAGTTGAGACTTCATAATATAACTGTTATATGTGTATGATGTGATATTATATATATATATATATGTATATATGTATCCACACAGTTTAGCATATCCGAAGTACTGTTTGAATGATGGAGATACTAAGCAGTAAAAAGTGCAAAATGGATGCATTGAACAATTTTGTAATAAGAAAATAGAAATTCAGTTTAACATCTTGCCTCTGCACCACACACACACACTCACAGAGTTTCTCTCTCTTCTTTTATGCTTGAACACATGGATTAGCACTTCTTTTCATAGAATTAATATAATTCCATGTGAATTATATGAAAGAACTTCCTATAGAAAGGATTTTAGGTCACACATAAAGGAAGAAATTCTTTTTGCATCTTAGCTAACAGAATGCTACACATTTCTCCAGTCCTACACTTGCTCTATCATGAAATAGAGTGCTTTTTAAAACGTTGACTTCTATTTTGTGTTTTTACAAAATACTTTCACTTATCTGTTATCCATGTTTGTATTAAACCTGCTCTGTGAATAAACTTTGCAATAATAAGGGCCACATATATAACAGCTAAGTCTAGTGACTCATACAGATTCATGTCTGAATAGGAACTTGATAAGAGTTGATTGGTGATGACGAGGCCATGTCAATGAGCTCAAAGAAAGCTTAGCAGCCAGGACAGAAATTATTCTTATGGTCAGTTACACTTTTCTCTGAAGTTTAGTAAACTATGCAATGAACATTTCCTCCCCAGGATTTGAGTCTGGAATTGGGATTTTGGTTGAAGATTACAGTGGGGGTTCCATAACTCTTGGCTTCTGGTGAGGACAGAAAGTTTCTTTAAAAAGTTCCTTGAATAACCAGATTATTTTGGAATGCCTGAAACTCTGACTGCTCAGGAATATTTCAAGGCCACAAGTATTTTTCATGTACCATATGTTAAACATTACATTTTATAGGTTACATATAAGTGAAAGACATATTTTCTACTTTCAAAGAATTATAGACTCTTAGAGAGAAAGATACACAGCTGCATGCACTCAGAGACAGAAACAGTAGCAAAGTTAGCAGTTTCCTCAATAAGGTATCTAGAATCCTAGCACCAAGAGATAGGAAAAACAACACCAAATTAAAACTTGGGGGTCCATGGAACACATTTTGAGAACTATTGGGGGAAATAATTGGATGTTGTGCACTAAGTGGTAAAGTTAGTATTACAGACAGAAGTATAGGAAGGAAGAGGGGAAAGAAATGATTAGGGTCTGGACAAATGAGGGAGGGTTTTGTGCAACAGATGTGGTTTAAGCTAGGCTTGGAAAGATGGGTAGCATTTGGAGAGGAGGGAAGGAAGAATATGTTTCTGACAGTCAGATGGCACAATGTCTTAGGCGAGTAAGAAATAAAATTAAGATCCAGATATACAAAGAAGCTCTGTAAGAGTGGAGGTTTGTGGTGAAGAACCTCTGAGACATGGGATGAGTGTACAACGAAGGATAAACAGGCTGTATAGTAAAAGGGTGTGAATGCCAGGCAGAAGCATCTGGCAAGATTAAAAAGGGGATTTAAAATTATTTAGATTAAAGTTCTTTTTGAATAATCTTAATGCGTTTTATTACTTGGAAGTCTAGTGTTCCTTCAGATGTTAACATATGCCTTCTCAAAAGTTGTACAATGACCATACGAAGTGAGATAATAGGTTTCTTTACTCTGGGATGTTCCAGTCTTTTACACTAAATAACACTGCTTTTTAAAAGGGGGGAATGTAATATTTCATTAAAGAACTCCCATCCTACTTTTTTGTTTTTGTGAAAGAACACTTGTTGGCATTTGTCACTTTATGTAATTTAATTTGGGAAATGCTCTACTAAATATTTACCAGCTATGCTCTGGAGACTTGTAGTCCTGGCTTATGTTAATTTGGGCAACAAGGAGGAACAGGTGAGAATTATCCCTCTTTGGAGTGACTTTGTTTCTTTGTCAAATAATATAAATATTAGAAAATGAGATGGTCAATTTTTATTGAAACTGATGTTCAATAAAAATTACTGTAGACCAAAATTTGCTGACATCTGAGACCACATACCAAGTTGAAAATTAGTGTTTAAGAAGAAAACAACATCCATTTATCCAATTTTAATTAATAATCTGAGTTATAGTAAGCTGTTAAGATTTTTACATTAATTTGCAGAATTTTATTACTATTACTAGTGTTAGAATTTTTTATGTTTACTGGCCTTTTGCCTTTTAAAGAATTTTTTATTTTAGAATAGTTTTTGATTTACAGAAAAATTGCAAAGATAGTACAAGGAGTTTCCATATGACCAACACCCAACGTTTCCTATTATTAACATGTTAAAATAAGTGTGGTACATTTGTCACAGTTAATGAACCAATACTGATAAATTATTATTAATTAAAGTCCATACTTTATTCAGATTTCCTTAGGGTTCATCTGGTGTCCTTTTTTCTGTTCCTGGATCTCATCTAGGTTAGATATTTCATTCATTTTCTCAGGCTTTTCTTGGTTTTGGTGATCTTGATAGTCGTGGAGAGTGCTGGTCAGGTTTTTAAAGAATGTTCAGTTGGAATTTGTTCAGTATTTTCTCCACAATTAGATTATGGTTATGTGTCTTGGAAAGGAAGATAACAGAAGTAATGCTTCATTTTTATATCATTCTGTAAAGAGTACATGCTATCAACATGACTTTTCATTGTTGAAGTTAAACTTGATCCCTGGATGAGGTGCTGATTGCTAGGTTTCTCCACTATATAGTTACTCTTTTTCCCTACTTTCCACACTGTACTCTTTGGAAAGAAGTCATTCAGCTCACATTTACCAGGTGAGGAGTTACACTCTACTTCCTTGAGAATGAAGTATCTACATACAGCATTTGAAATTCCTCTCATGGAAGATTTGGCTTAGTCCTTATTTATTTATTCAATCATTTATGTATATCAGTGTGGACTCATAGGTATTTATTTTATAATTTGATTATATAATCTAATACCACTTTATTTTGTTGCTCAAATTGTTCCAGCTTTGGTCATTGAAATTGGCTCTTGAGTCCCATTGACATACTCATATTGAGGTCTTTTTTATTTTTATTTTTATTTTTTGAGTACTTTCTGGCAATGTAAGATGATCCAGGCTCACCTTGTGTTTTTTTTCTGCCCCAGTGCTATAATTAGCTGTTTCTTCAAGGAGCTCTGGTTCGTTTTATTGGAAAATGGTATTAGCAATATCTGGGAGCCAAGAGAGCTAAGTGTGTTCACTGCTCCAGGGATGTCATTGTTTCTAGGACCTCTCAGCTGACAGACCAAGGAAATATATGTGGGTATGCTATCCTGTGTATTTCCACATCTATAAATATTTCCATATGCAACCATTTGTATCTGAATCAAGCTAAACACGAGTTCATACTGGTGCCCATGACTCTAATCCATTACCACATGGATGATTCTAGTCTCCTTCCCTTGCTTATTTCTAAATTCCCACTCTCAACAATAAGAAACTTGGCTCCCATCACCCATCATCTATTTACTTAATATTTCAATTCTCATATACATGTATAGCAATTGTAACATATGTTTTTAAAGTTTTTATTTTTTATGGATACATAGTAGGTATGTATATATTGAGATATGAGATATTTTGATATAGGCATAAAATGTATAATAATCACATCAATGTACATGAGGTGTCCATCACCTGAAGCATTTATCATTTCTTTGAGTTATAAACATTTCAATTGAATTCTCTAAGTTATTGTAAAATGTACAACAAATTATTGCTGACTGCAGTCACCCTGTTGTGCTATCAAAAATTAGATCTGATTCGTTGCATCTAACTATATTTTTGTACTCACTGACCATCCAAATTTCCCCCACCCACCCACTACTCTTTCCAGCCACTGGTAACCATTATTCTACTCTCTATCTCCATGAGTACAATTGTTTTAATATTTAGCCCCAATAAATGAGTTACAATATGTGAAGCTTGTCTTTCTGTGTCAGCTTATTTTAGTTAACAAAATGTCTTCCAGTTCCATTCATGTTGTAAGTGACAGGATCTCATTCTTTTTTATGGCTGATTAGTGACTAGTACTCCATTGTGTGCATGTGCAACATTTTCTTTATCCATTCTCTGTTGATGAACACAGTAGGTTGCCTCCAGATCTTTGCTATTGTGAATAGTGCTACAACGAACATGGGAGTGCAAATACCTCTTTGATATACAGATTTGCTTTCTTTTGTTTATATACCTAGCACTGAGATTGCTGCATCCATATGGTAGTTCCATAACAGTTTTAGTCTTTTAAGGAACCTCTACACTGTTCTCTATAGTGGTTGTACTCATGGTTCCCTCTGCTTTGTGGTATTACTCAAGAAGTCTTTGCTCAGACCAATGTACTGGAGATTTTCCCCATATATTCTTGTAGAATTTCATAGTTTGAGGTCTTATATTTGTCTTTAATTCATTTTTATTTTATTTTTGTATATGGTGAGAGATATGGGTCTAATTTTATTCTTCTGCATATGGATATTCAGTTTTCCCAGCACCATTAATTAAAGAGACAATTTTTGCTCCAGTGTATGTTTTCCACACATTTGCTGAAAATGAGCTCACTGTAGATGTATGGATTTATTTCTGGGTTCTGTATTCTGTTCCATTGGTCTACGTGTCTGTTTTTTTTTTTGCCAGTACCATGCTGTTCTGGGTACTATAGCTCTGTAGTATCATTTGAAATTATGTGATGTGATTCCTCCAGTTTTATTCTTTTTGCTTAGGATGGCTTTGACTATTCTGGGTCTTTTGTGGTTCCAGATAAATTTTAGAATTGCTTTTTCTACTTCTGTAAAGAATGTCATCAGTATTTTGATAGGCATTGCACTGTATCTATAGATTGCTTTGGCTAGACATTTTAACAATGTTGATTCTTCCAACTCATGAACATAAAATATGTTTTTATTTTTGTGTGTGTCCTCTTCAATTTCTTGCATCAATGTTTTGTAGTTTTCATTGTGGAGATCTTTCACTTTTTTGGTTAAGTTTATTTCTAGGATTTTATTTTATTTGTAGCTATTGTAAATGATATTACTTCCTTGATTTCTTTTTCAGATTGTTCACTGTTGACATATAGAAATAATATGAATTTTGTACGTTGATTTTTATCCTGCAAGTTTACTGAATTTGTTTATCAGTTCTTACCGTTTTTTGGTGGAGTCTTTAGGTTTTTCCAAATATAAGATCATATCATCTGCAGACAAGGATAATTTGACTTCCTCCTTTCCAATTTGGATGAATTTTATTTCTTTCTCTTATCTGATTGCTTTAGCTAGGACTCCCAGTACTATGTTGAATAATCATGGTGAATGTAGGCATCCTTGTCTTGTTTCATATCTTAGAGGAAAGGTTTCCCTCTAATGCTCTTGTTTTTGTCTTGCCTCCTAACTTTGAAATTGCCTAAGCACCCATGCTGAGAAAGAATATTTATCTTGTATTTCCTTCAGTTACAATTCTTTATTATTGTACTGGAGTCCAGATAGTATGGTGGCAATATGTGGGAGAGGGAGAAGATTCCATTATATTATGATTACATCTCTGTCTTTTGATGAGTCTGGGTCTCTGCATTGTGACCTTCACAGTGTTTGCCCAGGGGTATATCCTCCTCCACCACTGCCATCTACTCCATTCTCCATCTGTGTTCCTGATCTAGTTCCTTGGAGTCCTGTTATCTATTTTTTCCCCTTAGTTGAGACAGAAGTATTAGAAGGGCCGAGTGGGAGCAATGTCCTTTTCTTAATTGAGATAATGCTCTGGCAAAGCCTTTACCCGTGGAGAGCAGGCCTCGGTGGTGGAGACGGCTCTGGGCACACTGAACAGTGATTATTCTATTTCTGCTCCTCTGCCTGCCAGAGCCATGGGAGGATCTTTCTGAGTTCTTCATGGTGAGAATCTGCTGGAATTCCTGGAGGTAAAACCCTGGAATTAAAGTGTGGGAGTCCTCCTAAGACAGTGGCCCCTTGGTCTTTCTCCCTCTCATGCTAGTACACACTTTGCCTCCAGCAGCTTATCAAAATTACCATGTAAATATTCTTACCAATTTATGGCTTCAGTTACTTCTGCTTCAGATGAGCAGATCTTAGCTACAGCTCTCTGAATGCATCTGTCTCTATAGTTTTCAGGGTGGCATTTTGTCCTGCAACCTTAGTTCTTTCATGAACACCCCAAAACTGACTAATTTTCAGTATTGTCTAGTTTTATCTTGTTGTAAGGATGGGAGCAACAACTTTCAACCTCTTTACATGCTGGAGCTGAAACAAAAAATGCAAATTATTAAGTTTCAATGACTGTGATCTCATTTGGCATTTTGGAAGAAAATAAATTGTTACTTTCTATGATTAGATTGACAACTTTAATATATTGCAATAAATGAATCAAGGAATAATATTAGTTGGCTTCTAGAAAACTTTTCTGATTTTGTTATTCTGAGCCTATATTAGCTTTAAAATGGCATTGATAAAATCTTTTGTCATTTAACTTTAAAAATTATCCACATTTTAGATAATTCACTTTTTACTCTCGTTTTTGCTCTAGGGCTTATAATTACAATTTGTCCTCTAAGCATATGGTGTTATTTCAGTGATAGAGAGACATCAAAATAATTTTATTTACTACTTTTAGTGGAATAGAACATTAAATAATGTTGCCATATAAAATATTTTCAAATATTACTTTTATTCTTCATTAAGTCTCTTATTAAGGTTTATAACATGAATATATTTAATCAATTATGAAATTGATTAAGCCTGATTTGCTCTATTGTATGGTGTAGAATAATATATATTCCTGTGTGTATAATTCTTATACATACAGAAATATAAATGGATTAATTTGGACAAGTTATTCAAACTCTCTCTGCCTCAATTTCTTCCTCTGGGAAAGAGGAATTGTAACCATAAATCTACCTCACTGAGTTGTTGTGAGAACTAAAATGACTAGCTGTAAGTGAGGTCCCTAGATAAGAGCCTGGCATACAGTATGCCCTAAGCAAATGTTAACACTTGTTATTATCTTTGGTAGTTTCAATTACCATTACTTGCTATTTTAGACTAATGCATAGTTAAAACCAGAAGGTACTGGAAAAACTCTCTAGGTCAGGAATTGTAAGTAACCTGAAGGCTAAGTTTGACTTTCAGAGGTTTGTTTATAACCATGTTTTAAAATTATTTTTAATTTGAATGCCTATTGAGGAGGAATGAAAATTCAGTTCCTCATAGTTCCCACTATTCCCTGTTGAATTACATAATTATTTGGCTTCCGACATCTGCTTCCCACATTTGTTTTTCAGCTCCTGAAAAACCTTTCAATTTGATTCCCCTGATTTAATCCACCCCTCTTATTTAACGGAGAGGCAAATGAGTTCCAGAAGGATAACATAAAGGCTCCAGAGTTGTGACCAAACTAGAAATAAGATCTGGGACTTCTGATTCCTAGAACAATATTATCCCTATAACACCATGGTGTGGGCCTTAGTTGGCATTGTGTAGATCAAGCTTCTCTTTAAAGGTAATAAACTGAAGGGCCTAACATTGATCAGTCATCTTATGATACGTATCAATGAGTGTGTAAATTCTAGAAGACAAAATTATCCCCACTATTGAAAATCAAAACAAACAAACAGAGTTAAGGTATGTGGCAATATCCATTTTCCCTCTTTAAAAAAAATAATATAGAAAGGTCAATTTAGGAAACTATCAAGAAACATTTTTCCTTATTAATTTGATATATATGCAAAACTAACACAGCAACTTGAGCACATAATTTCAAAACATGTTTGTGAGAGTTTCAATTCACAGCTTGTTCTTGTCCTGTCTTTAAAAGAGAGAGTAAAGCTAAAATTATCTGTGTGGGACTAGAGCATCGTAATTGGAAACTATTCTGATAGTAGGCATGGTAACAACAATGAAATTATTTCTACAAAATGCAAGAGGAAGAAATGTGATATAATTAATTTTGAATACTCCAGATATGGTAAACTGGATGCATTGTGAAACATATATACCGAGAAAAGGTGGGGGAGTTGAAGTTTATTTAAAAATCAGATGAGTATTTTTAAAGAAAAATTGTATTTTTAAATAAGATTTCACTCTATCTTCCCTCACAAAATCAAGGAAATAAGGCACAGTAGTTACCTGAACCTGACTCACTGTTAGCTCAGTGGGAGGTTTTAATTAGAAGCTCTTTCAGTGAAAATGAGAAAAAGAAAGTGACAGTCTCATCCCTTGACAGTCATAAGAATAGGCAAACTTTCTGTAGAATGTTTGGTTACTCTCTATGGGGCACAAATAAAATATGCAGTTTGAAAATTCAGTCTTATGGTGAAAACACTGCAAGCCTTCAGGTTTCTGTGATTTGCAATCTGCAGTGTGTCTAATAATCATGAGGGCTTCTTACTCCAGCAACAGGGTTACTATAACAAAATTAGTGGGACCAGGGTCTGGGACCTGCATCACAGGAGAGCTGATGCTGGTGATCTGTTGACCACATTTTGTAAAAGCATCTTGTGTCTTGCAGGAATTTCAGAATATTTAATTTTCCTTGCTCTTTCTATTTCCTTATACTGTTTTATTTCAGAAGTGGAAAGTAATAAAAAATAGATAACTATAATAATAACTCAAAAGACCTTGAAAACCTGAACCTTGCCTTCATGGTGCTCACAATTTACTTTGTAGATATGATGCCATTAATAAATGACACAGGAAAGCATGGACTGAAGAGTAAGGAGAGAAGGGACGATGTTTTAGAGCAGGAGGAAGCCACAAAGCCCTTAATGGAAGGGCTGGATGTGGCAAGTTAATAAATGAATCGCATTATCAGTTTGGGATATAGAGGTACCAGAGTTAAATCCTGGTTTTCCACATCATAGCTATGTGAACTAGGACAAATTGTTTTATATCTCTGAGTCTCAGCTTCCACCTTTCTAAAAAATAACACATATAGGTAAATTTTCAATAACATGGGAAATCACTTGGCACATTGCCTGATGCATAGTTAATTGTTCAATAAATAGTTATTTTGTTTATCCTTGAAAGAAAATTTGTGTATATAAATTAGAGGGAAATATACTGAAAGTGAAGCCTTGAAGTTAAGTTCTCTGTGCCCACCCAGCTAGTTTAGTGGTCCTGGGAAAGGAACTCTGATGTCTTGACTTCCAGTTCAGTGTTCATTCCCAAACTTACACAATTTTATGGATCGCTAGAAGTACTTGCTAACGAATAAGATCCCTGGGCCCAGTTCTAGAGCTTCTGAATCAGAATTTCCAGGGCAGAGTCCTGGACACTTAGTTTTAATAAGCACCTCCTGTGGGTCTTAGGTTAAGGTAACAGGCAGGGAGCATCTAGAGCACGGAAAACAACTAAACCAAAGTTATGAAAATGAGAACAACAACAACAGCAATGACAGATTTATGGAGAAGAGCATGAGCATCACTAAAGTAGAGGTACATATTTATCACTTATTCATTCAAGAAATATTTTTTCATCACCTGCTATGTGCCAGATATTGCCCTAGGTCAGTGGCTCTCAAGTGGGTAAATTTGCCTTTTAGAAGACATTTATCAATATATAGAGACATTTTTGGTTTTTACATCTTGGGGGTTGCCACTGCTATCTAATGGGTAGATGCCATGTATACCTCTAAACACTCTACAATGTATAGGACAGCACCTCTTCCCTCCAGAAATTAAAAATGTGATCCAAAATATCAATGGTGCTAAGGTTGAGAAACTGTATTCTAGGTATCAGTGACAAAGACAGCAAATAAGATTTGTATCCTAACAAAGTGTGTATTTTTATAATTGTAACACGTTTGGCAATAGGAAGGCAGCAATAGGAACAGAGCAATACAGATAAGAGAGAACATTTATAAGGATACCACCCCAATATAAATTGGCCTATGATTGAGTCTGATGACTAGAGAAGACTGGATGGAAGGTGACTACAGGGTCTGGTAGAAGATGGACCAACCAAAGGGAAGATCAGAGAAAACATGGAATTGGGGAAAAGTTTACTTTTAGACTTGTTGAGTTTGAGATTGTATCAGGATTTTAAATGTGCTATGTCTGTTAGACTATAGCACAAGCGAGAAAAAAAGAAAAGAAATATTAATCTTGGATCCAGGAACAGCAAGATGATAGCTTTATGCAATCAAATAGATGAATCTTCATGGGAGGAAATTCATAGAAAAGATATCAGAGGTTCAGAGACCGTGCCTTGGGGAATGCCAGTAATTAATAACAGCCAGTTATGCATTTTTATAAAGGTATAGTCTTGCCATTCATTTTCTTTGATCCTCATAAGGGCTGGGTGGCATGGATATGTAGGTACGTTTTTATCTATTTTATGAATACCAGAATCAGTTATAAATCACCTTGCTACAGAGTACCAGAGATAAGATTCAAAACTTACGTTTCCTACCTCTAAATTCAGAATTCTTAATACTGTGTGTACCAGAAGTCAAGAGGAAGGAGCTCAGCCAGGCATTCTTAAGGTCTGCATTAATTCTGTGCAAGTCCAGGTGCTATATGAGATAAATTTATGCCCAAAGCATGTGAAAAATGCTACCTCCTTTATTTCAAAAAAGGCTGTTTTGGGAAAGGTTTTTATTTTTGGAGGACAAAAGACATAATCAATCTAGCTCACTAAATCTGCTGGAATCTTGGTTGTATCAGTCAGTGTCTTGGTTGGAGTCATGGTCTGAATGTTTGTACACTCTCAAAATTCATATATTGGAAAGTGTCTCCCAAGGTCATGGTAAAGGAGGTGAATCCTTTAGGAGCTGATTAGGTCACCTTCACTCTTCCTTTATGAATGAGATTAGCGCTCTTATAAAAGAGGCCAAGGGGAGCTTGTTTGCCCCTTCCACCATGTGAAGACACGCGGAGAAGATACCATCTATAAGGAACAGGCCCTCAGCAGACACAGAATCTACTAATGTCTTGCTTTTGGGCTTCCCAGCCTCCAGAACTGTGAGAAATAAATTTCTGTTGTTTATAAGTCACCCAGTTTAGGATATTTTGTTATACCCACCCAAGCTGACTCAGACAGTTGCTCATGACAGAAATGTAAAAAAACCTCATAAAAAGAAAGAAGGAGAAATTTATTTATGGACTCATGTAAATAAATCATGGATATGGCACGAAAGGAGATGGACAGTGAAAGTGGAAACACTGCCAAGACCCCTTTTCTTTTTTCCTTTCTGCTTCTTCTTTCCTTCTTTTCTTCCTTACCTTTGGGAGTGGTAACACCATGTCTGGCATCTTCTATACTTATATTCTCACAGCTTTGAAAATAGAGAGAAAGATGCTTTCTCCCTCCCAGTTCTGGCTGAAGAAGTGGCTGTGGCATAGAGGTTTGGATTGTAAATTGAGCTCTACAGAGGGTGGTTATTTTCTTGCAGACTTTTTAGGTAACTTTACAGTGAGTGCTACCAGGTGGAGGGTAGATGATGTGAAGGGCACAGGCTTGGCTTTCTTCAGCCATGGTTAACATCTGCACAAGCATTTAACCACGTAGTAAAGGATAACGATGCTCTCTGTCTTATTTTAGAGGTGGTTAGCTTATTTTATTCCTCCTTTCTCTTCTCACAAATACATGTTTTTGAGCATCACTTTACTGTCTTACTCTCCAGTGTTTTAAAATAATTAACTTAAACTACCGCATTATTTCCTTTTAATTGTAAACAAGTTTTTCAGCCTTTTCCTTCTCTATATGTTGTTAAAATGACAAGATAAGGGCAAGCAAAAGAGTCCTTCTGGTGATTTGTTTGAATATATCATGTTGCTCAGGGTAAGCAGTTGGCTGCTGTGCAACACTCAGCCTGAAGCTTTTGGCCTGGCAATGTAGTTTCAATTTAATCAGAGGCAAGAGCTATAAAATTATACTGTTCAGAATGATATATACCCAGTGGAATAGCCATGCCACAGCAACAACCTGAATTTCCACCTCAAGTATTTGGCTAGGAGGAAATTAGTCATCATCGTTATGTTAAAAATTGTTAATGAGACAGGAAAAAGGTCACTGCAAATGCTTCCTTAAGTGACAATTATTTGATATTGTACTAGTGAGATTTTGTTGGCTTGCTTATTTTGAATTAAAACATTATTGGTATTTTTCTTTTTTAAAAAATTTATCTTATGTCACATTGTGTTATTATCCTAGTGTGAAAAGTGTATTCACTTTAGAATCAGACTGCCTTACATTCAAATTTTAGTTTATTCTTATTCAACAAATATGTGCTTACTGTCTGTCTTAGCTTATTCAGGCTGCTATAACAAAATACCCTTGACTGGGCAATTTATAAACAACAAAATTTATTTTTCACAGTTCTGGAGCATAGAAAGTTCAAGATCACAGTGAGCAGATTGCTTCCCTGATGAGGGCTTTTTCCTCATAGATGGGAACTTTTTGCTGTATCCTCACATGGTGAAAGGAAAAACCCAGTTCCCTCTGGCCTCTTTTATAAAGGCACTAATCCCATTCATGAGTTTTCTGCCTTCATGACCTAATCACCTCTCAAAAGCCCCATCTCTTAATACTATTGCATTGAGGATTAAATTTCAACATATGAATTTTTAGGGGACACAGTCATTTAGACCAAAGCAGTGTCTATGATCATGTTTCAGATATTCTATTAAGTCTAGAGGATGCAAAATTACATAACATACACTTTTTGATCTCAGAAAGTACGTAATGGTGCGGAGTTAGTGCTGGGGGTGCAGAAGATGGGCAGCGCACAACCCACCGAATGGAGAGTTTTGAAGGGCTCCCTAGAGATAGTGCTGCTTGACCTGGTTTTGGTAGGTTTCATGAATTCAAGGTGTAGGAAGTATTTGCAAGTAGAGTGCAGATAGCTGGACTTCAAGTCTGGGTTGTAGGAAAGGAGTCTGAGCTGAGGATGTACATTTGGGGGCTTCAACAGCCTTCAGTTAGCTGTTGAAATTTTGGACGAGGTCATCAGAGAGGATGAGGTGGTCAGTGGACAAAGCTGAGAGACTCTGAGAACCAGAAGGCTCAGGGGAAAGAGTGACCCTAGCTGGACACAGAGGAGTGACCAGACATGTCAGGGAAAACTTAGGGACGAGGGATGTTGTATTTGCCAATGGGAAAAGAGTCTCATGATTTTGTGACCTTAAGCAAGTTAGAAATCTCCCTGTAGTTCATTTTCCTTGTCAATGAAAAAGAAATAATAATATCTATTGCATAGTATGTTGTGAAGATTATGGCAGTACATTCAATTGACATAATGCTTGGAATATAGACTTCATTCAATGATTGCTTTTTCCAATATTGATTGGGTTACTGATAAAATTGTACATGATAAAATCTGCCACTTAATGAGACTTATTATTTTGTTCAATAATTTCATTAGATTGCCTTTCCTAATGGCTAAATCTCCAAAATCTAATAATTAGCTCCACTGAGGAGCTGTGGTGACAAACCAAGCAGAGTCTGCTTTCCTTTCCAGAAACAATTCCCAATGTTTCCAGAAATAATTTTTTCTTCCTTCTGATAATGATATAGCAATCAATCTTGTTTTCAAAAGCTGCATTTATTTTTAGTTTGAATATACAATCAATAATAAATGTTAACCTTCCTTTACAAAACTACATCAGTCATGCCAAATGGTATAGTACATGTAGTGAAAAAAGATGACTTTTATAGTTTTAACTATTATTGCACACATCTACTTGTGTATGTTTCATGTGCTTCACAATTTAGGTGCTTTAATTAAAGCAACCTAATTTGGGGAAATTGCAGAAGAGATGGGAAGGCAACATTTTTTTGCTTTTGAAATCTTGTCGTTATTTGTTTTCTTTGAAGCTGAGCTGAAAAATTATCTAGATTCCTTTGTGGAGCACATAGACAAATTCAACCTCTGGCTTTATGCAAAAATTTAAAACATTTTCATTTGTGTCTTCCTTTTCATGTAATGCGAAGTACCTCACTTAGTCATGCTCTGTGTTTGCTTTTCACAGCAATTTCTAGGGCTTTTTTTTTTTTTTAATACCTGAAAGGAAAGCATATTGCAAGATAAGAGATAGAAACCAGTAGAAAAGATAGATAAAGAACAGGCAAATTATCTCCCCTTCTTTAATGCACTTGTTTCTTTTTTATGCCCTTTCCATTTCTTCAGTAGCATCTTGGAGAAAAGTCCTACACACAAGTGATTGTATCAAGGGTCTTGGAAGAACAGTGTGTTTCATGGTTACCTTATTAGAATTACCATCAGATTGTGTTTCTAGAGCAAGTTGATAAGCACGAGGAAGATGTAGTCCAATAAGCCCTTTAGTCTTATGCCTATAACTTGGTATTTAAAATCCATCTGTCTGTGATAGGCTGCTGAATAAAGCTCCCCGCCCCCACCCGCACCCTGCCGAAAGGTGTCCCTCTCCTAATCCCTGGAACCTGTGAATATGTTAATTTACAGTTAAGGAGACTTTGTAGATGTGATGAAGTTAGGGTTCTTGAGATGGGGATATTATCCTGGATTACTGGATGGACCCAGTGTAATAACATGGGTCCTTATAAAAAGGAGGCAGGAAGATCAGAATCAGAGATGGAGGAAGGGACCATTATCCACAGAATGGGGGACCCTTTAGCAGCCGGCAAAGGCAAGACAAGGAATTCTCCCCTGAGCCTTCAAAAGGAGTATGAGTCTGCTGACACCTTGATTTCTGTCCATTGAAACCCATATGAGACTTCTAAACCATGAAATTGTTGAGATAAATTTTTTGTGTTTTTAAACTACTAACTTTGTAGTAATTTAGTACAGCGGCAATAGGAAACCAATACACTATTTTTAATCTCTATGTATTTAAGAAACTCTGGGCCAGGCCCGGTGGCTCACGCCTGTAATCCCAGCACTTTGGGAGGCTAAGGTGGGCAGATCACGAGGTCAGGAGATCGAGACCCTCCTGGCCAATATGTTGAAACCCCCTCTCCACTAAAAATACACACACACACAAAAAAAAAGCTGGGTGTGGTGGCCCGTGCCTATAATCCCAGCTACCTGGGAGGCTGAGTCAGGAGAATCGCTTGAACCTGGGAGGTGGAGAGCTGAGATCACGCCACTGCACTCCAGCCTGGCCACAGACCAAGACTCCATCTCAAAAAAAAAAAAAAAAAAAAAACAACTTTAAAATTCATAAATCCTGTATTAGTCCCTCTAATTTCTTATTGTTTATCACATGAGTTGGGATATAGAGAGAGTCAGAACATGGCTAATAAGGTCATATAAATAGTTGAGTTCTGTAAGTTACTTGAATCAAATACTAGCTCCATCATTTGCTAGTTGCCTGACATTAGTCCTGTCACATACTTCTCTGTGCCCCAGGTTTTTCATTTGTAAAGCTAAGATAATAACAGTACCTACCTTACTTATAGAGTTAAAGGACTCGCTATTTATAAAAAATATTAGCTTTCTGCACCAACCAAGCTTTCATAAATGGCCTCTAGCTCTTACTTCCCTGGAGTTCAGTGTATTTAGGTGACACTGGGACCATGATCATTAGTACAGTCAGAGAGACATAAGAGTGAAGCCTGGAAGCCTGAGGAGGAAATGGGAATGGGGGTTTCCCTGAGGCTGTGTCCAATTTTCTCAAATTCTGAATTTTCACTGGCTTTCTTGCCCTCAGTTCTCAGTCTATTCTGGGAATTCTACAGGGACTGAAATAACTTCTCTTCATCACACTGACATTTATGAAAGAATCAGGCTGAGACGAAGTACAGGTATTTCAACCCGTAAAGTAGATTCTTACAGCATCCAAATGCACAGAAAGGGATTGGCTGCATTTAGGTGATTATTCAGGCATTTTTCTTGATGCAGAAAATTGAGAAACACTTTAATCTTATATAATATTGTAGATATAATATATAAAATACAGTAGAAGAGAAAGGGCACCTTTCCCTTTAAGAGAGAGCACTGGGGTTCTTGTAACAAAGATGAAGGGTGTTACGAAAATGGTTAATGCGGGGCTCTCTAGCCACTTAATACTCTGATGCCATTGTTCAATATTGTAGTCCCTTTTCTTCTGGTCTGCAACTTGAATATTTTAACAAATAAGAGGAAAAATATTTTAGAAATTTCTCCATTTGCAAGATGTTCCTGACTTATTCGCTGCCTGGCTTTTAACTGTTGTAAGCTCATAATTTTGAGATTAGAGGCTCCTGAATATGATGATTTTGGTGGTCATCCTCATATCAGTTTTATCTACAGAGATTAGCAAAATGTAAAATGCCAATACATAGCATTTTTGACAATATGTATAGAAGCCAAGATATTCATATTACAAGATAGACATTTTTGTTTAGTAGGAATGTGGTTACCGGGAGATATTTCTGAATTAGATTCTAATCCCTCTTTCTTCCAGCTATGACACTTTGGGTAGTAGTGATAGATGGCATGTTTGTGAATATTTATAATTAACAATGTGTCTTCATGTGGATTTTACATATAATCCTACAACTCTCTTGTAGGCGAGACTGTAGCTATTCCCATATTAGAGAACAGAAAACCTAGTCCTGGAAAAGTAAATGGACCTCCTCAAATTCATACCACTACTATATTAGTCAGCATTCTCCAGAGAAACAGAACCAATATAGTATCTATATTTGTATAATATCTATGTCTATATGTCTACATTATGTCTATATGTCTATATTTATGTCTATATTTCTCTCTCTCTCTCTCTATGTATCCAGATATCTATATCTAGGAAGAGATTTATTACATGGTATAGGCTCATGGGATTATGGAGGCTAAGAAGCCCTACAACCTGTAGTCTTCAAGCTCAAGATTCAGGAAATCCAATGATGTAGTTTGAAGACCTGACATCCAGATAACTGATGGTGTAGATTTAAGTTTGAGTCTGAAGGCATAAGATTCAGAAGCACCAAGGTCAGGAGAAGCTTGATGTCTTAGCTCAAGCAGCCAGGTAGAGAGAAGGCAAATCCAACCTTCCTCTGCCTTTTTGTTCTATTCACTCACTCAACAGATGGTACGTTGACCACCTACATCAGGGAAGGCTATCTGCTTCTAAATGCTCATTACATTGCAAATGCTCATCTCTTCCAGAAACACCCTCACAGACATACCCAGAGATAATGTTTAATCAGATATCTGAGCATCCCCTAGCCAAGTCGACACATAACATTAACCATCACAGCTACTAACTGTCAAAGCAAAGGCTTGAGATTGGTTTTCTTTGCACAGCAACATTTTTGTTCCTAAAGAAAAGTTTGACTCAAATAATTAAACTGAGTGAGTCTTAGTTTCCTCTGATATACGTTGCTAAAGAGGTAGATCCCAGTCATCGTAATGCTGCAATGAACGTATGTGTTCATGTATCTTTATGATAGAATGATTTGTATTCCTTTTGGTATATACTCAGTAATGGGATTTCTGGGTCAAATGGTACTTCTGCTTCTAGATCTTTGAGGAATCACCACACTTCTTCCACAATGGTTGAACTAATTTACATTCCCACCAACAGTGTAAAAGCATTCCCTTTTCTCCACATCCTCACTAGCATCTGTTGTTTCTTGATTTTTTAATAATCTCCATCCTGACTGGCATGAGATAATATCTCATTGTGGTTTTGATTTGCATTTGCCTAATAATCAGCGATTTTCTTTTGGTGTGGAAGATTTATTGGGTTCATTGTCTTTGCAGTTAACGTCTAGGCTCATTCAGTAATTGATGTGGACAAATGGATAATTCCTGAGGAAATAACTGAAATTCACTTATTTGATCTGAGAGCACTGAGAAAATAGAAAACACTCTGAAGAAATCTTTTTATGCAAAGATTATGCTTATGCATCTCTGTTATGCCACAAAGTGGGCAACTGAACTTGGAGAGATTTTTATGACATCTGCTGTATGCTTATATATGCTTGACTCTATTGTTTTTCATGATCAGAATTGATAGCATATCCCAAACAAATGTGAAGGGCAGAGTTGCCTCATTTTGAGAAAAGAGAGCAGGGCTTTATTACTCCAGTATCAGTTAGTTGTTGGTTATAAACTTTATGTTCCCACCACTTTTCTAGCTGAGTAGGCTCCACTGAGTGAGACCAATTCTCCAAAGAAGAAGGCAGCTGAGAGCCGTTAGCAAGCAACACTCACACCACCTGGGGGATTGAGGCACTGACCTCGTGAAGGGGCCTACACAAAGCACCAACAAAGCTGACTATACCATCCTAACCCCTTTCCATTCACTTGACCACCCCCTACCTCACCAACATTACCTTAGTCCAAACCACCTTCTCCCACCTTGACTACTGTGAACTCTCTTGTCAGTAGTTGTACTTCTTCTTCCCATAAGAAATAAGAAATAAAAGAATTAGGGTTGCTTTCTGAGATATACCCTATAAGATCAAGACAAGATAAATTAGAAAATTAAATTGGAAAGTCATACTCATAGGAGCAGAATGGCTCCCCTCAGCCAACCTAGATTGATGAGGTTGAGTGGAACAGCACACCCAAAGAAAGAATATTCCAAAGGAGCAGTTGATCAGCTAAGGAAGCTACACAAAGGGGAATCACAGAGGGAAGCATCGAGAGAAACCCCAGAAGTCTCAGTCACTGAATACTAATAATTCATATCCCTTTGACAACTCAAAAATTCAGACATAATTTGACCTGCTCCTATTCAAGCCATTGAATCAAATCCCTTACTCCTTTGTTCTGATTCTATGCTCACTAAGAATATTGAAAGCATAGAGAATTTGAGCGGTCCTACGTCAAGGACATGTTCTTTTTATTGTAAATAATAAATAGGCATTCTAGTCTTACACATCAGTATCTTGATCCAAAAAGCCAGCCAATGGTGAATTTCCCAGGTTGCATGTCTGAGGGCCAAGACTCTGGATTGTAGCAAACTTACCAGGTTGCATGGAAATTATACTTTCCCCCACCAAAAACAATGGCCACAGCAAGATCTCTGGTTCCACATGGTCTTCCAGAACTTTGCCATTCCTCTATCAAGAAGTGGGAGTCTATTTCCTCTCCCCTTGAATCTGTGTGGGTTTTCATGACTGCTTTCATGAATAGAGTACAGCAAAAGTGATTCCAAGTGAAGGCTAGAAAGCAATAAGTCTTCCACCCGGCCCTTGCTCTTTTAGGATGTTTACCCTTTGAACCTGACACCATGTTACAAGAAAGTACAGGACAAGGCTATGAGTAGGTGTTCTGGAAGACAGCTTCAGCTACAATCCTAGCCACCAGCCAGCATCAACTGCCAGTCATGTGAGTGAAAGGTTCTTCACATGATTACAGCCCCAGGCTTCTAGTTCCCCAGCTGGTGGGAAGTGTAGAACAGATGGGCTGTCCTCACCTAGCCATAGCCAAATTGCAAATTCATGAGAAAAATAAATGCTGTTGTTGATTTTTTTTAGAAAAGAGCAATTTACCTCAATAAGAGATTGTTTTTTTGATCATTGTGTAATTATGAGGTTAAAGTTTGCCATTTGAGCTTATGAGGTTGAAGACTGTGGATTTGGATTTTTTGTTCATAGCAATAATGGTGATAGTGCTGATATGTGTCAATAACATTTTATAATAATATTAATAAAAATATATCATTTACTGAGAGTTCATGATTCATTAGTCTTCCTAATAAGGGTTTTTCTATGCATTTAATCATTCAAACCTCACAAATCCCCATGAAATAGGCACTAGTGTCTATATTTAAAGATAAGAAAACTAAGACTGGTCAGGAAACTGTCCAGGATTATCCGGTTACTAAGGGGGAAATTACCGGCCACCAAGTTCTGATTAAATGTATGGAAAAGAGGCCAGAAAATATTTATGGAGTATCCATATGCACTAGGTTATATTCTGGGTTCTTAGTTCTAATGAAAAAAACTAAGTCCTTGCTTCAGTGAGTTTATGTCTTAATGTGTGTGGATAGATAGTGAACCAGTTAGTATATACAATGTAACATCCAGCAGTACTAGCAAAGAACTGGGTAAGAGGATAGAGGGGTTTCCCATAGTGCGATGAGGGAAGGCCTGTCTGAGAAGTGACATTTAACCAGAGATTAGAAGAAAGCGTAGGGATGAGTAATGGAATTTCTAGGACTGTCCCTGTGACAGCCTCTTCATGGTACATTTTACCACTATTTTAGAACAGGGTGGTCCTTTGGTCATTGTATTTAAGAAGGTTATATAACATCTTCTTAAGGAAAGAGTAAGGACTTAGGAGGCAGACTTAGGTTCAAATTCTGGTTCTGCTCCCTTTTCCCCTCTAACTCATTTGGGCACCTTAACTTTATTTCCACATCTTAGTTTCCATGTCTATAAAACCTGGGCCATAATCTTTACCACTATGATAAATGAAAAGTGCATATGTAGAGTTCCTTTTGCAGTCTCTAGAACTGCATATAAATATGCAGCAGTCATGTGATAAATAATTATTTTTTATAATTTGTGTCTTATAGAGGCACATAGAGAAGTTCCTTTTGATGTTTTGTGGTCCAAATGTGAGGAGGGGAATTTGATGTAGAAAATTACCACTCACCTTCAGAGCTGAATAGAGAGTATGGTTAGAATGGAAACAGATCTAGGAAATAAGCTAAGAGAGAAGCCTGATGTGGATAAAGCTTGCTGTGGATAAAGTTTATTTACAAATCATATTAAGTGCAAGAATAAGAATTCAAGATGTGATTTGAGAGCAAGGTGGGCAGAGATTTATTTACTCAAATTTAGTATTAAGAAGAATCTCATAATGCACATTTAACTATAGAGGTTTACAGAATATCATGGAGAGGGAGAGAGAGCGATATATGTAAAATTTCTTGCCCTTTACTAGGCCCACAGCCCTGCTTCCAGCCGCATGTGCCTGCTATTTAAAATCGCTGTTCCTGGAGCCAGGTTGGCCCACTGCCTGATAATCAAGAAATCTGGGTCTAGTCCCAGTTTGCCTACTGACGTGCTGTATTGCTTTGAGCTAATCACTTTGCCTCTTTGCCTTTATGTATAGGAAAAAATATCTCTCCCTCACCCATCTCAAAGAAATCATTTTAGACTGAAAAAAAAATATTCAACATGCCCCGTGTGATGTAAGTGACCGATACATGTGGGACCATAATTTATTAAAGAGGCAAACCTCTTTAATTCACAACCATTATCTCACCAGCAATGAATTAGGCCAATAGCAGTTTGTAGTTTAGTAACAACTTTATCCTCAGGAGTGGGTAGCAAAACCACGTGTGGTTCAGTGTTTCGTCTTGGCTCAGTGGAAAGCACGTGGACTTTGGAATGGTGCACAACTGAGTTCCAATTTTCTAATTTTGCTGAACGTCAACTCTGTCTCCTTGTCAAGGATATGAGGATACTTACTCTTTCTGAGCCTAGGTTTCTAGATCTGTAAATACAGCAACACTATGTAAGTTATTGTGAGGAATTGATGAATATAAAGTTATTAGCATTATGTCTGCCACTGATATTCAAATGTGTTATTTTTTATTTATTTAAACAAATTGCTTAAGGTCTGAATTCTTGCAGCTTTCTGGAGGCCTCTAAGTTCTCAGTGATTTGGGGACTCACTGGGGCAAGGCTAGGAGACCCATTTCAGGAGGGCTTTTAAAATCAGTGCGAGGCTAGAGCTAAAAAGACATAGCTTGAAATAACCCACTGGATTTGCATCTGCCTGAGGAGCTGAGCCTGCTCCGTGCTGATCTTCTGTGGGGGATGGGTGGATAATAATTCTTGGCCTGAATTCCAGGATTAGTTTCAGTGGATGTGGAAGCTCCACAATTGTCCCAAGATGAGGGGGTGACTAAAGTACTCATTGTTGTGCTGTGGCTACTGCAGGGCGATGTGCAGGCTGAGGACATAGGTTAGCTATTTGGTAACTCCTTAGTCTGATTTGCAGTAATTTCCATCCCTTTCCAACACATCTGCATGTGCTGCAGGTTGTTGTAAGGCTTCCAGGCATCCCTAAGATTCATCTTTTTAATAAACAGAAAGGAAAAAATGGCCTATCTTTATTACCATCTAGGTCGGCTCTCTCAGAGCTGGAGGCTGCAGACCCCAAAGGCTTCTCAGTGCTGTCTCAGATGCTTCCATCCTTCATACGCTATTCCCATGGTAACCCTCAGGAAGGGAGAAGAGGGACAGCCATTAGAGGCTATTTTTAGACTTCTGGCCAGATGCTTTGACAAATCTATTGAGGGAAGGAAAATGTAGCAAATGTAGAAGAGGAGGATTTTTTTTTTTTTTGCCAAAGGCAATATCATTTAAAGTTCATATAAAACTGGAAAAGACCTTGAGAAATCATCCAACTTATCACTCTACCTCTAGAAAGACCTACTTCCAAATCATACAAAAATTGTACAGTAAAATCTTTTTTCAGAACATTTTACTGAATAGTGTATTTTAATTTATAACTATACTTTCTACCCTGAATTTGCCCCATATTCAGCCTCAGTCTCCTGAGCAAGGGAACTGGCAATGAGACTGAGTATAATGGCTCAAAACGTGGACTACACAACCCTGGGGGAACTGTTTGTTTAGAATATGCTACTAATGGCCCTGCCTAAGTTTGTGCAGTGTGTATCTTGCACAACTACCCCCACTGGTCCTTCTTTACTTATCATTTTGAAACGTAAACCAGGTTTAGTGCAACTCCTTCTATCCTTCCTAAAACCCTTTAGGGGTTTCTCGTTGCTGTAGGGTAAAAGACCCAAGATCATTAAAATACAACATGGCTATAAAATACAACATGGTATCAACCCTTCATACCTATCTAGAGTCACTTAATACCATTCCATTTTTCCCTTCTTGTGTATCAAGAAATAACATTTGAAGAGTGTCAAACATGTTATCTTCCTCCCATCTTAAGATCTTTGTACTTGCATGAAATGCTTTTCCTCCACTCTCTACCTAATTTCTTTGTTAACTTTTATTCTCCCAACTTAACCTCAAATATCAGAAAATATTTTCTTGATCTCTAAGACAAGAAGAGAAGGTACCCACGCACTATGCTTTCCTAATTACTTCTGCATTTCATTAATAGTACCTAGCAGCTTGTAATTCTATATTTATGTGATATTTTGGCTTTCTATTACTTTTAACTATGAACTCCATGTTGATATGGAATTATATTGTTTGCTCACCATTATACACCTAGTGCTTAATACTGTGTTTGGCAAACAAATTATTCTAATGACTGAATGAATGGGTAGCTGTTATTTTGTACTCTAATATTGCTATCTTTCTTTAGGTTTGGAAAGTTCTCTGTCTTTATGTCTTTGAGTGAACTTTCTACCCCAATCCCTCTCTCTCTACCTCCACTTTAAGGCCAATAACTCTTAGATTTACTTCTTTGAGGCTATTTTGTAGATCCTATAGGTGTGCTTCATTATTTCTTATTCTTTTTCTTTTGACTCCTCTGACTATGTAGTTTCAAATAGCCTGTCTTCAAGTTCACTAATTCCTTCTTCTGCTTGATCAATGATGCTGAGAGACCCTGATGTATTCTTCAGTTTGTCAATTGAATTGTTCAGCTTCAGAATTTCTGCTTGATTCTTTTATTAAATTATTTCAAGCTCTTGGTTAAATTTATCTGATAGAATTCTGAATTCCTTCTCTGTGTCATCTTAGATTTTGTTGAGCTTCCTCAAAACAGCTATTTTAAATGCTTTGTCTGACAGGTCACTCTGTAATTTGTCACTGGTAACTTATTTAATTCATTTGATGATATGTTTTCCTGGATGCTTTTAATGCTTATAGATGTCTGTCAATATGTGAGCATTGAAGAGTTAGGTATTTATTCCAGCCTTTGCAGCATGGGCTTGTTTGTACCCATCTATCTTGAGAAGGCTTTCCAAGTATTCAAAGGGAATTGAATGCTGTGATCTAAATCTTTGGTCACTGTACCCATATGTGCATTAGAGGGCATACCAATGCCAGGAATGCTGTGACTCTTGCAAACTTTGCTTCTTAACCCTTGCTATGTGTCTCTTGGCTGAATTCTTTCTTTTAAGTTAAACAAGAAATGAGGACTCCTACACTTCCTGGTAACAGAAATAAACCCAACTACACAAGGTAAACTAATTTTGAACAAAGGGACTAAGAAGATGCAATGGGAAATGGTGTTGGGAAAACTGAATATCTACATGCAAAAGAATGAAATTGGACCCTTATCCTATACCACATATTCAAAATGGATTAAAGATCTAAGTATATGACCCCAAACTATAAAACTCCTAGAAAACATAGGTGAAAACTCCTTGATATCACCCCTGGCAAGAATTTTTTTAAGTTTTGGATATTTTCCCCAAAACACAGGTAATGCAAGGAAAAATAAACAAGTGGGAGCACGCAAAACTAAAATGCTTCTGTACAGCAAATAAGATTATCAATGAAATGAAAATGCAGTTAATTGATCAGAGGAAAATATTCGTGAGCCATATATAGATAAGGGGTTAATATCCCAAGTATTTAGGAACACAAATAACTAACTCAATAGCAAAAACCAAATAATCCAATTTAAAAAATGAACAGATGACCAGAATAGATATTTCTCCGAAGAAGACATACAAATAGCCAAGAGAGATATATAAAAGTGCTCAACATCAATAATATGGAAACCACAATGGGAAGTGCAAATCAAAACAGTGAGATATCACCTTACACTTCTTAGGATGGCTGCTATTAAAAAGACAAGAAACAGCAAGTGTTGCACATGTGTGAAGAAAAGGGAACAATCATACACTGTTGGTGGGAAGTAGATTACTGTAGCCATTATGAACATTATGAATATTCCTAAAGAAATGAAAAACAGAACTATCATATAACCCAACAATCCTCATTCTGGGTATATACTCAAAGGAAATGAAATTACCAACTCTTAAAGACACCTGCACTCTCATGCTTATGTTTATTGCATCATTATTTACAATTGCCAAGATATAGGTACAACCTAAGTATCCTTTAATGGATAAATTAATAAAGAAATTGTGGTATATATAAACAATGAATACGATTCAGCCTTAAAAATGAAACAGATATTGCTATTTGTGATAACATAGATGAACCTAGGGAATATTATGCTAAGTGAAATAAGCCAGGCAGAGAAAGAAAAATACTGCGTGATCTCGTTTATATGTGGAATCTGAAAAACAAACAAAAGCAATCTCAAATACATAGGAACAGTTGAATGGTGGCTGTTAGTGGTGGGGGATGGAAGGGAAGAAGGGGGATATAATAGGGAGATGTTCTATGTGCCACATGAGGATTATAGTTAATAATATTATATTACATATTCAAAATTTGCTAAAAGAATAGGTTTTAGGCAATTTTACCGCAAAAATGTAGCTATGTGGAATAATGTATGTATTAATTTGCTTGACTGCAGTAATTATTTAACTCTGTATATCAAAACATTATATTATACACCTTAAGTATGTACAACTTAAAAATATATAATATGTTTCCAAATTCCAAGAAGCTTTTTAAAATGTAGATTCTGAGTCAGTAGATCTGGGGCGAGGCCTGTGATTCTGCATGTCCAATCTTTATCTAACTAGCTCTAGAACTTGGCTCTACATTAGAATCACATTAGAACTTAAAAAAAAATTGCAATTCAGAGGCCCCAGCCTGGTGATTCTTATTTAATTGGTATGGGCTTGGTCTAGGATTTGGAGATTTTCAAAGGATCCCCAGTTTATTCTAACATTCAACATTCTTGAGATCCACTGATTCCAGGCAAAGCTCATCCTCAACAACAGGTAAAGGGATATCCATGTGATCTCATACATTAGATGACATCCAACGTGGCTACCCGATAGGGGTCATCTTATTAGTATTTTGAAAATGCATGTGTCTTAGAGACACAGAAAGGTGGTATACATGGTTTGTTCTATAAGATTCAGAGAGAATCTTACATGAGTTGGTTAACATGGCAGCAAGTTGGTCCAATCTTAAATTTTTCCACTTTGACACATCTGGGAAAAGTATTTCAGAACAAATAATTCAGAAGTAAATGTACCTATTCGAAGTAGTGGATCATTTTGGTAGAAAACTAATGCAGTAATAGTAGTCTTTGTATTCAGAGGAAAAATGCATAATTACACAGATAATATAATAAGAAAAAAGAGAACTTCGGTGCTCTTCTGAAAGCTGCAGCATCTGCAGTGAGTTTCTGTGCCTTGCTTGCTGATACCTGTTAATATGAAGAGGAGGTATAGACCCTTGGGCACTTGGTTGCTCCCTCTAAAGATCAGTGTTTCTAAATCAAAACATAGTAATAATTTCCTTTATGTCATCAATTACACTGATTTTTTCCACTGACTTATATTTGTTTTTTTAATCTTAAAAATTCCACGATGTGAAGTGCAATATTTTTCTCTGCTCAACTTAGAATAGTAGTGTGTCACAAGTCCTACACTTGTGTTTTTTTTTCACATTTTCTCTTACTTAATCTTCTCAGCAAACTTGTTAGGTAGCTATTGTTATTATCACATTCTCATCACTGTCATCACAGATGAGAACACTGAGACAATAGTTCATTAGCTTCCCAAAGATACACAGGTGGCCAGTGGCAGAGCTCAGGTATATCTGATTTTCAAGCTTATCCTCTCCTTTTTTAAAATTTTAATTTTAATTTTAAGTTCTGGGGAACATGTGCAGGATGTGCAAGTTTGTTATGTAGGTAAATGTGTGCCATGGTGGTTTGCTGCACCTATCCACCCATCACCTAGGTATTAAGCCTCGCATGCATTTTCTATTTTTCCTAATGCTCTCACTCTCCCCACCTCACCCTCTGACAGGCCCCAGTGTGTGTTGTTCTCTTCCCTGTGTCCACATCCTCTCTTTGTTCACTTCCCACTTATAAGTGAGAAGATGTGGTGTTTGGTTTTCTGTTCTCATGTTAGTTTGCTGAGGATAACGGCTTTCAGCTCCATTCATGTCCCTGCAAAGAACATGATCTCATTCATTTTCATGACTGCATAGTATTCCATGGTGCATATGTACCACATTTTCTTTATCCGGGCTATCATTCACGGGCATTTTGGTTGATTTCACGTCTTTGCTATTGTCAATAGTGCTGCTATGCTCTCTTTATCTTAGTTGTAGTAAATTTGCAGTATGTGCCAAATCCAGTCTTCAGAAATATTGGTCCACATGATCTTTAAAAGCATTTACAGTTAGGCATCACCATTTATAAATCAGAAAATTTCCTATAAAAATCCAGATTTTAAGTTGCTACGTAAAATAATTATGTGTAACCACACTGAAGTCACCTGCCTGCAAGACAACAATTGCCTAATCTGTGTAACATTTCTCTATTTAGATGCTATTCTTAGCATTTCCCTAGTATTTCTTTTACTCCTGACCTGCTTCAGCATTTATGATACCAACTTAATTCCTCCAGGCCTCTGGGTTTTCAACTTAACCTCTACACTCTATTGTGGAAAGAAATGATTCTTGCATCTTTATTACATTTTATCATCAGAAAAATTCTCTCTCCATAAGGTGGAGAACTTTGTATTGGCATCTTTATGACATTGAACCTTTGGAGTGTTACCTGTCCACGTGCATCTTGGCAGAGTGGTCTGATTTCTCTGCGTACAAAGTGGTGGAGGTTAGTGTCCTACTGGCTTGCTTTAGTATTTAGCTGTCCAGAATGGTTTCCAAAGTTTTGACTCCACAGGGGTTTTGCAAATTGTGTGGTTGTGCTTTAAAAAATTACAGCTTTGTGAAGACTCATGTATCCCATGGTCTCATGGTATAGTTGTGTTCTGTTCAGTTTCCTTCAACTAAGACTGTGATAAGGAAGAAGAGAAGCTTTCTTATTGATTTCAGTACCTACCTGGTATGGCTCTTCAGCACACATTAGCAGTGCTGGCCAGGGTTTCCTGGGAAAGCAGTCACTGACATCTGAAATGTAGAAAAAGATTCTCACACAGGACAGTCTTCATCTTGTTTTTGAGTGTTGCTTGCCTCCCCTCCAGTGTGTCTGATTCCTTGTTTCCTTTTTATGCCTGGCTTTGACCCACCACTCACTTTGGTGTTGATTTCTGTGCACTCCCATTCTGGAACATTTAATTGTTTTATTTCTTGTGGCATAACTTTCTCACTACATGTGGGAGCCCTGTCACTCAACAGAGCCCTTGCACATATGTCATGCTACTTAAAACTTAGAAAAATCCCATGATAATAGGTCTTGTTATTCCCAGGAAATTGTTGCCCCAAAGACTGTACAATTGGATAAATTGATAAGTAGAAGAATTTTAACTGGCTAAATGCATTATAACCTTGACTATTCTGTGGCATAAACTTTAGGTTTATGAAACAGATATCGTAATTGAGCAATGTCTATGAAACATAAGAAAAATATTTCAGTCATTTACTATTTTACCACATGGCATCCCATGTGAGATGTGATCAACTTTAAGATTAGCTATTACTTGATATGCTACTGAGAAAAGGAAAAAAATTAAATTATGTAATATATTATATTGATTGCTATCTGTATCCCAATTACAGATGTTGTAACTTAAAAAGGTAAGTCTTTGAATTGACAAATGTGTTCATTCAATTTTATTGCATGGCTTTAACGCAATTTTTAATTGTCTTAAAATCATAAGACACAAGAAAGTAAAAGCAAACATTCTTACAACTCAATGTTTTCCCTTCAGCAACCATCAACTGATCTAGAATTTGACCGTGTAGTGATTTATACCACCTGCCTTCGTGTGGTCCGGACAACCTTTGAAAGATGTGAACTGGTTAGAAAGATTTTCCAAAACCATCGCGTAAAATTTGAAGAGAAAAACATAGCCCTGAATGGTGAATATGGAAAAGAGTTAGACGAACGATGCCGACGAGTTTCTGAAGCTCCTTCCCTCCCTGTTGTGTTCATTGATGGCCATTACCTTGGGGTAAGTAAGCTGCCCAGGAAAGTCTTTTTCATAGAACCCAACCAGGGCTGATAGAAATCTATAACCATCTATACATTTGCAGCGTAACTACTGGAACACTTGCTGGTTTTTTTGGAGCTCAAACCAAAGGGATTGGAGCACTTATTTCTGTCCCAGACAATGAGCTGCCACAGTGCTCCTCCCTGAAGAAGTACAGTGAGATAAAATCAACAAGAAACTGCATTTTTGAATAGAAATAAATGTTTAAAAATATTCAGTTAACTTCAGTTTTGCACTGTGAAGCTTGGCATGTGGGATAAAGACTGTATTTTTAGTGTAGGCAAGAAAAATGGATATTTATAAGATATATATTTATAAATTCTCATATACAGCATTATCAATCAGTTTCCTACTAATGAACCTAAGATGATAGTCCTGAAATGAAATCAATAAGAAATGGGGCCTGGAGCCAGAATTTTATCTGCTTGTTTAAAATTATTTTTAACTTGGGTACTGCAGCAGTTGGAGACATAAATTCAGGCTTACGGTAAGCAGAGAGAACTCCCAGAGCAGCAGCAGAACATGCCTGTTTCATTGCTCTTTGAATAATATTGTTAGTGTAGTTAACTCCCATTGATCTGTGAACATCCTGTGGAAGAAGCCCACAGACAGGGCTCCAGAGAGTACACTTTGGAAAAGGTGAGAGCAAAGAGCCAAGGGACACCAGCAACCAGTTTAGGAGCTGACTACATGATCACTTATCACAGAACAGAGACCGTCGAACCACAGATGGATACTTGGATCTTGGTTTCATTTAGCATCTGCTCTTAACCTTCATTTTTCAGAGGAGGTTATAAAAATCTAGAACAGGAGATGCTCACATTTTGTTTCAGGGAATCAATCTGTGTTTTAATACCCTGTCATTTTATGAAAAGATAAATGTAGAGAAGCTGTGATTCAATAGCTATGACACTATGTGATTGTACTTTTAACCAGAGCTGGACACACATTACATTCTGTAGTAGAGGAATGCTGATTTGAAGTATTGATCCTCTTTTTGTTGCATTTCAACATATATCCTTAGGTTGCAGAAAATGACAATAGCAGTAACAATCATGGTAAAAAAATAAATAATAATAGTAATAATAACACTCTACTGCACTCACAGCTTTGCATCTGTCATTTCATGTAATCCTCAGGGTAGTCTTAGAAATAAACTTTCATATGGCATACTGGTTAAGAGCAAGCACTGGGGTCAGACAGACTTGTTTTAAATTCCTGTCCTGACACTTACCATGTGACTCTGTGCTTTGGTTTTCTCATTTGTAAAATGGGAATAAGAATACAACTTATCCCATAGGCTGATTGTGAGAATATTGAGCTAATACATATTAAGCACTTGGTTCCTGTACCTGGAACAAAGTATGTTTTTAGGAAATATGAACAATTATCCCTGTTTTGCAAAAGAAAACATTAATTCCTTTGCTCCAAGTGACAGAGCTGGCTAAGTGGCAAGGCCAGCAATCAAAGTTATGTCTGTCTGACTCCCCAAACCCTTGCTCTTTGGCACATCACCTCAAGGAAAGGGATCTTTGCCTGTTTGCTGGTATAGTTTTAGGACCACAAACAGGTCTTAATGCAAAGTAAGTTTTCAAATGAACATATGTTGAATGGATGGATGAATTATGCTATATTGCCTCATCATATTCTTTTGTTCTCTCTCTAAGACATTCTTTCACAAAGAAGGGATCTGATAAACTCAACCACACTAGGGAGAAAATGTAACTTGTAAGGGCTATGAACATTTCCCTTTTTTAACTTGGGAAAATGTCTGACAATGTAAGACATTTCCCATTGTGGAATTTCAACTCCTGTGCAACTGCACAGTTAAAATTAGTGGGCAACTGCCTTCAATGCACAGGTATAAAGTTGGCTGTTCTTATTCGGAAGCCAAACTGCTTATCTTCTCACTACTTCTGAGACAATATAAGAGGCTATAATGCCCGTCCTGCTATTTGCCCTATAGTTTGAGGAATCTCACAGGAAGGGTGAAACAGACAAATGAGATAGGGGGCATGCTTCTTTCCCAGTTGCTTTTTTCTGTGATCACTTTATTTATACACATGGTAGCCTAGAGGAGGAACTATCATACAGGTGCTACCTTGCTGTTTCTTTAATTTAAGCTAATGCTCTGAACCTAGAGAGAGTCCAGAAACAGATATTCCCCCTTCTTTTTTGCTTATAAAAGGAAAATTACTTCTAAATCTTTAATTCAAAATGGCAAACACTCCAAAACAACGAATTCTCCTCCTATTAAAATAGCCTGTTTATTTAAATTGCAATGCACGATTGTAAATGGAATACATTGCTTGAATTATAGGGCCCTTTTCCTGCACTATGCATGCATCTGAAATGGAAGGATGCCCTCTGCTGGGTTGGACACCTGGTGAAATGTAATTTTAAGGGAGGAAAAGAAGCTGATGTTGGTAATTTCCTTAACATCTGTGGTGTTTTAAACAGACACATGAAACCATTTGATTTAGTTTAAATTTAGATGGGTGAGAAAAATCAAGATTTGTGAATCATCTGCACAATACAATTTTTTTATAGGAAGGAGAGAGAAAAATAGAAAAACAGACAGAAACAGCCAGAGAATGAGGTAGACAGAGGCAGAAAGTGAGGCATCTGGAGGCAGACTGGGGGAGATGGGACGGAGAACAAGAGAACATTTTGTAGCTCCCTTTGCATTACTGTCAGTGTTACCCAATCCAGGGTGGGGGGTGCCAGAGAAATTTAGTTATCTTCATCGAAGTGAAAATAACAGAGTTTAATGGACAAGAAGAATTACAAGGACACTAAGCTCTTTTTTTCCTGATGACTCTCTTCCCCAACCAAACTAAAAAATGAAGATGGAAGCAATGAAACAGTCAAGGAAAAAAAAATACTTTAGAAGGTAAATCTGCACTGCCCTTGGATACTCCACAGTGGGGGGCAGGGGAGCAAATTCAGTTTGGAACTTGCTTAAGGCAACTGTTTCATTATTTTGCATCAGAAATTTTTTTTTACACAAAACAAGATTGTGTTCAAGTAGTTACAACATAAATTATCTTAGAAATGCCAGTGGGAAATAAATTAGAAATAGTGGCCTGTCTGGACCAATCATGAGCCTCCACAGTAGAAATCCACAAAACCCACATTGGAATGGAGCTATAAAATGTAGAATGAACCTAAGTGGGGTCTCTGGTGACAGAGAGAGGAATAGAAGGGCTATTGATAAAAATAGATTTCTTAACTACCTGATATTGAGGTGGGACTGATTGATAATTCTATATATGTTTAAAGTACTGCATTATTCTATTTAAGAGTAAAGACCACTAGTATTGAGCGTAATTCCTTTGCTGCAAGTGACACAGCTAGGTTACAAACTAGAAACACAAACTGTAGGTATATTTCTAAGGAACACTCACAAAATTTCTCAGCAGACATGGGTGCCCAAGGAAGCTTCTGCCATAGTCAAGAAGGAGTTGGCTCCAGAAATCCACTGCATTTGTTGTGATTCACCTGTTGCTCTGCAGCCTCACCAGCATTTGGTGTTGTGAGTCTTCTGGATATTAGCCATTCTAATAGATGTGTAGAGATATCTCATTGTTGCTTTAATTTGCCTTTCCCTAATGACATATGATGTGGAACATCTTTTTAATATGCTTATTGGTCATCTGCATATCTTATTTGGTTAGGTGTCTGTTAAGGTCTTTGGCTCATGTTTAAGTCAAGTTTTTTGTTTTCTTATTGTTGAGGTTTAAGAGTTCTTTGTATATTTTGGATGACAGCTCCTTACTAGATATGTCTTTTGCAGGTATTTTCTTAAGTCTGTGGCTTGTCTTTTCGTTCTCTTGACAATGTCTCTTAAGAGCAAAAATTTTTTAAGATTAATGAAGTTCACTTTGTCACCTTATGCATAATTTCTTTCATGCATCCTACTTTTGATGTTGTATCTAACAAATCATCACCAAACCCTAGATCATCTAGATTTGCTCCTAGTTATCTTCTAGGAGTGTTATAGTTAACATGTGACATTTAAGTCTTTATATTGAGTTCATTTTTGTGAAGGAATAATGTTTGTGTCTAGATTAATTTTATTTTGCATATGGATGCTCAGTTGTTCTAGGCCCCTTTGTTGAAAAGACTATCTTTTCTTTATTGAAATGCCTTTGCTGTGTTGTCAAAGATGAGTTGACTATGTTTATATGGATCTATTTCTGGGTTCTATACTGTTTCTATAAATCTATACTGTTCTATTGGCCATTTATCTATTCTTTTACTAACTTAATCCAAATTTTTTGGAAATATTTCTTTTATATCTCACTTAATATGCTCAATATTTGTCTTTTTGAGTATATAGGATATAGGTATAACAACCGTTTCAACCTACTTATCTGACAATTGTATCTGTGTCAGTTCTAGTTGATTTCAATTGATTGATATTTTTCTTCATTTTTAGTCATGTTTTTCTATTTTTATGCCTACTTGGTAATTTTTGTTTAGATGTCACATATTGTGAATTTTACCTTGTTAGGTAAAAATATTCATTGTTGGGATAATTTTTTATACCTATACATATTCTTCAGCTTTTTGCTGAGATACAGTTAAGTTTCTTAGAAAGAGTTTGAGCCTTTGGGTTTTGTTTCTTAAGGTTTTCTAGTCAGGGCCAGAATAGTGTTTGGTCTAAAGCTAACTGTTTCCAGTACTGATCAAGATCTTGTGAGCACTTTACTCAATGCCCCATGAATTATGAGGTTTTCCAGTCTTACTGTTGGGAACAGGTACTATTTTAGGTCCTTTTCCTAGATAATGTCTCCTTTAATTCTTTCAGATAGTTATTTTGCTTGCCTTGAGTGGTTTTCTTAGATGAAGATACTGATCAGCACTCTGCTGAGCAGCCAGTCTGGGCCCTCTACTTATATCCAGAGTTCTCAGTGAAGCTCTTTACTCTCTAAAACTCTATCCTGTTAACTCTAGCCATCTTGGTCTTCCGACTCTCAAGTCTGTTTCCTCAATTCAGGAAGTACCCCAGCCCTCCTGTACACAGCTTGGAAAACGTGTCATGGCAGTCAGCTTGGGTAGCCATAGAGCTCATCATCTATTTTCTACATCTCTGAGATCATCATTCATTATTGTCTGATGTCCAATATTATAAAATCAAAGGTTAAAACATTATTATTGTTTATCAAAATAAAACAATTGGTCTACTTTCTGGCAAAATAACAAAGTAAAATAAAATTTTTAGGCTAGATGACTATAACAGTTATAAATTACATTCATTTCTGAGTAATAATGGTTCTTTTCCACACACACACACTAAACAACAATGAAACTTAAATCTTTAAAATCTAGGAGGTTTGTATTTTTTTCTCATATGCAAAATGTACAGAAAAGTGCACTGGAGAGAGTATAAAGTTTTATGATACAATCTAGGACCACTTTCTAATTTTCAGTTCTGCCATTCTTAGCACAGGTCTTCCATCCTCAAGTTCTCCTAATAGTATAAGGTAGTTACTGAAACTCTTGCCATCATACCTGTATTCCATTCAGAAATGGAATAAAAAAGAAAAGCAAAAAAGTACCTCCTTCTTAAAAGAAGGAAGTTCCTTTTCAAAGAGTTTTTTTTTATTTTTTCAGGAATCTCACCCAACTTCCACTTGCATTTTATTGTTAACCTTTAGTAGCAAAGAAGGATAGGAATATAATATTCTAGATGTCACATTGATAGGCTTAAAAAATAAGGTATTTCTTAGTACTGCATAGAAAAGAGAGATCATAGATATTGGGTAGGCAGTTAGTGTCTGCCAAGGTGATCAAAGCTCATTTTGACTAGAACAATTCTTCAAGCTGTATGTGTTTCTCATTAGTTATTTTCATGTAGTCAATGATTCCCTAGTATCTACTCTGTTAATAAGGGCTGCAGAGATGGTGGGGAGCCTTTGGTAAATTTGTTGTTTCTGTATGGGAGTGTTATTATAATTATATAAAATAATAACTAGTGTCATAAACCATTAACAGAAAGTTAAGTGCTTTGTTATGTTTTGAAAGTGTTCTGTTTTAAACCATGTGAAAGTATTTAACATCTGCATGTGAGAAGTAATTTTTAAATTTTGGGGTCATGGGAGTCTTTGAATATCTGCTGAAAGATGTTGATATTTTTGTTTTTGTCTGTTTTCACACTGCTATAAAGAACTACCTGAGACTGGGTAATTTATGAAGAAAAGAGGTTTAATTGACTCACAGTCCTGCAGGCTTAACAGGAAGCACAGTTGGAAGACCTCTGTAATGTAAGCTGCTGTTTCTGAAAGCATACAGTCATATGCATTCACAAAGAGAACTTACAATCATGGCAGAAGGTGAAGGGAAAGCAAGCATGTCTTTACAATGGTGGAGCACGGGAGAGAGAGGGATCGAGAGAGCAAAGTGGGGAAATGCCACACACTTCCAAACAACCAGATCTCGTGAGAACCTGCTATCATGAGAACAACAACGGGGAAGTCTGCCTCCATGATTCAATCACCTCCCATCAGGTCCCTCCCTGGCACACAGGCATTACAATTTGAGATGAGATTTGGGTGGGGATACAGGGCCAAACCATATCATTACATCCCTGGACTCTCCCAAATCTCATGTCCTTCTCACATTTTAAAACACAGTCATGCCTTCCCAACCGTCCCCCACAGTCTTAACTCATTCCTGCATTAACCCAAAAGTCTAAGTTCAAAGTCTCATTTGAGACAAGACAACTCCCTTCAATCTATGAGCCTGTAAAATCAAAAACAAGTTAGTTACTTCTAAGATACAGGGATCAGATAAAGGCTCCCATTCAAAAAGGGAAAATTGGCCAAAACCAAGGGACTACAGGCCACATGCAAGTCCAAAACCCAGCAGGGCAGTTGTTAAATCTTAAAGCTCCAAAATAATCTCCTGTGACTCCATGTCTCACATCCAGGGTATGCTAATGCAAGGGGTGGGCTCCCAATGCCTTGGGCAGTTCTGCCTCTGTGGCTCTGCAGAGTACAGTCCCAGAAGCTGCTTTCATGGGCTGGTATTGAGTGTCCGCAGCTTTTCCAGACACATGGTACAAGCTGTCAGTGGATCTATCATTCTGGGGTCTGGAGAACGATGGCCTTCTTCTCATAGCTCCACTGGGCAGTGCTACAGTGGAGCTATGAGGGGGCTCCAACCTCACATTTCCCCTCAGCACTGTTCTAGTAAAGGTTCTCCATGAGGACTCTACCCCTCTGGCTGACTTCTACCTGGACATCCAGGCGTTTCCTTATATCCTCTGAAATCTAAGAGGAGGTTCCCAAACCTGAATTTTTCCTTCTGCATACTTGCAGGCCCAACACCATGTGGAAGCTGCCAAGGCTTGGGGCTTGCACCCTCTGAAGCCATGTCCCAAGCTATATTTTGTCCCCTTTTAGCCAAAGCTGGAGCTGGAGTTGCTGGGATGTAGAGCAACATGTCCCAAGGCTGTACAGAGCAGTGGGGCCCTGGGGATGGCCCATGAAATTATTTTTTCCTCCTAGGCCTCTGGGTCTGTGATGGGAGGGACTGCTCTGACGGTCTCTGAAATGCCCTGGAGACATTTTCCTCATTGTCTTGGCTATTAACATTCAGGTCCTTTTTACGTATGCAAATTTCTTCAGCCAGCAGCTTGAATTTCTCCGCAGAAAATCAGTTTTTCTTTTCTACCACATGGTCAGGCTGCAATTTTTCCAAATTGTTATGCTCTTCTTCCCTTTTAAACATAAGTTCCAATTTCAGACAATCTCTTCGTGAATGCATATGACTGTATGCTTTCAGAAACAGCTGGGTTACATCTTAAATGCTTTGCTGCTTAGAAATTTCTTCTGCCCGGATACCCTAAATCATCAATTTCTAGTTAAAAGTTCTGCAAATCTCCAGGGCAGGGGAAAGATGCCACCAGTCTCTTTGCTATAGAGTGACCTTTACTCCAGTTCCCAAAAAATTCCTCAAGTTCATTTGAGACCACTTCAGCCTGGACATCATTGTCCATATCACTATCAACATTTTGGTCAAGTCCATTCAACAAGTTTCTAGGAAGTTCCAAACTTTCCCATATCTTTCTCTCTTCTTCTGAGCCCTCCAAACTGTTCCAAAGTCTGCCCATTACCCAGTTCCAAAGTACCTTCCACATTTTTATATATGTTTATAGCAATGCTCCACTACCAGTACCAATTTCCTGTATTAGTTCATTTTCACACTGCTATAAAGAACTACCTGAGACTGGGTAATTTGTGAAAAACAGAGGTTTAATTGACTCACATTTCCACAGGCTTAACAGGAAGCATGGTTGGAAGACCTTAGGAAACTAATAATCGTGGCAGAAGGTGAAGGGAAAGCAAGCATGTCTTTACCATGGCAGAGCAGGAGAGAGAGTGAGTGAGTGAAGGGAAAAGTTCCACCCACGTTCAAAAAACCAGATCTCAGGAGAACTCACTCACTGTCATGAGAACAACAAGGGGAAAATACACTCCCGTGATTCAATCACCTCCCACCAGGTCCCTCCCATGACCCATGGGAATTACAATTTGAGATGAGACAAATATGGTTGGACACAGGGCCAACCATATCATTATACTTCTGTACCTTTCCAAATCTCATGTCTCAAAAAAAAAATGCTCAAAGACAGCTAGAAAGTAGGATACACTTCACTAAGAACCATCTCCAAGGTACTTTTTAAGATGGGAAGTTAGTTTTCTAAGAATAACTTTAAAAAACATCTCTGATATTGATTCAGGGTTCTTGCTTTGTTGCTCAGGCTGGAGGGCACTTACACAATCTTGGCTTACTGCAATCTCTGACTCCAGCTCAAGCGATCTCCCCACCTCAGCCTCCCAAGTATCTGGCACCAGAGGTGTGAGCCACCATGTCTGGCTAATTTTTAAATTTTTTGTAGAGGTGGGGTTTCACCATTTGCCCAGGCTTGTCTTTGAGCATTTTATTTAGCAATGTGTGACCCATTTCATCACATGTACTATCATAGCTAATTTTCATTTTTTATTATTTAACTATGGAACTGATGAAATTTAGGTTTTTATTACTCTTCCTTTTTATTTGTTATCTTCATTTCTTTTTGGTCACTTGTTTGATCATTAGAAATTCCATCAGAGATCTGGTTGGAGGAAAGTCTCATGAACATTCAAATCTTCTTTTATTGTTTTGGATCTTATTTGGTAATAGGCAAGATAAGTGTTAAATCTTCAAGCTTTGTTGTTTAAAGCCACGAAGTGTTTGTTCTGGCCTTCAGATAGTACAGGGATAGAGAAATTTAAAATTTAGAACAAAAGCCAGACTTTTAGAATTTAAGCAGTTGCTTGTGTGATTGCTCCTCTGTCCCTTTTTCCTGGATAACTCAGGATAGTTTTTAGTCATAAGAACAATGACAATGATAGTAAAAGCTAATTTGAATGTCATACTCTGCTAAGCATGTTACATGCATTATCTCTTACTTTTGAAAATAATACTGTGAATGGCACTGTTATCATCTTTCAAAACCCAAATTTTATACTTGAAGTAACTTAAGCTTAGAGAAGCTAAGACACTATTTAATCATCTTCAGATCACAATGGGTGTAGCCATGATTCAAATTTAGGTGTGTCTGGCTATTGCTTGAGCTTTTAAAAGTTGAGGACTCAAAGTTCTAATCAATTGACAATGGCCTTCAGTTCTACTCTTTAGCAGCATATTTACATGCTGAATTACTTCACCACTTGAAATGATTCCATATTCAAAATTGTGAACTTAGTAACGTCCTGCTTTGGTCACAATTTTCTGTCCTTTAGTCTCTTCCATTTGTTCCCCTATTGAACTTTCTCATCATTGGCATTTTTAATCTTTACTCCTTTACAATTTCTCTTAGCTTATAGTCACAATTTTGTTTTCACTTGTCTCCTTACCTTACTAGATTCAGAAATATAATAATAGCCAGTCTATAGTCACTTGTTGCTGAAGTTCTATAGACTTTCCAAGTTTGCTAGTTCCCAGTTCTGTGCAAACCCCTCCAGTTGTTTTTTCTTTCTTACTCCACATTGCCATGGGCATGAATTTAGAAAATCCCCAAACCATAACAAAGAGATATACAACAAGGTTGTATTGTCAGCGTTATCTAGGCCCATTACTTCATTTTCCTATTAATATCTTGTTAGTTTTCTATTGTGATCCACATAACAAATTGCTCAACATCTTTTCTAATTTCCCCAAACAGAAGTTCCATTGCCATTTCCTGTTTCTTCACTTTCACAGCTCTAATCTTGTAAAGTCTTTTCATTTTGGGGGTCCTTGCCGATGTTTTTTTTTTCTTGACATTAAAAAAATACCACAGAACCACACTCCAGTATTCGTTTCTTATTCCAATACTCTGCTTTTGATTAATGGCCTCACAATTCCCCCACTTACTCAGTTTTCTTTGACTCCACCTACTTTCTCTTGCCTCATATCTAGTCAGTTGCCAAGATTTATTGTAGTATATGTGGATCTCTATTTTGCAAGTTTTAAGAACTCACCTAAGTGGGTATATCAAAGTAAAGTAGAGGCAGACATATTTGCATGCAAGGATAAACTCTTTTTCTTACTGGTTATATTTGATGGATAGGTTATTTGATCCCCTTTCAATGAAGATAATAGAATACTTACAGTTTTGGATATTGTGAAGATGAAATGAGATGAAGCATAAAAACTCACAGTGGCTAGAACATGATGCACACTCAGTAAACATTTGCTAAAATTAAATATTACTAAGGCTAGAGCATGTTCTAGGGGTGTGCATACAACAAAGCACAAACAAATTGGTGGCTATCTGCACAACAATGTACCAAAGTGCATGCTACAGTTGTTATAGAACCAACGTTTCATATGGCCACTGCACAGAAACAGACCAATTGCACTGAGACAGCAGGGTTTGCAGCAGAGAAAGAGTTTAATGATTGCAGGGTACCAAATGAGGGGATGAAAAAAGACTCTCAAATCCATCTCCTTGAGGAGTTCTGGGCTGGGGTTTTTAAGTGGATCATGGAGGGTAGGGGGCTGGAAAATTGGGATTGATTGGTCAGGGTAGGAGGGATGAAATCATCAAAATGTGGAAACTGCATTCTTTGATGAGTCATCTTCTTGTGGGTTCCTTTATTAGACCTGCTGAAGTCAGTAGTTTCACTGGTTTGAAGGACCTGAAAGAAAACCTCAAAGGGAAAACTGAACAAGATTTCATAATTTTTAAGTGTTTATCTATAGAGCATTAATGGGAACTATAATCTTGTAACAGGGTCTAGGTGATTCTGAGGCAATTGGTACCAAACAGCTATGATGAGCAAGGTCAGAGAGCAAGCTGATCTAATCACTAATGCGGAATGTGCTGTGAGCTTGGTTTCATTTCATTTCTTCCCCCAACTTCTTTCCTGATTAATTTTATGAAGTTTATAGGGCCGGTTTCAGTCCCTCTGGGCTGGATCATACCTCAATCCTGAAGCGAGAGCTAAGACCACTCTTATTGCTTCCTGCTTGCAAGAGGCATAGTCAGGGTAAGAGTCGGGATTAGAGGAACGAAACTGCCTGGAAGTAACCATTAAGCACTCATGAATGCCTGGTTGGGGATCTTGGGGCTGTGGCATAAACACATTAGTGTTCCTGTCCATTGGCTTAGCATAGAATTTAATTGAACACCAGAGTATAAGATATATTACAAGCCCTATTGTCAGAATTGTGAGTTAAATTTCAAAAGTCCTTGTAAAATAGACTGAAAACCTTGAGATCTTATTGCCACAAGTCTGTTCTGTTTGTCTTATGATCTCTGTTTTAACATTAAATCTGGTCAGTTGTGTTTAGACTTCAAAAGGGTGGTATGACTACCTGCCCTGGGTCCATCCTGTACCTCAGTGGGACTCCTATGGCCAAGGGACTTAGAGCCAAAAGACATATAACCATTTAAATTTTCCAAGATAGATGGGAATGGAGGTGCACAGGCATTCATTAATCCATAAAAACCTTTTGAGCATTGTAGGAGCCAAAAACCAAAAACCAAAAAGTAAGGTTACAAAACTGACTCATCTATAAGTCTACGATAGTCCCTGGGCCTAGAGGGATTGAATAGTTTTAATATCTGGCTCTGTGCCTCATGAAAGCAATTTATTGTCACCTCCTGGGTTTAGAGACAAGGCTGTGGTTAAATTGAGTTTGTCATCAGATATTGGTGTCAATGTCTAAGATTTAGCAGGAATTAGTGCCCTTTTCAGTTATGTGTACCTAGGAGTCAAAGACCTGAGACTTAACAGCCCAATGATTAATTAATAGCACCTAATAATGTATCCTTTGTGATTTAATAACACCTAATAAAGGACTCTTTCCAAGGGCTGGAGGGAAGCCTTTAACAGATGTCTCTTCCAGCATATGTAATTATCAGGCTGGAGGCAGTGATACCGGAGTCCACGGTCTTACTGGAAACTGTAATCCCCCTCATATTTCCGTAGTCACACTCCATCATCTTGTTCTTTCAGTAATCCTGTAGCATTACCAGTAGCATCTTACCCTTGGTCCATTGGTTAAATCTTTACCTTTGACTTTTGACATTTGTTTGGCTATCTCCTCTTCCCTCAAGTCTTAATCTCAAAGAAGAAATGCAGAAGTACTACAACCACATCTTCTTTAACTCATATTTGGTATGAAATGTATAGCAGTAAGTACTTTGAAGCCTCTTTATGCACAATTCAATTTTCATTCCATAAACTTAGTCAATTAAAGAGAAAGAACTTTTGAAGGATGCAGGCATTAAGTATTCCTAAATTATAGACCCAAGGAACAGCTTCACGTACAGTCTTTCCTTAATGTATATTCTGTCTTTATCATTTCACAGATTTAAATTGATTGTCACATTTACCCATGACTTTGCCTCTTTGAGTTTTGCCTGCTGTAATTCTCTGTGTGGCAGGATACTTGTGAAGTGGTCTAGCAGGTCCATTGTTTAATGATTTTTTTATGTCAAAACCTGAGGCTTTAATTTAGTACTTTGGACCTCTGCACTATAAAAGTATAAAGCGGTTCTGTTTATTGGTGACCTGGTCACAGTTAAATGAAGACTTAGAACATGCAATCTGGTAAAAAGCTTGAGGAGCCCATTAACCTATATGTGTAGCCATTTATTCATTAATTTAGTTAGTTATGGTCTTCATTTGAGTAATGGTTCCATGGCATTTATCAGAGTTTAAAGAAATCTTTAAAGATTTTTCTGTATGTTTTATATCTTTAAAAGATGCTATGTATATCTTTCTTAAAACCAACTTTATTTTTGAATTATAATGTACACACAGAATAATGCATATATCACAAGAGTATAGGTCAGTAAATTATTATGACATGATCACACCCACGAAACCAGCACCCAGGTTAATAAATACAACTTTAGTGTACACCAAAACCTCCCATTCTTGGTACCCTCATATTCCTTCCATAGATAACCAATCTCAAATATTCTTTTGCATGTATGTAATTTTTTAATGGCTTATTTTATTTTATTATAAATTGACAGATAAAATTGTATGTGTTTATCATGTACAACATGATGTTTTGAAGTATATATACACCGTGGAATGGCTAAATCTAGCTAATTAACATAGCATTATCTCACATAATTATCATTTTTGTGGGGAGACTATTTAATATTCACTCAGCATTTTTCGAGAATGCAACGTATTGTTATTAACTCTAGTCCTCCAATAGACTGGATGCAATAGATCTCTTGTACTTATTCCTTCTGTGTGAAATTTTGTAACCTTTGACCAATATCTCTACAATTATCCATCCCCAACTATGCCAGTGCCTGGTAACCACCATTCTACTCTCTACTTTTATAAGTTCAACTTTTTTAGATTCCACATATATCTGAGATCATGTGCAATTTGCCTTACTGTGGCTGAGTTATTTCACTTGACATAATGTTCTCCAGATTCATCCATGTTGTAACAGATGAGAAGATTTTCTTCTTTTTAATGGATGAATAGTATTCCATTGTGTATATATATTTCACATTTTTTTATCCATTTATCCACTGATGGACACTTAGATTGATTCTGTATGTTGACTGTTATGAATAATGCTGCACTGAACAAGGGAGTGTAGATATCTCTTTGACATACTGATTTTATTTTCTTTGGCTATATACCCAGTAGTGAGATTGCTGGATCATATGGTAGTTGTATTTTTAATTTTTTGAGGAATCTTTATACCACTTACCATAATGGCTATGTTAATTTACATTTCCACCAATAATGTGCAAGTGTTCCTTTACTCCACATTCTCACAAACAATTATCTTTTGCCTAATATTAGCCATTCTAGCAGGCATGAGGTGAACTCTTAATGTGGTTTTAATTTGCATTTCCCTAACAATCAACAATGTTGAACATTTAAAAAATGTAACTATTAGTCATTTTATGCCTTCTTTTGATAAATATCTGTTCATGACCTTTGTTCAGTTTTTAATGGAATTAAAAAAAATTGTTGAGTTTTTGGGTTCCTTGTATATTCTGGAAATTCATCCCTTGTCAGATGGATAGTTTGCAAATATTTTCTCCCATTCAACAGGTTGTCCCCTCACTCTGTTGATAGTTTTTTGTCTTGTGCAGATGTTTATTAATTCAATGTAACACCAGTTGTCTATTTTTCCTTTTGTTGCCTGTGCTTTCGGAGTCATATCCAAAAAATTATTGCCCAGACTGTTGTGGAGAATTTGCCTTATGTTTTCTGCTAGCAGCTTCATAGTTTTGTGTCCTATGTTTAGGTCTGTAATCCATTTTCAGTTGATTTTTGTATATGGTGTATGACAAGGGTTTAATTTTATTCAACATTTGGATATCCAGGTTTCCTAACATTGTTAATTGAAGAAACTGTGCTTTCCCCATTGTTTATTCTTGGCACGTTTGTTGAAAATATGTTGGCTGCAAATGTGTGGATTTATTTCTGGCCTCTGTATTCTGTTCCTTTGGTCTATGTATCAATTTACTTGCCTTTATGCCAGTACCATGCTGCTTTGGCTACTATAGCTTTGTAGCATAACTTGAAGTCAGGTAGTGTGATGCCTCTAGCTTTCTTCTTTTTGCTCAAGATTTATTTAGCTATTTGGGGTACTTTGTCATTCCATATGAATTTTAGGATAACTTTTTAATTTCTGTGAAAAATATCATTGGTATTTTGATAGACAGTGAATTTAATTTGTATTTAGCTTTGACTAGTAGGGACATTTTATTAATATTCTTCTAATCTATGAACTCAGAATATCTGTTCATTTATTTGTGTTTTCTTCAATTTCTTTTGTGATTGTTCTATGATTTTCAGTGTAGAGATCTTTTACTTCAATAAATTTATTTCCAGGTACTTTATTTTTGTAACTTATATAATTGAGATTGTTTTCTTGATTTCTTATTAAGATAGTTTAGTGTTAATATACAGTAATGTTACTAATTTTTGTATGTTGATTTTGTATTTCATAATTTTATCAAATTTATTTTTTGGTGCTAACATATTTTATTAGAGTTTTTTAACAGCAATTTCAGCATGTAAGATTAAACTGCTTGCAAACAGAGACAATGACATGGTTAGGCTTTGTGTCCCTATCCAAATCTCATCTTGAATTGTAAGCCTCATAATCCCTATAATCCCCCTGGTCAAGAAAGAGACCAGGTGGAGGTAATTTAATCATGGGGGCAGTTTCCCCCATGCTGTTTTTGTGATAGTGAGTGAGTTCTCACGAGATCTGATGGTTTTGTAAGGGACTCTTCCCTCTTCACTTGGGACTTTTCTTTCCTGTTGCCTTGTGAAGAAGGTGCCTTGCTTCTCTTTCACTTTCTGCCATGATTATAAGTTTCCTGAGGCCTCCCTAGCCATACTGAACTGTGAGTCAATCAAACCTCTCTCTCCTTTATAAACCACTCTGTCTTAGGCAGAATCTTTATAGCAGTGTGAGACAATTTAACTTCTTCCTTTCTGATTTGAATGCTTTTTATTTATTCGTTTCTCTTACCTAATTGTTATGGCTAGGATTTCCAGTACTATGTTGACTAGATGTGGTGAGAGTAGGCATCCTTGTCTTGTTCTAGATCTTAGAGGGACAGCCTTCATCTTTTCCTCATTGAGTATGATTTTAGCTATGAGTTTGTGATATACGGCCTTTAGTGTTGAGATACATTTCTTCTATATCTAAATTGTTGAGAGTTTTTTATTATGAAAAGATGTTGAATTTGGTCAAATATTTTCTGCATCTATTGAAATGATAATATATTGTTTTCTTTCATTCTGTTAATGTGATATATCACATTTCTCCTTGGGAAGAATCTCAATCATGGTGAATCTTTTCAATGTGCTGTTGAATTTGATTTGCTAGTATATTGTTGAGGATTTTTGCATGTACTTGTATCAGAAATATTGGCCTATAGTTTATTTATTTATTTTTATTTTTTGGAATGTCCTAGTTTGGCTTTGATATCAGCATAATACTTGCCTAAAATGAGTTTGAAAGTATTTTCTTCATTTTGAGTTTATTGGAAGAGATTTTTTTGGTGTGTGGGGCAGGTAGAATTGGTGTTAGTTCTTTAAAAGTTAGGTAGAATTCAGCAGTAAAGCTATCAGGTCTTGGGCTTTTGTATGATGAAATACTTTCTATTACTTATTCAATCTCCTTATTATTGGTCTGTTCAGATATTTTATTTTTTCATAATTCAATCTTTGCAAGTTGTATATGTCCAGGAATTCATTCATTTCTTCTTAGTTATCCAACTTTTTGGTATATAATTGTTGATAAGTATCTCTTATGACCATTTGTATTTCTCTTGTATCAATTGTAACATCTCCTTTTTCATACCTAATTTTATTTTAGTCCTCTTCTTTTTTTCCTTAGTCTAGCTAAAGGTTTGTTGATTTTATTTTTTCAATAAACCAACTCAGTTTTGTTGATTTATTTTTGTCTCTATTTCATTTATTTCTGTTCTCATCTTTGTTAATTTTCTTCATTCTACTATCTTTGAGTTTAGTTTGTTCTTGTACATCTTGTTTCTTGAAGTGTAACATTAGGTTGTTTATTTGAGATCTTTCTTCTTTGACGTAGGTGTTTATTGCTATAAACTCCCTTTTTAGACTTGATTTTGCTGTATTCCGTTAAGTTTTGGTATGTAGTGTTTCCATTTTTCTTTGCCTCAAGATATTTTTAAAATTTTGTTTTAATTTCTTCATTCAACCGTTGATTTTTCAGGAATAATTTTTTAATTTTCCTGTTTTTGTAAATTTTTTGAAGTTTCTCCTGTTATTGGTTTCTAATTTTATATCATTGTAGTCAAGAAAGATACTTGATATGATTTTAATCTTCTTAAATTTCTTAAAACTTATTTTGTGGCCTAACATGTGATCTGTCCTGAAGACTGTTCCATGTGCAGTTGAAGAATGTGTATTCTGCAGCTTTTTAATGTTCTGTATGTGCCTGTTACATCTATTTTGTCTAGTGCGCAGTTTAAATACAATATTTTCTTATTGATTTTCTGTCTGGATAATCTGTCTATTGTTGAAAGCGGGATAGTGAAGTCTCCTACTATTATTGCATTGACATCTATATCTCCCTTCAAATCTATTAATATTTGCTTATATATTTAGATGCTCCAGTGTTATGTGCATATACATTTATAATATTTTTTGGTTTCCATTTTCATCAAAAATCTTTCAATATTTCTTTATCAGTCTTTATGTGCCCTTACAGGTGAAGAGAGACCTTTATTGGAGCATTTGGTTGGATCTTGTTTTTTTTGTGTTTTTTTTTTGTATCCATTCAGCTACTGTATCTTTTTATTGGAGAATTGAATCAATTTACATTAAAGATAATTATTGATAGATAATACTACTGCCATTTTGCAAGTTGTTTCCTGGTTATTTTATAGATCTTTTCTCTCTTTCTTTTCCTTCTGCTGTCTTCCTTTGTAGCTTAATGATTTTCTGTAGTGGTATTTTTTTTTTTTTGCTTTTTACTTTCTTTTTCTTTTTGCTTTTTACTTTCTTATGTCTCTACTATGCTATGCTTTGTAGTTATCATGAGACTTATAAAAAACATCTTATTTTTATAACAAGTTATTTTAAACTGAAAACAATTTAACTTTCATCACAGAAAACCTCTCCAATTTTACTCCACAATGTGCCCCCCCATATTTTGAATTTTTGATGTTTCAGTTTGTCTTTTTATACTGCATATCCCTTAAAAATTATGGTAGCTTTTATGAATTTCAATAGCTTTGAATTTTAACCTTCATATGAAAGATATAAGTGATGTACAAACCACCATTACGGTATTAGAATATCTGAATTTCATGTATACTTTTACCAGTGAGTTTTATACTTTCAGATGTCTTTGTGTTACTCATTAGTGTTCTTTTCTTTTAGCTTGAAGAACTTTGTCATTTCTTGTAAGACAGATCTGGTGGTGATGAACTTTCTCAGCTTTTGTGCATCTGGGAAAGTCCGTCTTCACCTCTGAAGGACAGTTTTGCTGGCTATAGTATTCTTGGTTGACAGTTTTATTTTTTCTCTTCAGTACTTTTAATGTATCATCCCCACTCTCTCCTTGTCTTATGGTTTCTGCTAGGAAATCTGCTGCTAGCCATGTTGGAACTTCTGTATGTGTTATTTGCTTATTTTCTTTTGCTTTCGGGATCTTCTCTTTATCTTTGATTTTTGACAGTTTGATTATATTATGTTTTGGAATACTCTTGTTTGGATTATATAATATATGAATGCAGAGCAGATATTTGACCTCCCTGTGTCTAGATATTTATATCTTTCTTCATATTTGGAAAGTGTTCTGCTATTATTGCTTTAAAGAGGCTTTCCACCCCTTTGTCTTTCTTTCTCCTTCTTTTTTTTTTTTATTATACTTTAAGTTTTAGGGTACATGTGCACATTGTGCAAGTTAGTTACATATGTATACATGTGCCATGCTGGTGCGCTGCACCCACTAACTCGTCATCTAGCATTAGCTACATCTCCTGATGCTATCCCTCCCCCCTCCCCCTACCCCACAACAGTCCCCAGAGTGTGATATTCCCTTTCCTGTGTCCATGTGATCTCATTGTTCAATTCCCACCTATGAGTGAGAATATGCGGTGTTTGGTTTTTTGTTCTTGCGATAGTTTACTGAGAATGATGATTTCCAATTTCATCCATGTCCCTACAAAGGACATGAACTCATCATTTTTTATGGCTGCATAGTATTCCATGGTGTATATGTGCCACATTTTCTTAATCCAGTCTATCATTGTTGGACATTTGGGTTGGTTCCAAGTCTTTGCTATTGTGAATAATGCTGCAATAAACATACGTGTGCATGTGTCTTTATAGCAGCATGATTTATAGTCCTTTGGGTATATACCCAGTAATGGGATGGCTGGGTCAAATGGTATTTCCAGTTCTAGATCCCTGAGGAATCGCCACACTGACTTCCACAATGGTTGAACTAGTTTACAGTCCCACCAACAGTGTAAAAGTGTTCCTGTTTCTCCACATCCTCTCCAGCACCTGTTGTTTCCTGACTTTTTAATGATTGCCATTCTAACTGGTGTGAGATGGTATCTCATTGTGGTTTTGATTTGCATTTCTCTGACGGCCAGTGATGATGAGCATTTTTTCATGTGTTTTTTGGCTGCATAAATGTCTTCTTTTGAGAAGTGTCTGTTCATGTCCTTCGCCCACTTTTTGATGGGGTTGTTTGTTTTTTTTTGTAAATTTGTTTGAGTTCATTGTAGATTCTGGATATTAGCCCTTTGTCAGATGAGTAGGTTGCGAAAATTTTCTCCCATTTTGTAGGTTGCCTGTTCACTCTGATGATAGTTTCTTTTGCTGTGCGGAAGCTCTTTAGTTTAATTAGATCCCATTTGTCAATTTTGGCTTTTGTTGCCATTGCTTTTGGTGTTTTAGACATGAAGTCCTTGCCCATGCCTATGTCCTGAATGGTAATGCCTAGGTTTTCTTCTAGGGTTTTTATGGTTTTAGGTCTAACGTTGAAGTCTTTAATCCATCTTGAATTGATTTTTGTATAAGGTGTAAGGAAGGGATCCAGTTTCAGCTTTCTACATATGGCTAGCCAGTTTTCCCAGCACCATTTATTAAATAGGGAATCCTTTCCCCATTGCTTGTTTTTCTCAGGTTTGTCAAAGATCAGATAGTTGTAGATATGCGGCGTTATTTCTGAGGGCTCTGTTCTGTTCCATTGATCTATATCTCTGTTTTGGTACCAGTAGCATGCTGTTTTGGTTACTGTAGCCTTGTAGTATAGTTTGAAGTCAGGTAGTGTGATGCCTCCAGCTTTGTTCTTTTGGCTTAGGATTGACTTGGCGATGCGGGCTCTTTTTTGGTTCCATATGAACTTTAAGGTAGTTTTTTCCAATTCTGTGAAGAAAGTCATTGGTAGCTTGATGGGTATGGCATTGAATCTGTAAATTACCTTGGGCAGTATGGCCATTTTCACGATATTGATTCTTCTCTTTCTCCTTCTTAAAGGAGAAGACTCAAATATTTCCTATTTTAATGCTCTGCCATAAATCCTGTTAACTTTTTAAAATTCTTTTTTATTCTTTTTTCTTTTTTCTCCTCTAAGTGTATATTTTCAAGTAACCTGTCTTTATGTTCAGAGATTTTCTTTCTTTTTTTTTTTTTTTCAGACAGAGTCTCACTCTGTCACCTGGGCTGCAGTGCAGTGGTGTGATCTCGGCTCACTGGAACCTTCATCTTCCAGGTTCAAGCAATTCTCCTGCCTCAGCTTCCCTGGTAGCTGGGATTACAGGTGCCCACCATCATGCCTGAATAATTTTTGTACCTTTAGTAGAGATGGGTTTTTGCCATGTTGGCCAGGCTGGTCTCGAACTCCTGACCTCAGGTGATCCTCCTGTCTCAGTCTCCCAAAGTGCTGGGATTACAGGCATGAGCCACCATGCCCAGCCCACAGATACATTTTTAAGCTTGCTCTATTCTGCTATTAATGCCTCTATCGCATTTTTCATTTTGCTCATTGTATTTTTCAACACCAGGGTTTCTGTTTGATATAAAAACATTTAATCTCTTTTTTAAATTTCTTTCTTGTCACTTTTTATTTTTCTCATTTCATTAAATTGTTTATCTGTATTTTCTTGAAGTTCACTGAGATTCCTTAAAACAGTTATTTTGAATCTTCATCCGGCAGTTCATCTATCTTCATTTCATTAGCATCAGTCACTGGCACTTTATTTTGTCTCTTTGGTAATGTCATGTTTTTCTGACTGTTCTTGATCCTTGTGGACATGTGTCAATGTCTGTGCATTTGAAAAAGTAGATACCTATTCTAGTCTTCTAGACTGGCCTTGTCTGAATTAGCCCTTCAACAGTCAGCTCCTTCAGAGATTCTTGGCAGGCAGTCTGGCAGAGTCCTGAAGCCTTGGGTCACTGAGGCTGGCACAGTTCTGGGACAGGCTAGAAGCCTGGGGGCTGCTGGGACTGGCTTGGTGCTGGGGTGGACCTGAAGCCTGGGATTGCTGTAGTTGGTGGAACACTGGAGCAGACCAGAAACTCAGAACTGCTGAGGCCTGCCTGTTGATGAGAGTTGTCCAGAATCTGGGGCTGCTGAAGTTGGCCTGACAGTGGTGTGGACTGGATATCAATTCTGCCTCATAGGCCAAACGCTTGGGACTGTGGGACCCTGCCTGGTGCTGAAGTGGGTCTGGAGGCTCAGTCCACATGTACCAGCCTGGAGTCTGAGGCTGAGGGAGGCTACCTGATTCTAATATTTAGTATGATGGGCCTGAGGTTGGGGTCCAAGGCAAAGTCTTATGATCACTTCCCTTCCTTAATCCTAAGTGTATGATACCTCACTCAGCACTCTGTTGGCTGGGGTTCAAGGAGGGGTGACATGGATAATATAAACTCTTTCTTCTTACTGTCTTCAATGCATGTTTTCTGGTTCCCTTAGTTCTTCTGAAGGTATTTTCATGCCTGGATAATTGTTCAAATTGATATTTCTGTGAGGCGGCAATCACCGGAAAGTCCTCTTCTGCCATGTTGCTTCACTCTTCTCTCCTATATTTAAAATTAAATGTAAACCACTAACCATTCTTAATTTGATTGAAGAAAAAATGTATAATCTGTGTTTTTTATTTGAATTTAAAGATATAACCTGCAACATGTTTTTTCTAAATATGAATTTAAAGGTATAACCTGTAACATTTTTTCAAGGATTTTTTCTGAATCCTGGAAAATACATAAAAGTAAATTAATCTGCTATTCTGTAGGTAGGTGAAAGTTAATAAACATTTTAATAAGCATCTATTTCTAATGGAACTTGCAGTCAGTATCTTAGTAAAGAAGAGCTTTAGTTGATAATAAACGCTCTATTTCTGTTTTTATGAGCATAGAGATTTAGTATTCTCTCAACCACCAGACACCTTTCACAATAGAAAAACTATATTAAATATATTAAAAATAAATAAAAATAGAAGAAATCATTTGTGATGTACATTTTTTAGAGTGCGATTAAAAGAATGTCTTAAATATGTAGGTTATAAACAAAGTTTCAAATCTAGGTTTCCTTTTAGAAAAGAAAGAATTGGGAGAGCCAATTTTAAATTGATTATCAAAAAGTTAAAACAAATACAATAACTATTTTGCTATTCGTTGTCTAATCCTGAAGCAAACATTTATCTTATTCATTTATAGCTTGACTTGAAAAAAATAAAGGGAAAATGCATATATTTTCTCTGAGAGTTTCTGGCCCTCAGGATTTATTTTCCATAAACATCTAGTTATTGCCATGATGTTATATATGATTACAACTGAGCAAACATCTCACCCAGGGATTTGAGAATGTAAATAGCTCCTGAGCCAAGTTGCAGGCTTCCTTATGCTCAGGTAGGTTTATAATACATTGTGTTGTGGTTTTGTTTTGTTTTTAATCACTTCTTAGACTCCCAGTTTGGTTGAACATAGCCCAAGAAGCCTCTCTTTCCAAAACACAAAAATTAAGCTAAAGACCTGACCATATGTTTGGTCCTGATGGTGCTTATTTTCTGGGTTAGATTCAAAGAATAAATAAAATGAATGAAATGAAGCAAACCATCTCTCCAGCAGTAAGACTTAAAATGCTGAAGTGAGGGGCTCATTGTGAGCTTTTTCTCTGAGTGTAACCTATGTCTGTCTTGCAGGAAATTAACAAGGTTGAGTGGGCCCAGGGGCCAGTCAATTCTCATCCATTTCCTTTGACTTTCAGCACCTCTCTCTGACTCATGTTTCTCATCTGAAGTACTGGGGAGGCTGGATTAGGATTCGTGGTTTCAAATTAATCTCTGTGGTGCCCTGGAGATTTCTTCAAGCTTTCTTTACGGAATATCTGATGGGTAGTGAGGGTGGGAGGAAGTTCAAGCTCTCTGCTGAATGCCGATCTATACTTTTTACTTATACATTTTATTGTACTCCACGTATGGTTTCTCTTGAATGACTTATAATAAACAGAAAGATTTAGTTGAATAACTTAGGGGAACTCTGAAACAAATGCCTAATGTTATTTTCAGGAATTTTATCTTATTTGAGATTCTCTGGAACTCAGGTAATATTTCTAATTCAGGGTGGAGTGTGGTAGTCCTCTCTCATGTGGGACAAGTCTAGATATGTCTCCTTGTAGAGCCTCCAGGCTATCTTAAAATTAGTCCCCCTAAGCCTGGAAAGAAGAAGCCAAACAGTCACCGAACAAACATTGAGTACCTTCTGTGCGATGTTCTAGAGGGTAAAAGATTTTTAAACACAGTCCCTGCCATCTAGGCTCAAAATTTAAGAGATATGTGTATGTGTGTGTGTGTGTGTGTGTGTGTGTGTGTTTAGGGGGTAAGTGTTGTGGGTGTGAAAACATACTGCCTCACTACATACTATGCTAGTTGTGCTAAGTGCTAAGTTAATGGTGAAAAAAAGATTTATTTAGAAGGAAGAGGAGAGAGAGACATACTTTGAACTGTGCTTTGAAAAATGAGTATGATTTCATAGTTTTCATATATATATTATATATATATTATATATTATATATATATAATATATAATATATATATATAATATATATATATATATAGAGAGAGAGAGAGAGAGAGAGAAAGAGAGAGTCTTGCTCTGTCATCCAGACTGAAGTGTGGTGGTGTGATCATAGCTTAGGGTGACTTCAAACTCCTGAGATCAAGTGATCCTCCTGCCTCAGCCTCCTGAGTAGCTAGGACCACAAAAGTGTGCATTACCATGCTCAGCTAATTTTATTTTTTGTAGAGACGGGGGTCTCACTATTTTGCCCAGGCTGGTCTTGAAATCTTGGCCTAAAGTGATTCTCCCACCTTAGCCTCCCAAAGTGTTAGGATCCACCACCTGGCCTAAACAATAAGAAGATTTCAATAAGAAGTGGTGAAAATGTACCCTTAATTCCATGCCACGTGTGTTCCTAGTATGAAAGATTTCTAGAGAGAACAAACCTTTGCTATACCTGACATATAACCATGTTGGATTTCCCTATGAGGTGTGGTTCAGTTCAGTTCTGGGAAAGATCTAGGTGATAAAATTCTAGATAAAATAATTCTAGGGATTCAATGAAGTTTTCTAAAGGAATTCCAGATCAATTTAGATCTCTACAAAACGTCAGAGACTAGGGAAGAAGTTTTTACTAGGCTTCTATGACACAGAACTCAACTCAAAGCAGATTGTAACCAATTTCCTTGCTATCTACCTTCTATTGTGGCTGCCAAATCAAAGACTAGATGGCATTAGAGTCTCCTAAGGGCAGGAGAATCCCTCCTTGCTCTTCTCATTGGGGTCCTCAGATGTCACACAGTTTCTGGAGTATCCTGTGTGCTAGAGCTTAAAATAACCTGATCCTGAGCTTCATTCTTCTGATTTTCTCTTGAGTGATTCAAGAGAAGTTATAAGAAGGTAATCTGAAGGGGCTGGGTAGTGCAGAGTGCTACCTTGGCAGCAATGATACTTGCTGAGAATCCTGGCTTCATTCTGTCTATTATTGTGTTTTGTCCCTGGAGAAAATAGGCAAGACCTATATTTTCAGATTTTTATAATGCAAAATGAGGAATAAATCAATTTTCTTCTGTCACCATCTGAGAGCACTGATGCAGAGTGACACCACATTTCCGTCATTTCTCAGGTAAAAGATATAATAAAAATAAAAATATCATCTATTCTGAAGACTGCCAAGTTCAGCTTACTCTTTCTGTTGGGGTAGAGCAGAAGTCAGATTAAAGGGAAATTATTCACAAAAAATAACCTTTCAAGGTTTCCTTTTTCCTAGGTTCAAAAACACATATTTCAGAACACACTATAATTCATACTGTATTATTAGGAAATTGGAATAAAAGTAGAATTAAATGTTCAGTTATAAGTATATTTTTCCTTTGTAGAAGAAACCTTGGTGAATTTTCTTTAACTCTTTATTATTAAATAATTTAGTATTTTGAAGTGGCTAATGAATGGATGAATGAGAACCTATAATATGGTGTGCTGGCTGGTCCCTTTGGAAAATTTTGTAGCCATATAAGCTGTGGTCTTTGCCACCACAAACTTGTACTGCGACTGAGAAAATGAGGCAAGTGTATATATGGAATGCCAGTATGCAATATAGTTTTTTTCAGACTATAAGTCATATATTATCAGAGGATAAGAAGATCAATAAGAAAGTTATCAAGAAAGGCTTCTTGGAGCAAGTAAAATTTCTCTCTATTATAATCATCTCTCCATATATAACAGGCAAAAATTTTCTGACTGGGTGACCTTAAACACTTCAACTTTCACATGTATAAAAGGGGATCACCCACAGGCTGTTCTCTGTTACATGAAGCTAGTTGCCTTTGCTTATAGGCCTCCAGAGCTAGACTGTGGTGGAAGAAGATATCAGGAAACACACTTTCTATAATTTCCTCTTTTATATCGCTTATATATTACTCAACTAGGACGGGTATAACAAAATGCCATAGACTGGGTGGCTTAAATAATAGTTTTGGAGGCTGAAAGTCCAAGATCAAAGTTTTGGAAGATTTGGTTTCTCCTGAGGCCTCTCTTCTTGACTTGCAGGTGGCTGCCTTCTTGGGGTGTCCTCACGTGGCCTTTTCTCTCTTCCTATTGTCTCTTCTTCATCTAATATGGACACTAATCCTATTGGATTAGGTCCTTACTCTTCTGGCCTCATTTAGCCTTAATTACCTCCTTAAAAGCCCTATCTTCAAATATAGTTACATTGAGTGTTAGGGCTTAAACATATGAACTTTAATTTATTTAAATTTAATTTATTTTAATTCATACCAGCTTATAACAATGCAAAATCTTCCATATAATTTCCATTTAAATTTACTTCTCCCTCTATGCTGTTGAGCTCCTATGAGCTACCTGTATCTTATCCTGCAATAACTGGGTGTAGAACTTCATTGTCTTTCACTGTCAATCCACTTACATCAAGCATATCAGGGTTTGATTATACACAGAAGGGTCACATTATGTACTACTTAGCTTGATTTCTTCTTGGAGATGCAATCCCCATTCCTTTCTGATCTCACTTTCTATATCTAGAGCAATAAACAAGTGTTTCTTCTTTCTCTTAGAAAAGTTCCACCAATACCTAAGTCTCTTATGGTATTATCTCCTATCTGCAAGCACCTCTCAAGTAATTTTTTTCTGCTAAATATGGGGTTCTTCTTAAACTCTGAAGGAAGGTATTAATATATTATCATTTTCCATATTTATATGTATGATTTATAAATATTTCCAAGGTTGTGAAAAGTTTTTATTTAATAATTGAAGAAAGTTGCTTGAAAAACTTTAATAGCTTCCAGTTGAGCATAGTATATAGCAGTTCTAAGATTTTTCTGCCTTTTTTGTTTCAGGAATCAATTCTGTTTTGGTCTTTATTGTTTGCTGTTCTTGCTTTTGTAGAATACTTTTGATGTTCATTGTGCAACTTCTTGAATTGAATTATTAGTTCTTTTTTTTTTTTTTTTTTTTTTTTTTTTTTTTTTTTGAGACGGAGTCTCGCTCTGTCGCCCAGGCTGGAGTGCAGTGTCGGGATCTCGGCTCACTGCAAGCCCCGCCTCCCGGGTTCACGCCATTCTCCTGCCTCAGCCTCCCAAGTAGCTGGGACTACAGGCGCCCGCCACTACGCCCGGCTAATTTTTTGTATTTTTAGTAGAGACGGGGTTTCACCGTTTTAGCCGGGATGGTCTCGATCTCCTGACCTCGTGATCTGCCCGCCTCGGCCTCCCAAAGTGCTAGTTCATTTATTTTTATGTTTTCCTAAGGAATCAAAACTAGGCATGAATTTATCTCTAAAAATTATTTTCATAGTATATTTAAATTTAATTTGTAACATCCTAATTTTTATTATAGTTAGAGTTGGTAATTTTAAGTTTTCCCTCATTGACCTAATACTTCTTTGGAGATTTTATCAATTTCCAAGAAACTAAATGTTTTTGTTTTATATTTTGCTACTTATTTCTACTTTTATTGCATTGTCATTAGACACTATGACCCATAATATGCCTATTAATTGGAATTTATTGATATTTTCTTTGTAGTCTAATATATGATAATTTTTGTAAAATGTTCATGGCTCTTTGGAAAGAATATGTAGTCTCCTTTTTACATATATATATGCATATATGCGTACATAAATGCCACACAGTTGTTAAATTACATCATAATTATTCCATTCAAATATTCTGTATTTTAATCTACTTTTTCATCAAATACATATGGTAAGCTCTTAGTAATCTATTATATTTTAGTTTTTATCAATTTGTCTTCATATATTTAAATATGAGAGATATATTTGTGGAAGGTCTATATTATGATTTAATCTTTTATTCTTGTAACATAATTATCTTTGTTTAGTTAATGCATTTGACTTGGATTCTTCCTCGTTGTAAATGAATACTCAGATGGCCCACTTCACAGCTGCCAGTATTTTATTTATGCATTTTGTTTTATTTTGCCTTATATTTCTTTGTTCATTTGTTAAATTGTTTTTCTTTTCTTGTTAATTTTGGTTCGTCTCTTTTGTAAACAAAAACATAATTGGATTTTATATATTTGGCAACATCTGTGAATCTTTATGCTTTAATAAATAGAACTTAACCCATTTATATTTATTGTCTTAAACAAAATTTTTTTCTTACCATTCTTATGCCATTTTGTGCTTTGTGTTTTTCAAGTTTTTAAAATTTTATTTTTTATTATACATATATATCTATATATACCTCTTGCTCTCTCTCTACACACACACATACATATATATATATATATATCTGTCATTCATTAAAAGTACTGTGCTTTCTTTGCAGTTTAAGGGAACAAGGTGGGAGAGAGAGCATGTGAGGTAGTTGCAACAATAAACTGCCTCTTTCAGTGAAGCAGCCAGGAGTTCTTTGAAACATTGTCTACCAAGTGTAACTGCCATTGTTATGGCTCAGTATTTCTTGTGTTAGAAGACTTTCTCTGTGTAATTGGTATTGTACAACATATTTCTCAGTCATTTTTTTCATTATCATCCTCTGTTTATATACTGTATGTATATCTGTGATTTATGCAGTTAAAAAGTAAGTTTTTTTCACTCCTCCCCACCAGAAGAATCAATTTTCAATCCCTTGGAGACAATATTGCCCTCATCGAGAATGCTGCACAGAGGGGTTTCATTACTGCCACCCACTTCTACAAGAACAAGTGTTGTTTTGAAAGTATTTTTTATTTTTTCCTATAGGCATGTGGCTTCTGTATATGGCAGATTTGATGGAACTTTCAGTCCTGGCTGCCCTTCCTTTTGCAGCACTTTCTTAAAGCATCTGACATGTGGATGGTTTTCTAGTTTTTAATCCTTTTCCAATTTTTAATCACTAAATCAAATTTCCCTCCTCTCCTATATTCCTTTTTCTTTTCATGGGAAATCTAGTGGTGATGGATAGAGGGGCTATACTTACAGAATTATACCACCACCTTACTCAGAAATCCTTGTGGCTGTTTCTTAAGAAGATTATAGAATACAACCATAGGAATGGCATTAAAATGAAAAGCAGCAAATGTTTTTCTTCAGAAAGCTGGATAACTTAGTATGGTTGACAATTCGTAGGAGAAATAGTAATGCTATACGTCAAACCTGGGATAATCATTTTGTATTAATGCCACTTTCTCTGCACACCAAAGTCACTCTTCATATTAATTAGAACACAGATGATAATTTAATGTGATTTTATGCATTATATGTTATGTATAATGTAGGGAGCTATTTTTTTCTGCCTCGAAGATTGCCATCAGTTAATGATCCAAATAATTTTAATTTTTGAATTACAGTTTTCTTGCTTAGAACTCCAGTGTAACTGTGGAAAAGAGTGATAATCAGATTTGTTTACATTATATTTCATATACTTAGAGTAGGCCGTACTATTGCCTCAGGAGCCTCAAAGCCATTAGAAAGCCATAATGCTTAGTAGCTTGATCCAAGCATACGACATGGTAAGAAAATGAACGTTTCATTGTTCACAGCTGCCATTACATTCAGAATCCTAAGGTGAGGTGATTGTGAGTGATGATAAAATTAGCATATTTGGTATGATGTATTTAAATATAATTAAGTGCATTTCTTAAAATGGTTTCAAATGTTTATAAAAATGTTAAAAATTTTGTAGTTCCTTTAGTTTACTTATACTTTTCATTGTTTACATTACTTCTTACATTTCATTGTTTACATTAACCAATTTGGGGAGAAAAAAATAAAAATGTAGTTTTCTGAAGGCTTTTTCCCCCCTTCCTTCTTTAGCAAACACCACACATCCTCATTTTATTTCAGATCTGAAATGGCAAATGCTGCTTTAATAAGTGGTGGGATTTCTCCCTTGCTATGTCCCCTCGTTCTCCCTCTGTTCCTTTCTTCTTTCTTTTTTTATTTCTTCCTTCCATCCAAGTAAACTGTATTTTATCTTTGACAAGTAAAAGGTAAGTGAAATAAAAAGATCAGCTGAAAGTGTATTCCTGGCCAGATGGGAGTTATTCACATCTATAACATCTGAAAAACATTCCCTTTATTCTTCATTATTGGTCCTCTTTTTGCTTTTTCTGGACATGGGGATATTAATTTCTTGATGCCTCTCTGCCCCGAGCTGAAAAAATGGTAAAATATAATGAAGAACTAGAATTTTCGCTTTAGCCTCTTGTGTCAATCTTTAAACTATATGTTCTAGTTTTTAATTGCAGATGCTCTTTGACTTGGAATGGGGTTATGTCTCGGTAAACTCATCATAAGTGTAAAATATCATAAATAAAAAATGCATTTAATACACTTAACCTGTTGAACATTATAGCTTAGCCTAGCTTACCTTAAACATGCTCAGAATACTTACATTGGCCTGCCGTTGGGCAAAATTATCTAATGCAAACTCTATTTTGTAATAAACTCTTGAATATCTCATACAATTTATTGAATACTGTACTGAAAGTGAAAAGCGTAATCGGGTTGTATGAGTACTTGAAGTATGGTTTCTACTAAATGTGTATCATTTCCACACCACAGAAAAGTCAAAAAATTGTAAGTTGAACCATTGTAAGTTAAGTCAGGAAATATCTGTATTTACTTTCAACTAATAAGTTACTTATTAGGATCCAAATAAGTATCAGCAATTGTGCTGGATGCTGTGTACCTGAAGAGTGGAACAGACATATTGTTCCTTCTCTATCTCTTTCATAAATAAACGAGTGTAGAAGAAAATCGACCCAAGCACTGTGATCGTAAGTCATTATTTGATAATGCCAGCACAAGGAGGCTTTGAAGTAACTTTCTTATTTAGGAAAGGAAGAAATGTTTTATAGGATCGTAGCAAGAGTAGGTCAGCAGAAGTTCATCAGGTTTAAGAAATTTATTGGCCAAAGATGGTTCTTTATAGAGGATGCATTGTTCTTGCAGATTAGCAACAACTTTCAGTCAGTTCGTGTTGTATCAAGAAAGGTGGAGAGGACTATAAGTCATGTGCAAGAGGAGATGGGGACAAACAGCTGCAGGGGACAAGGACAAGGGAGGTCTTAGGTGAAAAGTCATTAGTCTTTCAAAGTCTCTCATTGAAGATAATTATGAAGTATTGATAAATGTGAGGAAATCAAGAATTGGAGATTCTGCTTTATTTTACCACAGAGTGCAAGGTAATCCTAAGAACATCAACACTTTTATGCAGATTGGTGAAAATTGCCAGAATGTTTGAAGACAACACCCATGCCTTACTCTGCTGCAGCTTCTATAGGAGTAAAGACAGGAAGTTGTACAAGTTAGTTATCCCACTGAGTGTGTGCTGTTATTCAAACTTACCCCACAAACTTTATTGAGTTCTTCCAATGGACACAGTCTTTCTGTCATAATTTAGTGAAAGAAACAAACCTTACTAATCATGCTAATAAGCATATAACACAAAGTGAGAGATATATTGTGAAGAAGAGGAATAGGGTCTCTGAGAATACCTAGTAAAGTACCTTTACCCAAACTAGAGAGTGAAGGAAGACTTTCCTGAGGAAGTGACAGGAGGTGAGCTTTGAAAGTGAATAAGCATTGGAGAAGAGGACATGATTAGATTTGAATTTTGAAAGTTCACTGTTAGTTTATCCTTACATGTTACTTTAAAGTAAACTTGCAATCTAGATATTTTATTTTCTTTAATTTTTTATTGGGAAGGTGAATGATATTTTAAACATCAAAAATGCTTAATATTACTGTCTTAAATACAATCATGTTCAATTTTCTGTATTGCCTTCCAATTTGTATATACATGCATACATATTTTTATGGTGACATTCACAATAAATGGACAATTTTTAATCTGTTTATTAAACTGAATATTTATCAAAAGCATTTTTCATTTTTTCCTTAGTCTATATACATAAACTTGGGAATTACTTTACTATGTATCATCACTGTGACACTTTTGAATTTGTTAAGATATTTCCCTCTAGTTGGAAATTAATGTGTCCAGCGTTGGGGTTCACTGTATAAAGATTTTTGTTCCTGTTGAATTATGTTACTAAGAAAAAAATCCTATAGATGGGAGCACTGAATTATAGTTTTATCTTAGCAATATTCATCAATACATTTTGGTATTCCTGCTTTGGAAAATTTGCCATGCACCTTTTACTATAAAGAGTTTTAAACCTGTTTATTTGTATATACTTGCTTTGCATTTGTAGAAATGATCCATTTAATATTTTTTTTGGTGGAAAAAACATTTTTGTTTAAAAGGAAAAGAAGCAGCAAATATTTTCCCTGTCTTCTTTGCTAGAAAGAGATAATTGCACAATTGTGTACCAACCACTAGGAGTCACTAGTTTACCACATCCTCACTGCAGGAGATTATACCTACAGTCCTATGCACAAAGCTAATTGAGTGGCGTTGAGAAAAGCCACACGTGGTGCAAATCTTATTAAAATGCCAACACATTTGCTGCCTTAGAAAGAAAAAGAAGTATATGTACGCCACTCTTTCGGTCAATAAAATAAATTGGTGAATCAGGCAATGATATTTTAAATTTTTATGTTTTTTACCTTCTACCTCAAGAAACAGCATGTCACAAAAGTGTGGATGATTTTGTCCATAACAAAATATCAGGTTTGAAGAATTGAGGAATCCAGCCAGTTCTGGACAAGGTCTGATTGAGTCCGAGGACTTAGAAGTTGTTCAGTGCAACTCTGCAGTGTACTTGCTCAGGACTGATGTCATGCGAAAGGCTTTATCTACTACTATGGGTCCTACAGGAGAACACCTCAAATATAAGCATATGAGTTTTCAGGTTTCTTCATTATGCTACTTTATCACAGGCAGGATTTAATCAATAGAGTGGTTATTATTTTTTTCAGACTAGTGTTACTTTAGAAGCATGCACAAAAAATTATATATTTCTTCAAGTATGTTTTAAAGATGAAATTTAGAGGTCAAAATGATTTTATTAGAAGCAAAATTATTATGGAAGTGAAGTGGAGATTTAATTTTGTTTATAAATCCTGCTTTATATGTAGTGCTACAGAAATCTATCTTGAACATAAATAAAGTTACGATCATCTGTCCTTGTGACTTGTGGTGCTCTGCTGTGGCTAATACCGTCTGATTAAAAATACACATTATGGCAGGATAGAAATAGCTTTGGTTACAAAATGACAGGGAACAAAGCAAAGACATAAATTTACTCCAGCCAGTGATATTTTATGGCCTTAGTAAGTCATCTTTAACTTTGACCTAAAGTTACTTGGAGAATAAATCAGCCTAGTTTTTCCAACTTGTGCTTTTTGATATGTGGCCTTTTAGTTTGCACAACAAAAAAATCTTGACCAATAATCTATGCATTCTGAAGGTGTATTATGTAATTCTAGTAAAACAACAGCTTTGTCTGTGGTCAAGTTTTTTTTTTCAAATAGTCTATTCCATTTATTGTGAATTTATACAGCAAAACTGTAAATCCTACAAGTGTAGGTTTATTGTAGACAGCTATCATCCTTAATTATCATGTTTTGAAGATGACTCTGTAGTGAACATGCAAAATTCCATCTATAAAGGAAGATTAAATAACATCCTGACAAAATAAAATATAAAGTCTAATAAATATAAATTTTATGTTAATATTTTATATTAATAAAAGACACGTTAGTAATTATAAAAGTCTTACAATACGTATGTGTACACCTTTCTGTCTTATCCTTCACAATGGGATGGGCTGTCTTTGTTACAATCTCTTGGCCACCAACTACTCTATGTTCTACTTCCTGAATATTATTTACTTCTGTTCCTTTTCCTTAATTCCCACTATATCAGTTCAGTCTCTTATGTTTAGTTGGTAGCCATTTTGACAATTTATTGAGAAAATAAATTTTATCCTTTGATGTCATTTATATGTATTTTAATTTATATAAATATGTACATATATTTGCAAATATTCTATATTAATAGGTTATTACCCATAGGTAAGATACATTTGGGGTAGATGATGTCTTAAAATAGATTACTGAAAGTTGAAATTTGGTTTGCTTTTTTTCCCTTTATTTTTGTCATCTGTAGGACACTTCAAATATTTAGTGAAGCTTATTATTGATCACAGAGTAGATTAGCAAATTGTGATTTTAATGAGCAGAAATCTAGTGTGTCTATTTACATAGGCAGTGTCCTGGCTAATATTCAAACTGTAACTAAAATCTATAGCAGAAGGGAATAATAATAAAAATATGTAGCTGAAAATGTATAAACCGTGTTTTTTTATTTTCTGTATCTTCTGAGGCTTTAACATCTGGGACCTTGCTAACACTGGAGAGACTGCTCCTCCAGGGTCATCTAATTCCTAGAGATAGCAAAGGACTTGCTCAAGAACGAGTCTTGATTGCAAATGAGTCTTGAATGCAAAGGAGCTCCTCCCCACAGTCACCTCCCCTATGGGACTCTCACACTCAGGGTGCGCCATCTCCCTGATCACCCCAGGGCCCGGAATCAGAAAACTAGGGATGGCCTTTCTGTCCCAGAGCCCACTGAAGTTATTTAAAGCAGCCAATCGTAAGCCTGTTCACCCTGCCTTGCTTTTTCCATGGAAACCACAATAAAGGCCCCTGCCCTCATTTCTGCCTCTCTCCCTCTGCCTCCTAATGATCCCAGTTCTTCCCTGTGTGGCTCCTGCATGGCATGGCGTGCCTCCTCCCTCCTCTCGGGAACTGTGAGTACAAACTCTCTTTTCCATGTCAATTGTTTTCTCATCTGTTGGCCTCACCATACCTGAATAATAATAAAACCTACATTTTAAAATAGAAGAGAATAATACTTTTTTAAAAGCGTATATTTCTTACTTTATGTCAGGCACAATGGTCCTTCCAGTTTGATGAGGTAAATGCAATTATTACCCCCATTTTCCAAATAAAGGGACTGAGGCTGGGTGAGCCTCATTTCACAGCCAACATTTCACAGCCAGGAGATGATAGAGCAAAGTTTAAAACAGGGCCTTCTGAACGTGAGTCCATAAAAATATGTTTCCTATCACTTAACTCTGCTCTGTTGAAAAACATCAGCAAATTCATCCACTTCCTTTCCATTCTTACTTTTCTTCTGTTGGCTGACCCCTTTCTTAATAAAGATAAACTTGAAAAGAATACACCAAAACTTCTAATCTATAAATGGAGAGTGCCACATTTTTATTCATGTACAAATGTTCCATGCACATGTAATTAAGTAGAGTATAAATACTACCTCCACACATCTGGAAAATAATAGAAAATATGGAAAGGACAGTCTCTGAAGACAATATCACAAAAACGCAAGTGAAAGATACATTGTAAAAATGTTAATGATTGACTAAACATTGTCAAAATGGCCAGGCTTGTAAGGAAAAAAATGTCTGTTTGTGGTTCTTCATAAAAAATAAAGAAAACACAGCAGGTTTGCATTTGGGCCGACATGCTTGAATTTCATGTTTGTGGCATTTCCTGACAGGACATCATCTGTCCCAAACATTTCATGTGTTCTGACTTTTCCATAAGGCAGAGGGTCTTGTTTCAAGGAATAATTACCTCTGAAAATGGAAATTTAAACAGAAGAAATGTTTTTCACCTTTTTGATCATTCTTCTTGACTATGGTCAATAGTTGGAATTTTGTGTGTCAGAGATAAGTTTTGAGAGTTTACTTTAAAAAATGATTGGCAAATTGGTAGATTTGGCTTTCCCAGGCATGCAATACAGCTAACATTGGTGACTTGATGTCCGGTACCTATATTAGATCCTTCTTGGCTGTCAAAAAGTATTTTAAGTCAATAGAACTTAGGAAGAAATGACTTCATAGGTGCACAATCCAGATAACAACCGAGGTCCCTGACCACTTAGGATATAGGAAATATTAAAAGCTGCAAAACTGCATTCTTGGTGCATGTCCACTATTGAGAATGAAGGAGTGATGAGGGCAGGCAGGCTTGCATTCTTATGATCCTTTCTGCCTCAGGTGTATTTCTTCTTTGTATAGTCTGTGTCCTGCACTACAGTCAACCTTGATGTTAAATTCAGCTCATTTCTGGTTTCTCTGCACATCATACCTACAAAGCATGTGTGTATAGAATTTACTCAATGCTCAGAGTTGGGTGTGAGGAGAGACAAAGGAGGGTCTTGCTTTGTACTAAAAAAGACAGCTTCCACTTAAACATGAGCTTCTTCAAGGTCCTTCGACTGCACAGCCTTTCAGGCTTCTTCACCACACAGCCTTAGTTGGTCCCATCTTGTCACTGCACATACTGTCACCTCATCCTCACCTTTCCAAGTCTCTTCCATCCACTCCCCTTTCTTTGGAAGTAAAAACAAAGCATCTTTCTTTATTTCCTATACAACAGTGAGGCCATTCTCCTTTGCTGTCTTTGGCTCCTATGCCTCTCCCATCCTCAGGTCCACTTTTTCCCTCAAGATATCCCAAGATCAGGCCATTCTCCATAATTCAGATTTTTTCCTTAAAGTCTGATTGCTTGGTACAACTATTAGGAATTGTTAAAAACCCATTTAAAGTTTATTGCACACTAAATTAAGAAAACAGCTTTAATTCACTAACAGTATCTAAAAAGTAGACAACTTGATGCAGCCTAAAGTACATGGTTGGCTCAATTGTTTGTATGCATCGGTAAAAGACAATAAACCTACTAAATTCCTAAGATTGTTTGCTATCAGATGGTTGCTGGAATTTAGTTTCTGGTTAATGTGTCTTTGTTCACCTTTCGTGATACACAGTATTCCCCAAACAATCCAAAGTTTTGATTTCCATGGTTTCAGTTACTCACAGTCAACTGCAGTTTGAAAACATTAAATGGAAAATTCCAGAAATAAGCAATTCATAAATCTTAAGTTGTGCACCGTTCTGAGTAGTATGATAAAATCTTGCACTATCCTGCTTTGTCCCTTGGCATGTGAATCATCTCTTTGTCCAGTGTCTCCACACTATACATGCTTTCTGCCTGTTACTCACTTAGAAGGCGTCTAAGGGGGTGGGCACTGTGGCTCACACCTGTAATCCCAGCACTTTGGGAGGCCGAGGCAGGTGGATCATGAGGTCAGGAGATTGAGACCATCCTGGCCAACATGGTGAAACTGTCTCTAGTAACAATACAAAAATTAGCTGGGTGTGATGGTGCACACCTGTAATCCCAGCTACTCAGGAGGCTGAGGCAGAAGAATCGCTTGAACCAGGGACTAGGAGGTTGCAGTGAGCCAAGAATGCGCCACTGCACTCCAGCCTGGTGACAGAGCGAGGCTCTATCTTAAAAAAAAAAAAAAAAAAAAAAAGAAGGCATCTAAGTCTCATGGTATAGCAGTGCTTATGGTCAAGTAATCCTTTTCTACTTCACAATGACCCTGAAGTGCAAGAGTTGTGATGCTGGAATATTATTACAATTATTCTATTTTACTATTAATTGTTGATATCTCTTACTGTGCCTAATTTATAAATTGTTAGAGGTATATATATATATACAGAGAAAACCTCAGTATATATAGGCTTCCGTACCATCTTTGGTTTCAGGCATCCACGAGGGGGTCCTGAAATGTATCCTCCAGAGAAGGGAGCACTACTGTATAAGCCTACTCTGATTGTGTCATTACTAAAACATATGGGGAAAAGTGGTGATGACTATATTACCAATTCGTATATTTTTAGCCGTATACTTGGACTGTATTTATAGCTATAGGTGTTTTTCTCTTTCTTCAACTTCTCTCTTTTTTCACTTTTTTCTTGAGAAGGCGCCTCACTCTGTTGCCCAGGCTGGAGTACAGTGGTGCTATCTCGGCTCACTGCAACCTCTACCTCCCGGGTTCAAGCAGTTCTCCTGCCTCAACCTCCTGAGTAGCTGGGATTACAGGGAGCCCTCATTGTGCCCAGCTAATTTTTGTATTTTTTTTTTTTTTGGAGAGACAAGGTTTCACCATGTCAACTTCTATCTTTTAAAGACGATAGGATGCCTTTGTAACACTGTCCATTTTTCCCCCCGGTGTACAATTAGCTGTGTATGCAGTAAAATATAAAATATACTTTTAGTGAGTCTCTACTTTGCTCTTTTGCTTGTTTTAAATATGATTATCTCATTATTGTTTTTAAATTCACCTTGGGCAAGAGCTAAGTCCCATCGTGCCTCAGTAGATAATTGGGCGTAGGGCTTGATGGTAGACTTTGCAGAAGGTCAAGCTCGCTCTCTTATTTGAGTTTTTGCCTCTTGGAAAGTATCCAGTTTAAAATGCTGAATTCAGGAATCAGTGACAGTTATGTGTTCTTCACTCTGAGGAAGGATTTCTAAATTTATGTGGTGTTTTCCCGGGGAGAAATGTTTTTATTTGTACTCGTAAAAACACATGTCCTCGGTGTATGTGTCTCATTGGAAGCTTCCAAATAGCTTCTTTGTAATTGTGTGTGATACCTCATTATGTTGTGAAGGGGTGGCCCTGCCCCTCCACACCTGCGGGTATTTCTAGTTGGGTGGGATGAGAGACTGAGAAAAGAAATAAGACACAGAGACAAAGTATAGAGAAGCAACAGTGGGTCCAGGGGACCGGTGCTCCAGCACACCAAGGACCTGCACCGGCACCGACCTCTGAGTTCCCTCAGTTTTTATTGATTATTATTTTCATTATTTCAGCAAAAAGGAATGTAGAGAGCAGGGTGATAATAAGGAGAAGGTCAGCAAAAAACATGTGAGCAAAATAATCTATGTCATACTTAAGTTCAAGGGAAGATACTATGCCTAGATGTGCATGTGGGCCAGATTTATGTTTCTCTCCACCCAAACATCTCAGCGGAGTAAAGAATAACAAGGCAGCATTACTGCAAACATGTCTCGCCTCCCACCATAGGGCGGTTTTTCTCCTATCTCAGAATCGAACAAATGTACAATCGGGTTTTATACTGAGACATTCAGTTCCCAGGGGCAGGCAGGAGACAGTGGCCTTCCTCTATCTCAACTGCAAGAGGCTTTCCTCTTTTACTAATCCACCTCAGCACAGACCCTTTATGGGTGTCGGGCTGGGGGACAGTCAGGTCTTTCTCATCCCACGAGGCCATATTTCAGACTATCACATGGGGAGAAACCTTGGACAATACCCCGCTTTCAAGGGCAGAGGTCCCTGCGGCTTTCCACAGTGCATTGTGCCCCTGGTTTATTGAGACTAGAGAATGGCGATGACCTTTATCAAGTATACTGCCTGTAAACATTTTGTTAAGAAGGCACGTCCTGCACAGCCCTAGATCCCTTAAACCTTGATTTTATACAACACATGTTTTTGTGAACTCCTGGCTGGGTCAAAGTGGCTGGGGCAAAGTGGCTGGTACAAAACTACAAATTAACAACATCTCAGCAAAGCAATTGTTTAAAGTACAGGTCTTTTTCAAAATGGAGTCTCTTATGTCTTCCCTTTCTACATAGACACAGTGACAGTCTGATCTCTCTTTCTTTTCCCTACAATATTTTAGGTGATTTATCCCTGAATACTGGGCTACATGTATCAATGCTATGCTTTTTCCTTCTTCCTGTACCCTTTTATCCAGCTTAAAATTTCCAGGGACAAAAAGATGATAATTTATCTTGATATCCTAGAAAAAGGAGGTATTGAAACTTATGAATGATGTAGACAGGACCTGTATTGAATGATGATATGGTTTGACTCTGTGTCTTCACCCAAATCTCATGACAAATTGTAATCCCCATGTGTCAAGGAAGAAACCTGGTGGGAGCTGATTGGATCATGAGGAGAGTTTTCCCCCATGCTATTCTCAAGATAGTGAGTGAGTGCTCAAGAGATATGATGGTTTAAAAGTGTGTGGCATTCCAGCCCTTCCCCTGTCTCTCCTGCCACCACATGAAGAAGATCCTTTCTTCCCCCTTTGCCTTCTGTCATGATTGTAAGTTTTTTGAGGCCTCCTAGGCATGCTTCCTGTTAAGCCTGTAGAACTGTTAGTCACTTAAACTTCTTTTCTTCATAAATTACCCAGTCTCAAGTAGTTCTTTATAGAAGTGTGAGAATGCAGCACACCAACATGGCATATGTATACGTATGTAACAAACCTGCACATTGTGCACATGTACCCTAAAACTTAAAGTATAATAATAATAAAATTAAAAAAAACAGAAGTGTGAGAATGGACTAATACAGAAAATTGGCACCAGGAAAGTGGGGCATTGCTATAAAGATACCTGAAAACATGGAAGCAACTTTGGAACTGGGTACAAGCAGAGGTTGGAACAGTTTGAAGGGCTCAGAAGACAGGAAGATTAGGGAAAGTTTGCAACTTCATAGAGACTTGTTGAATGGTTGTGATCAAAATGCTGATAGTGATATGGACAATGAATTTCAGGTTGAGTGGTCTCAGATGGAGATGAGAAACTTCTTGAGAACTGGAGCAAAGGTCACTCTTGTTATGCTTTAGCAAAGAGACTGGTGGCATTGTGTCCCTGTTCTAGGGACCTGTGGAACTTTGAACTTCAGAAATATGATTTACAGCATCTGGCAGAAGAAATTTCTAAGCAGCAAAGCATTCAAGAAATTGCCTGGCTGCTCTTAACAGCATACAATCACATGCATTCACAAATAGAGGGTCTGAAATTGGACCTTATGTTTAAAGGGGAAGCAGAGCATAAAAGTTTGGAAAATTTGCAGCCTGACCATGTGGTAGAAAAGAAGAAAACATTTTCTGGGGGAAAATAAAAGCTGGCTGCAGAAATTTACGTAAGTAAAGAGGAGCTGAATATTAATAGCAAAGACAATGGGGAAAATGTATTGAGGGCATGCCAGAGACTTTACTGACTGCCCCTCATAACATAGGCCTGGAGGCCTAGGAGAGAAAACTGCTTTTGTGGGTCAGACCCAGGACCCCACTGCTCTGTGCAGCCTTGGGACATGGCACCCTGCATCCCAGCCACTCCAGCACCAGCCATGACTAAAAGGGGACAAGGTACAGCTTCAACCATTGCTTCAGAGGTTTAAGCCTCAAGCCTTGGTGGCATCCACATGGTGTTGGGCCTGTGAGTGTGCAAGAGATGAGAGTTAAGCTTTGCGAGCTTCTGCCTAGATTTCAGAGGAAGTATGGAAACACCTGGATGTCCAGGCAGAAGTCTGCTGGAGGGGTGGAGCCCCCATGGAGAACCTCTACTAGGGAACTGCAGAAGGGAAATGTGGGGTTGGAGCTCCCACACAGAGTCACCACTGGGGCACTGCCCAGTGGAACTGTGAGTAGAAGGCCACCATCTTCCAGACCTCAAAATGGTAGATCCACTGACAGCATGCATCATGCACCTGGAAAAACCACAGGCACTCAACGACAGCCCATGAAATCATCTGTGGGGGGTAACCCTGCAGAGTGACAGGGGTGGAACTGCTCAAGACCTTGGGAGCCCACCCTTTGCATCAGTGTGCCCTGGAGACATGTAGTCAAAGGAGATTATTTTGGAGCTTTAAGATTTCATAACTGCCCTGCTGGGTTTTGGACTTGAATGGGGCCTATAGCCCTTTTGTTTTGGCCAAAGTCTCCCATTTGGAAAGGGAGCATTTACCCAATGCCTGTACCCCCATTATATTTTGGAAGTAACTAATTTGTTTTTGATTTTACAGGCTCATAGATGGAAGGGACTTGCCTTGTCTCAGATGAGATTGTGGACATGGACGTTTGAGTTAATGCTGGAAGGAGTTAAGACTTTGAGGGACTGTTGGCATGATTGATTTTGAAATGTGAGAAGGACATGAGATTTGGGAGGGTTCAGGGGTGGAATGACATGGTTTGGCTCTGTGTCCCCACCCAAATCTCATATCAAATTGTAATCCCCACATATTGGGGGAGGAACCTGGTGGGAGGCAATTGGATCATGGGGGCAGTTTGCCTCATGCTGTTCTCATGATAGTGAGTGAGTTCTCATGAGATGATCTGGTGGTTTAAATGTGTTTGGCAGTTCCCCCCTCACTCTCTTTTTCCTGACACCATGTGAAGAAGGTCCTTGCTTCCCCTTCACCTTCTGCCATGATTGTAAGTTTCCTGAGGCCTCCCAGTCATGCTTCCTGTTAATCTTGTGAAATTGTGAGTCAATTAAACCTCTTTTCTTCACCAATTACTGAGTCTCAGGTAGTCCTTTATAGCAGTTTGGGAACAGACTAATACAAACGAGTTTAGTTTCTGACATTTTTTAGTTGCAAATTATACCTGTTTGTTGTGGTGAAACAATTTTATTATTATAGCACAATCTTCAGCTTTAATTCTATGCTCACTTTTTTTGTGGACTCCTGTAAATTGATTAGGTTCTTTTTCCCAATGTTGGATCAGTTTTGACAATGAGAGTAATGCTGTATCATCCAACTTTATGTTGCTCAAGAACAAATTACCACGGCAAGATGAGAGACTGTGGCCAGATTGCAAACTATAAACACCAAGGGTTCAAGCCACAGAATTTTGCCTTGCTGTACTGAGTTATTCTAACACTAACATCCAAAGCAGGAAGTACTCCTTGGAAAGTGAGACTCCAGATGTGGGTGAAGGGCAGGGAGACCAAGCATCCAGCATCTGTTTCTTGGTGTTCAATCTTGAGAATTCTTGTCTACTGGGGAGGCCAAAGTTTGGAAAGGGACATACAGCATGGTCTTCATGAAGCAAATGTTTATGAGAAATGACTATGAATCTGGTCCCATGCTAGGCACCAGTTATACAGTGTTGAATTAAATATTTTGTTGTCATGGATATTGCGGGAAGTCAGGGACCCCAAATGGAGGGACCGGCTGAAGCCATGGCAGAAGAATGTGGATTGTGAAGATTTCATGGACATTTATTAGTTCCCCAAATTAATACTTTTATAATTTCTTATGCCTGTCTTTACTACAATCTCTAAACATACATTGTAAAGATTTCATGGGCACTTATCACTTCCCCAATCAATACTCTTGTGATTTCCCATGCCTGTCTTTACTTTAATCTCTTAATCTTGTCAGCTGAGGAGGATGTATATCGCCTCAGGACCCTGTAATAATTGCATTAACTGCACAAATTGTACAGCACGTGTGTTTGAGCAATATGAAATGTGGGCACCTTGAAAAAAGAACAGGATAAGAGCAATTGTTCAGGGAATAAGAGAGGTAACCTTAAACTCTGACTGCCGGTGAGCTGGGCAGAACAGAGCCATATTTCTCTTCTTTCAAAAGCAAATGGGAGAAATATCACTGAATTCTTTTTCTCAGCATGGAACATCCCTGGGAAAGAGAATACATGCCTGGAGATATAGGCTTATAAACAGCTCCCCCAGGTGCATCTGTCTCTTATGGTCGAGACTGCAGGGGTGAAATAGACCCCAGTCTCCCATAGCACTCCCAGGCTTATTAGGAAGAGGAAATTCCCACCTAATAAATTTTGGTCAGACCAGTTGATCTCAAAACACTGTCTCCTGATAAGATGTTATCAATGACAATGGTGCCCGAAACTTCATTAGCAATTTTAATTTCACCTCCATCCTGTGGTCCTGTGATCTCGCCCTGCCTCCACTTGCCTTGTGATATTCTATTACCTTGTAAAGTACTTGATGTCTGTGACCCACACCTATTCACACACTCCCTCTCCTTTTGAAAATCCCTGATAAAAACTTGCTGGTTTTTGTGGCTTGTGGGGCATCACGGAACGTACTGACATGTGATGTCTCCCCCGGACACCCAGCTTTAAAATTTCTCTCTTTTGTACTCTGTCCCTTTATTTCTCAAGCTGGCTGACACTTAAGGAAAATAGAAAAGAACCTACATGACTATCTGGGCAGGTTCCCCGATAAAGGAGCTTACATCCTATTGTGTGTTGGGAAAGGGGAGCAGTAGAGGAGCAGGTAAATAAATATGCACTCCATTACAGATTGAAAACTGAAATAGGGTTAACTAATAGATTCTGGGATTGACAGCAATTAGGAAAATAAGTTAATTAGTTTGGTGATCAGAGAAGATTTACTTGAGGATCTGAGACTTAAAGCATTCCAATGAGGCCACCAATGGCAGTTAGACCTTCTGGCATTGGAGATTTTGTATATTCAAGCATGTGCTGATGCTTTAATGCAAGAAGGAGCTGGGCTTGTTCTAGGAGCTAGAAGAAAATGGAAAGGAAGCCCAGTGAGACCTTCATGAACATCAGACAGAGATGGGGTTGTGAGGTAGGGTTAGAGAGTTAGACAGGGCCATGCTGTACAGGATCCTGTAGATCAGGGAAAAGAGTTTGGCTTCTGATATGAGTGGAAACCAAAGGTATTTAATGTTTTTAATCAGGAGAATGACAAGTGAAGTGATCATTGATGAGTTTCTAAAAGATCATTCCGGCCTCTGCATAGAGAGGAGGTTGGAGGCAAGCAAGAATAAAACCAGGGAGGTGGTGGACCCCAGAAATAGTGTGTTAGCAGTAAAAGTGATAAGAAATGGATGCATTTAAAATAAACATTGCATGTAAATCAACAGGACTTACTGATGAATTGAATGTGGGATGATGAAAAATGAGAAGTCAAGGTCAATGGCTAGAATATTGATTTGAGTAAGAGAATATTTGGTAGTGCCATTTATCGTTTAGTAGCTACATGCTTTAGCTTAAAAGTCCAAATCATTTCCATGTGAGAGTTTTTGCTTTGGATCTTAGAAGCTGCCTCATTCTAATAAATGTCTTTGGCTTTTACTCTCACACCTCATAATATCTTAACTGGCTAATTTTACACTTTAAAGCGTTTTGCCCATTTTGTTTCATTTTTACAATGTTTCCAAGGCTCTCTTTATCTTAACTTTTAAGTTTTCTGTGACTCTGGTTATAATACATTATTCACTAACATCTTTTTCCTAGTTTTTATTTGCTTAGTTTTATCTAGTTTTCATTGATTATATTAAATTTCTTTTCATTCTTGGAATAAAAACTTTTTAACGTTTTAGTTTTTGCTTCTTTAAGTACATTTTAATTTCTCTTCATTTTTTCATCTTTTTAGTATTTAGTATGTTAATTTTTATCTATGACTGTGTTTTACCTCAGTAAGTGGCTAGCAAGATAAATAGTCATTGCATGGATAGGTTTTCTATTAGCCCATCTTCTAAACAAGAGGACGGTATATTTACTTTCTGGATGGTCCCAATACAGACCTGCCTATGTCTTTTAACAAACAACCTGTAATTTGCTCCTGTGTTTCATGAGAAGGGAAATAGGAGATGCACAGGTCAGAAGTTCTTTATAGCACAAGTTTGCCTTTACAAGTGGCACAAGCAAAATCCTGGAAGTGTCTATGAGGCACAAGATCTATGACCAGATTTAAAATCTGTGTTCTTAACATATCTTCCATCAGTGTGCATTTGACAAATTTAATATATTACTATCATAGTGTGTGATTATAATACTAGTAAAAGTAATTTATTAAGCATTTACTATGTTTTATATTGGACTGTGGTTTGACATTATTAGTATCAGGCTTATTCTCATAGTATCCCTAAGAGGTAGATATAATTTTAAATATTCTTATAAGTAAATAAAGTGAAATTGAATGAAGAAAAGCATGATCCTAGATGTGAATTCTGACCCTGCCAACTGTTAGTTGTGTGATTTTGAACAATATTCCTGTAACACTTGTACTTTTATATTTTTGTGTTTGTTTCCCTATTTTTAAGACTTAAAATTTTAAAAGACAACTTGCAGGGATGCAGTGAAGATTAAATAAATAATGCTTGAAGAGCATCTTATTAAATTATTAGAGCTTTCTCTTTAGAGTCTGTTACTTTGTCATTGCGCAACCTTCCTTCTCCTGCACCTCTTATGACATTTTCCTGGCATTGTCCTATCCATGGAAATATCAAAGGTCCTCAAAAGATCAATCACAGCAACCTTGTATGTTTCAGAAAATCTCAAGCTTGCCTTCTTTGGAGGCCACAGAGGCCAAGGCAAAGATTATGAAGGAATACCAGGCTTTGTTCTTAATCCAGATTTAGAGACCTGGGTTTATTAATCCTCCATGGATAATTAACTCCTTGATTTGCCTCTCCAAACCAGACACAGTTCTGGCAGGTAGAATCCCTGGAGAAATAGAGAAAAAGAGTCTAGAATTATGTACAGGGAATCTTTCTAGACAAGGTTATTATTGCCACCCTGTTTCACTTCTTTTCATAAACATTGTAGTTAATATAAATTTTTAAATTTTGGGTATAAGAGTTCATGCTGTCCTCCAACTCTCTCTACTGTCATCCTCATCCTATCTCTATCTACTTGTATTTAAATCTGTATGTATACATATATCTACACATAGATCTATATGTATTAGTCCATTAGGGCTGCTATAAAAAATGCCATAAACTGGTTGGCTTACAAACAACAGAAATTCATTTCTGTCAATTGTGAGACTGGGGAGTCCAAGATCAAGGTACTGGAAGACTTGGTGTCTAGTGAGAGCCCAATTCCTGGTTCATAGATGGCCATCTTTTTCCTGTGTCATCACATGGTAGAAGGCACAAAGCAGCTCTCTGGGTCCTCTTTTATAAGGGCATTAATCCTATTCCTCAGGGCTCTGCCTTCATAACCTAATCACCCCCCCAAATACTCCACCTACTATAGTGTCACATTAAGGGTTAGGATTTGAACATATGACTTTTGCTGTAGACATTCATTCTACAGCAATACATTTCTCTATATATATTTTCTATATATCTATCTATGTATCTATGTGCCTATATATCATCCATATGAATCATAAGCTAGTGATTCAAACAAGTTATGCATTTATTTGTCTTTCAAATAAATCTGGGTTGGGAGAATGCAGGGGTATACATTTCTCTGCTTCAGGAGTGACTCTTCTATATTGTTGTACCTCCCTTTAGGTTGAACTCTCACTTCATGGTTAAAAATAGTTCAACTCCATCACATATTTTCTGGAAGGGAAAAAGAGGAAGTGAGCAGCTTGCTTTTAAGAGTATCATGCCTGTAATCCCAGCACTTTGGGAGGCCAAGATGGGTGGATCACCTGAGGTCAGGACTTCGAGACCAGCTTGGCTAACATGGTGAAACCCTGCCTCTACTAAAAATACAAAAACTTAGCCAGATGTGGTGGTGAGTGCCTGTAATGCCAGCTACTCGGGAGGCTGAGGCAGGAGAATTGCTTGAACCTGGGAGGCAGAGGTTGCAGTGAGCCGAGATCGCACCATTGCACTCCAGCCTCGGTAACAAGAGAGAAACTCCATCTCAAAAAAAAAAAAAAAGAGTGTGGCCTGGAAGTTGTATGCATTACTTTTGCTGACATCTTACTTGCAAGGGCTTTATCACATGGCTATACCTAACCAAATGGGAGGCTGAGAAATATCACCTTTCGCTAAATGCTATGCCCAGATGAATTTTAGAGGATTCTCTAACTAAAAGAAAGAATGAAGAATGGATGGGGGTGGGGTGGGGATGGAGGTAATTACTATTCTCTCTTAATTATTAATAGCAGGAGGGTAGTTCCAATAAGAGATCACTTATTTAAAAAAGTGATTTTTAAGAGATCACGTAAAAAAGTGATCGCTTATTTAAAAAAGATTTAAAAAAGAAAGAAGTTGACAGTGTGATTTTTAAAAAAGCTCTTTGAAATAGGCTAAAAATTAGACTAGTATTACTTCCACTAGTCTTTTAAAAACAAGTTACTAAGGTGCTATGTGTGCCAGGCACTATGCTAAATACTCAACATATATTATCTCATTTATTTCTTACACTGCTACATGATAGAAATATTTTTCTCTTTGAAAAGTGAGGTTTTGAGGGGTTAAATATCTTTCACAAGCTCACACAGCTAATAAGTGGAGGAGACAGGATTTCATGTGGCTGAGCCCACGATGTCAAACCTGAATGTTGCAGCCTCCCAACACATCCTCTTACCTATCACTTTTCTTCCCTTCAGGACTACAGGAAGATTCTCATCAGCCTTATTCTCTTGTTTTGAAAACACATAATAAATAGACTCAAGCAGGGATCGACCACAAAAGAGTGAAATCATTTAATTTATTGTCGATCGTGCTGGTTAATTTCTGTTTTCCCTTCCAGGTCCGTTTTCTCCTTTTCCCTGGCCTACCTGGAGTCTCATGAAGGAGAACTTTATAGACTGAATCACACAAGGGCCTTTGCCCTTTGACTTCTAGTTGGATTTGGTCAGAGGGAAGCTGGAGCAGGATAGAGAGGTTGGGGGTATTGCCTCTGCTCCCTTCCTCCTGAGGCATAGTTTTGGCAGTTGTTGAGTACCTCTTAGTCCTCTTCCCAGAGCTACAGGTCTTGTTTGGTTCTGTAATACCGTACCTTCCCCATGACCCTTAGACCTAGGGGTGGTAAGAGCTTCTCATTGTTGACAGCTCCTGGGTGCTTCATCAAGCTTCTTTGTTTAACCTTGTTCACACTTCTATTGTGGGGCTCTTCGTTAAACAATTTTTAATAAAATTCTTTGGGTATGCACTCTGTTTTCTGCTAGGATCCTAAAAGATAAACCGGGTTATCATCATGAGTTTAAAATGAACAATTATTGAGCAACATATGACTTGTTAGTGCTGTAGTGCCTTATAAAAATGGGATGCCTGTTTCATTTCTTGCCCATAAGCTTCAGCACATTGTAGGGAGGTCTTTCTTGATGACAGCTGGGGATGATGTCTTTGATTCCTTGGTCATTTTACTAAGATAGTAGCATGAATAATAAAGGAATTTCTACTGAATGGATAAGCTGCAATGATGGATCTTCAGTAACCTGCTCATGCCTAAACATCCTTGGATCCCATCTGGAATGAGAGCCCATTCAAGTTGGAACTCCCTCCTGCGAATGGAATTTTAATTGACACTTTGATCAACTAATTATATTTCTCAATTATTCTCACTATGTGAATCTTCTTCAAATATTTTTCCTGCTGAGTGATTAAATATCCATTTCATCCCAGAAAAAAAAATTGACTCAATTTTCCTTAGCAGTTTGTTCACTAACTGTCCTCAGTCTTCTGACTCTTTAGAGAGCCTAGCTAGCATGCGGCTCTTTAGCATGAGAGATTTAGCTAGGCTGAAGAACACTTTATGTATTCTACAGTTTAGCTGTGGAATTTTATGACTGGAACATCCTCAAATTTCATGCTACCTTTTCATTTTAACAAGCCATAAAATTAGGTCTTTCTTCTCAATATCTTGTATAAGAAATAATCATATATTAAGCCCAACTACTCCATTCCCCTTGTTTTTTTCTATTACATTCTTTTTTACTTTATTATGACATTATCCAAAGACAATGTAAGACTTTTGTCAAACTCCATTAATCTTTCATTATTTGTTGACTCTGGACAGGAAATGTTTGTGTGCTTGACAATGATTCTTAGTTGCTCTTTGGGAATTTATTACTACTACTTCTAACTAACAACTACTAATTATTGAGTTCATATTATGTGTCATGCAACGTTCTAAATTCTTATATATTATCTCATGTAATCCTTACAACAACCCTATAAACATTATTATACCCATTTTACAAATGAGAAAATTGAGTCTTTAATAGTTGAAGTTATTTGTCCAAGTTAATGTGTAAACTGATGAGCTAAGATTTAATCCTGGATTTTATTATTATTTCTTTTTTAAAAAAAACCTTGGTGAGCTTAATCACTGCGTTCTAAAAATCAGTTTATCAATTGAACAAGCAAAAATCAAATAATCCCGTTAAAAATGTGCGAAAGACATGAACACACACTTCTCAAAAGAAGACATGCAAGCAGACAACAAACATGAAAAAATACTCAACATCACTAATTATCAGAGCACAATGAGATAACATCTCACAGTCAGAATGGCTGTTATAAGCAAAAAAAATAACAGACGCTAGTGAGGCTGCAGAGAAAAGGGAATGCTTGTATTACCATTGATGGGAAAGTAAATTATTTCAGCCAGTTTGGAGAGTTCTCAAAGAATTTAAAACAGATCTTCCATTTGGCCCAGTATTCCTATTATTGGGTATGTAGCAAAATAAAAACAAATCATTCTACCAAAAAGACACATGCACTTGTATGTTCATTACAGCACTATTCACAATAGCAAAAACATGAAATCAACATAGATGTCCATCAGCAGCCATGAAAAAGCATAACTCAGCTCTAAAGAAGAAAATCATGTCCCTTCTTAGCAACATAGATGCTGCTGAGGGCCATTATCATAAGTGAATTAATGCAGGAACAGAAAATCAAATATTGCATGTTCTCATTTATAAGGGGGAGCTAAACTTTGGGTACTCATGGACATAAAGATGGCAACAATAGACAACTGGGGCCTATTAGAGTGGGGAGGGATGGAGGGGAGCAAGGGTTGAAAAACTATTGGTTGTCATGCTCTCTACCTGGGTGGTGTGATCAGTTATACCCCAAACTTCAGCATCATGCATTATACCCAGGTAACAAACCTGCACATGTACCCCTGAATCGAAAATACAAGTTTAAATTACAAAAAAAGTAAAAAATAAAAATGAAAATCAGTTTATGCAAAGAGAATCTGGGGAAGCAGACAACAATCTTAATCTTTTAAATAGAACAGTCTTCTGGTTTTATCTAGATCAACTCCCAACACTACCTGTTTTCTAGCCTAGTGACTTGATATTACTTTTATATAATTTGATATTAATTCCGAAGGAATGGGAGAGATGGCTTTCTGCCATAGAGAAGCAAATAATACACCCTTGCGAACATCTAGTTTGATAATATGGCTTTATTATAAAAAATCAGGATTGGCCTCTATGGGAAATTGTTCTTTACAATTATGCTGAAAGAAGTGGCTCAGCACTAATTATATAAAACTAAAATCACTGTCTTTGGCAGGCATTTTCTGACACCCAAAGGTCTGTATTACATAATTGCAAAAAAAAAAAAAAAAAGTCAACTAGTTTAGCTAATTTTGCAGTTAATTCTTCCTGCCAGGGATACAGAAAAACCACGCTCTTTAGGATGAGATTATCCACAGGAGCCTTTACTGCATTTTTAAAGACACTGGTGGGATATTGTTACACCTGCCTTGAACATTTTCCAGGCCTAAGTGTTTGGCACAGAACTCCAGGGACTCAATGGGGTCTGGTCATGCACTGGAAAAGATCCAGAGCTGATTTCTGAAATAAATTCTTTTTTGGTGGGGCTCAGGTGGCCCATCTCCAAGCAGAGTTGATGAAACCTCCCATTTTTGATGGGCATGGTAGTCACAGCAACAAACATTTACGGAGCACATCTTTTGGCAGGCATCATGCTAGGTGCGGGTCGAACTCCTTCAATGCCAGCCCTGCCATCTGCTCTCCTGATTACATAGCAGAAGGATCCTTTATCAGCCAGTACTAAAGAGTCTTATGCTCCTGGTCCTCATCAGAGAGTGCAGCCTCCAGTGGTTTGCTCTTCAGTTCCCATTAAATGCCCAGCTGAGAGAAGCGATAGAAGTCATTTATATAGTATTCATCCTTCTCAATCCTCTATGTATCTGGCCTTTTACTGTCACATCACATCAGCTTGGTCCCTACCACTTTACAAAGGTGCATTTTGATGTGCCTTGGCTTGTTTTTCTATTTGAAATCATCAATCACTAAAAGAAACACCCACTTGGAATTGAATGCTGTGTTTACTCCAAAAACTGAATAAGTTAATACAGCAAATACTTATTGATTGATTATCTATGGTGCACTACACAAAATGCTGTGTGCCCGAAGAAGTCATAGCCCCTGAAATCACCACTGGACTTGCTGTGCAGTGGAGCAAAATGTGATCTGAGAGCACAAAGAAGGAATTGACTGATTTTGTCTGGGAAAATAAAGAAAGCTTTATTGAGCAGGTGACATTTAAATTGGGTTTGAAAGGATGCATACGAGTTTCCCAAGAGGTGGTGGAAGAAAGATAGAAGAAATATCAGGAAAAAAATGGAGCATGTGTAAAGGCATAAAATCTCATGCAAGGACCTAGGATGTCCAGGAGAAGGAGAGAAATTCAGGGTATGAGAAGCTTATTATATCAAAAGACAGGGCTAAGAATATTGGTGCAATCAAATAGTGAAGACACTTGTAGGCCATGCTAAAAAGAGTTTGGGTTTTACCCTAATCACTAGAAGATACTCTAACAAGTAGTATGAGGTAAACAATAATATTTATTTATCTTTACAGAAGATAAATAAATGGCAGGGAAGCAGTTAAGTGAGAGGGAAAAGGAGCCTGGTTTAAGTTAGAAGAAGGGATAAAAACTGGTAGTGGTTGGATGTAGGAGCCATTTCTGTAATAACATTTATTTGAAAACAATATTTTTATGGTTACCAAAAAAGCAAGAATACTATTTATTATGTCAACCAGTCCATCCAAAGTTTTATGCAAGATATTGTTATATTGTTTAGACTACTGTGCTTAGAAAACTGTTTCATCTAAAAAGCTAACTCAGAATCAAATTTAAGGCTCACCCATAGCTACCATTTTGAGATTTATTTAGAGTATTTCCTATAAATTTCCATTAAATTTCTATTTTATTATACTATGTTATAGATCTTTTATTGCAAGCTACTTTCTTAGTAAGATGAGGTGGTTTATGACTAAATATAAATTAAAATAAATAAAACTATATATTATATATGTATATATGTGCATTCACATATAAATATATGTGTATATATACATTAAAATTTATATTTCTTTTTGGTTAATGTGAACTTTATTTTTAGTCCTTCTGGGCTCCTCAGAAATGTTTAAGTTAATAGTTTCAAATGTTGATGTCCCATGTGGAATTCCAGACCCTGGATATCCGTACACAGATAGCTAAAATCTGTGTGGCTTTAAAAATTTTGAGAAAAACTACTTAAATGTTTGATTGTTTTCTTTTTTGATAATAGTGTTTAGAAACTCTTGACTTAGCAATTCTTCCCTAAGACCTAACAGAGTATGCTAAATACAAGCTGATTTATATCACTTTATTGTTTTCTTTAGCTTATTGTGTAAAATAGATTGCTTATGCCATGGCATGCTGTCTCACCTATGTTCCTTCCAGGGCATCAACCCAAACTGCTATGCAGAGACTCTGCTAGGATGTTTTATTGAACATAGCTTTTCTTCTGATCTTGAATGGAGGGAAATGGTGACTACGAAAGGACATGTACATATAATAATATTTGGTAGCATTATTGTCCCTATTAGTTGCCCTCCCTCATTCTCTCTGTGTGCTTGGTCAACTGCTATTCTTGCTAAAGATAAAAACTTAATGATTGTTTTGTGGAGACAGCCTTCTCCTTTAACGAAAAATTTTTAACCAAAAATTTTATTAAATTTGCCTTACTACTTGTGTTCTTAGCATCTTGTAGCATGCCCCTTTTGTACTATTTTCAACAATTATAAATAAGTTTACATTTATTTGTGTAATCTTTTGTGTAAAGTCTGTCTCCCCCAAAAGTACATTTCCTCAGTAACGGGAAGCAGTTGTGTGTTTGTGTGTGTGTGTGTGTGTGTGTGCATGTGTGGCTTTTTTGCTTATTGTATAGCTTTAACACAGCACAGTGCCTAATCCCTAATGGAGACTCAAAATAATGTTGAATGAATGGATAAATGCATGAATGAGTACGGTAGCACACTTACACATTCATAGGTCATGTGGTAAGTGTTTTTCTGGCAATCTTAGTTGGCAGAGGCCTGATTTCTTTTCCTACCTTTTTTTATTCCTCGAAATGTGTATTTCTTCCTTGGTGATTCATAGATAAGGAAAAATTAAATAGATTACCTTATCTTCGTCTGTGAAGTTTGTTACATAAATGTAAAGCCAAGTGTCTTGTTCACATGTTACAGCTCACTGCTCTGAATTTTAAGTTGTAAAGTGTTTGAGCAAGGTAGAGTTTTTTCATGTATTGAAGGGTAATGAGATAGATTCTTTCCTGGCATATGCAATTATTCTAAATAACTGAATAAGATGCAATGCTGAGATTTATAAAGAAAGAACTTGGACATTTCATAGCTTCTCTGGCATGTTCATTCTGGGCGTGGAGTCACTGCAGTGAAAGCCTTCAATTCACTTGAGCTTCTTGGGCACCTAGTCAACAGTGAGTTCAAACCACAGTCTCTCATATACCCCAGACTAGGAGTTCTCTGTACCATTTTTCAATAATACAATTGTGCTGTATCAGTGAGCAGGCAGCTTGCAGGGTGCAATGGAAAGAGTATAGGTTTTGGAGTCAGCTCAACCTGAATTCAAGATCAACCCAAGCCTTGTACTGATTAACAGAAAGACTCTGGGCATGCTCTTTATTCTCTTTAAACTTTAGTTTTTTTATTTAAAAAACTGAGATAGTTCCTTTCTTAAAAAATGCTTACTTCGCACCAATGCTTAGAAGAGTTCATGTTTGTAAAGCACTTAACACATTACTATTATCATTATTTTCAGGATTATATTAATTTTAAGAAAAAATCGATTCTGAACCAATTAAAAATATGGAAGAAATATTTCCATAGGTGTCGTGGAGGTCTTGATAAACTATGCCAAGTAATAGAGTAAATAATTTCCACTAGCATAGAATTGAATGGTGGAGTGTATGTAAAAACAAACTTATGTCTGACATTCTTAGCCAAATACCAACCAGGAAAAGATAATTTCCTAAGAATGTCAATGTGTAAGGAAATACACTCTCTTTTGTGGACACAGAGGTTTCTTTATAGATCAAGTAATAATTAGAATGTCTTTGATAAGAAAAAGTGTGGCAATGAGACCTTTGGAATATGCAAATGCAGGGAAAGCAGGGCAGATTGAGATTTACCCCGATAAATGCTCCAAACCTCAGCATGGGAGTGATCTGTAATATTTCCCTGAAATGTGCCAAGTAGGCTAAAATCTCTATTCTGCTATTGCTGCTGCTGCAGTTAGGATGAGAGAAGGCGATCATTTGATTTCCTTGTCCCCTGTAGGATCTTGCTGTTAGGCTTGGTAATGACAGGGTCAAGTGGAGGGCAGAGACATGGGACCCAGTAGGGAACAGGAGGCTTTGACTACTGTCAATGCTCAGCATGTGGCATGGGGACCAAAGGCCTGGTTCCAAGGGAAAGACCTGAGGGCAGGGCAGGTAGGGTTGTGGAGGCTGTGTTGAGTAGCAGTGGCTGGGTGAGGGAAGTAGGTATTCAGCTGCCTGTCCTCTGTTATGGAGCAGCTTTTTTCCAACCTTAAGCACTCATTACACCACCTGTATACTAGACACCCAGGTGTCTTGAAAATCAGTGACCATTATGCCTTTAAGTACTTTGCTTAACGTAAGCAAAGCCTGCATTTCTACTGCAATGTGGAATCTTCTCCCGTGGTAGTAATGCTGCAAGAGTTGTTTGTATTTAAGAATATTGAGACAGGTCCTTTCTTGGCATATGCGTTGTACTCTAAACAACTGACTAAGACACAATGCTATCATAAGAAAAGAGCCAGGTAGGAGATGTGTGATAGCTTTTCTGGTACATTCATTTTGTTTGGAGTCATTGTGGGGAATTTTCTTTCATTTGAGAAAAATGGGGGCATATATTCTCTTTACTGCTTTAGTTCATGTATCAAATTCCCCAGAGTTCTTTCCCATTTTAACTTAGCTATCTCTTAAAAGAAATAGAATATAGCAAAAGTAAAATGTTACCAGTTATTACTACATTTAGGCTTTAATGTGTTGTCATGGTGCTTTCATTACCTTTGTTCTTACTTTAGAGGTTTCACGTCTGTATTCCTGGCCCAACTACCAATAAATGAAGAGATATAACTTGCCTCAGAGAGCAATATATATTCTCTGTAGCCCTGTGCGTTCGTTCATATTGCTTTTGAATGTATCAGTTTGACATTTTTTATGGTGATTATGATGACATAGGTTATACAAGATAGACTGAAATAAAATGGAACCAAGAAGTAAATACTCCTATACTATAGGACTGTTTAACCTATTTTAGAAACCTCATCCAGTCTTTGAGGTCCAGATCAAATGCCACCAACCTCAGAAAGCCTTCTCTACTCTCATAAAGTACAGTTTTCCTCCTCTTGTGATTTCCTAGCCTATCTTTGTTTATTCATTATTCATTTGGCACTTATTTTTCATTCTACCCTGTGGGTTAGTTTTTTGTGCATTTACAAAAAAATACACTTTTACATAAATGTATATAGTAACCTCCATAAGAACTAGAACGTTTTTATTTTTTAAATGAGTCCTGCTTGGCACCCTGCTTAGCACAAGTAGGAATAAAAAATGTTTAGTGTGGGATTATATTTCTCCCTGTCTTGTTCACAGATCAAAAATTGATCCAATACCTATTCTGAGCCAGCAACTGTGCTGAACGCCTAGGACACAGTGACAACAAGGCAGACATGGTCTCCGTCTTTGATTAAAAATAATTACTCCAGTTTTTCCTTCTTCCTTCTCTATGGTTTTATGTTGGGAAGTAGAGTGGTAGAATGGGAAGCAGCTGGACAGGAGAGAAAAATGGAGTAGTTCGAAGAAACACACATTGTCCCCTTTCTCACTTTCATAGTAATGTTTTAGAAGTTAAAAGCATCAGCTCTGGAGTGCATGCCCTACCTGTGTTTAAATTTTCTCTCTGTGTCTTCTCTGGGTGGCCTTGGAATTGTTATTTAATCTCACTGAGGCTCAATATCTGCAAATAATAGAGTCTGCTACGGCAAAGGAGATGATATTTATGCCAAACTCAAAATATCTGCTTAAGTAGTGTTGGTAGTCATTATCATTATTGTTGCTGTTAGCTGCTGCTATCTTTACATGCATGGCTGTTAAGGAGGGCCATGTCTAGTACTGCTTGGAGTAAGGTAGAGATAACCGAGGGTGGGAATTTGCTCCAAGGATTCCTTTCCCAGATGGTAGACTGGCTCCAGGCTCCCTAAACAATCCTGAAGAGTATGCTGGCCCTTTCTGTATTTGGACTTAAACCTAACTGTTGTGGGTTTCCTGGAGCTTGCCTCCTGCTGGCAGCCCTCCTCTTACCTGAGGTAAGACTTACTAGATGGAAGAGTATGTGGCAGTAAGGAAAAATGTCTTCTTCTCTTTGGCATCCTAGTTGTACATTTACTCAGCTCCAAAGGGAAGAACTGTGCTCAGTATTTTGTGGGTTAAGCTTTCCTTGTTAGAACTTTATTTTCTCAAATACTAACAAAAATGGATTTTTCTCCCTACTCTCTCTCGTTAATAGGGTGCTGAGAAAATTTTGTCAATGAATGAATCAGGAGAACTGCAAGACATCCTAACCAAAATTGAGGTAAATGTGCTTTCAGCAACTTAGTTTTAGTAATCAAAATATTAAACACATTCTGATTATAATTGAGTTTTCCTAATTGAATTCTCTCTCCCCATGTTCTTACAAATATGCAATAGGATACATGTGGCAGTTTTAATTTGATATCTTCTGTTATTAGGTTTGTTGCAGCTAGAGTGACTTTAATGTTAACTTCTAATGATCTCATACTATTAGGTGAGTGTTATGGTCAGCTTTATTTGATCCCAACTCTCTGTAATACAGACGTTGATGAGGTGTTTCAAGTCAGGAAATGGTCTTGATGCACATTAAAATTTTTCATTGAAACAACTTTATTTTTCCCATGGATCTTCCTACATATAGAAGAGCTTACTACATCATTTATAAAGATTAAAGAAAAACTTGTGTCTCCAAAAAGCACATTTTAATTTGTATTCCTGTGCTTATACATATAGCATCAGAGAAATACTTATTCAAATACTTATAAAATTAACATGCAACCGGAAAGCCCTTATTACCTCACTGCTAAATTATTTTATCAGATTGTTTCTCCCTATTTGTAAGAAGATTCTATATTTCATTGTCCTGAATGGGACACTTTGAGAGTAAAAAGTATGCGTTAGTAATTGTTCTGGGACAGCAAATGTGAAACAGGACTTTCCAGGAGAAATAGGTCATATGGTTATCCAGTATCTATATGTCACTACTGGTTATTATTGCTCTAGTCTTTGCTAACCTAATTTCTGATTCTCTACCATTCCTTCCACTCTAGATAAAAGAAAGGACTATGTGGCTTCTCATGCTTTCTTACTACTATCCCTTTGTGCAAGTTGTTCTGTCTGCCTAGAATGATATTGTTCCAATTCCTCATTTCCCTCCACCATTTTCAAGGCCCATCTTCAGTATCAGTTCTTCCAATATTCATTTCTGATCTCCCCTGCCTTTGAATTCCTATAACCCTCTTTTTAGGGGCCTTATAAAAGTCTTTTTTGTATTACCTTTCTTTTAGTATTTGACTCATGTCCCAAATGAACTAGATGCTCCTTGATTGAACGATTCATGTTTTATTCATATTGTGACCTTTCCCAGAAGGAAAACAATGGATTCATTCATTCAACAAACATTTATTAAGTATCTACTGTTTACAGGTACTTTGCTAAGGGAGACAACAATGTCCTCTCAATGTACTGCAGACCTATAGAAATAACTCAAAATCATTTTTTATCAGTTTTTGTCGTAATACAAACAATAGAGTATGTTTAGACATTGTGGTTCAATGAGGATGATGGGCAGAAATATAGTGCTTATACGGGAGGAGAATGCTTGGGCTTTAGCAAAATAATTTACTATGGTCTGATTCTAAATTCAAAAGCCATGCGATACATACAGAGAGTAAATTTGTTTTTGTAAAATGTTTTAAATCTCCTTTTTTCCATAATTTATAATTTCTGAAGTATTATGACTTGGAAATCAGAAGATTTTTAGCTCCTTCCTCAGCTCTGCTTCTGGCTGTGTGACTTTGGGCATAACCTTTCACCTGCCAGTATCTTGATTTCTTTATCTATTAAATCGGGGTGTGTACTTGCTCCTCTTAAAACTCCTCTTAGCTAAAAAAGCTGTATGAATGGATCTATTTATTTCTTTCTGTTCTCATATACTACCCCAATCCTGTGAAGTCATTCACTTACATTATTATATACCTTTTTATTTAAACAATTTGGTTTATGTGTATTATTCTCTGTACACACTTTAAACTAATTTAAATTGTATTATGCAGTATCATTGATCTATTTACTTCTTGTTGCATCAATATCATACTATTTTAATTCTATGGTTTAAGAGCATCTTTTAGGATCTTACAGGATGAATATCCTTAATTGCTTTTCTTTGTACAGATTGATGACTGATTTAGCTATTCTGAACTTTTATTCCATTGAGTCTGTAATTCTTCAATTCTACAACTTGATCAACAGTACCATGGTAGATAATCTCTCTCTCTCCATCAGCTCAAAAACTTTGGAAAAGAAGATGTTTTTCTCTTCATTAAGTCTGTCTCCATTCTACAGATGACATAAATAAGGCACAAATACTTTAAGTTATTTTTAATGTTCAAAATAATGGTATGGCATTGGCTTTCTACTGTTATAGGAACTCTGCGGTGCCATCACTATGTTCGGCTGCTTTGGGATATAGTAAAACTGGTGGAGAATTTGTAGTCAATCAAGAAAACCCAGAACTCTGCCTGAGAGGTAGCTGGAGTTTAAGAGGAAGTAAAGAGACCAGGTGAAATGAAGCACTGGGAGAGCCATGCAAAGAGGATAAGGGATACAAAATACAGATCCAAACCGATCCCACTTTTCTGGTTGGCTTTTGACAGTAGAGTAGGAGTTCAATTTTCATGATGCAGGAAACATTTCAGTCCTTACTATATAGCAAGATATATTCCCGGCATTTTATATGTATTAAATCATTGAAAGCTCACAACTCTGCTAAATGAGTTCTCTTATTATCCCCACTTTACTGGCAAGGGAATGGAGGTACAGAAAGACAAAATCACTTGCTCAAGAGTGTTTAGGTAGTCAGTATTTGATTTATGATTCTAATCAGTCTGACTCCAAACCCATGATGTTAATTAACTATGAACCTATGCTGCCATGACTCTCAAATTAAGTGGCATGTAGGTATCTAGGAAATCTGACTATACTGTGGCAGGACACAAAACCTGGGTTAGTAGTTTCCTAGGAGGTAAGCTAGTAAAGATGTTAGGTCCAGGGAATAGGCTGGGTTTTGACACAGGGCTCTAACACTAGACATATCCTGGCAAGTTCTAGTTTGCTGTTACTTGGGTTGCTACATGGTAGTTTATGACCACTCCTGGTCCTCATAATTCAGGTTCCAGTTTCTAGCAGTTATTTCAAGTGATGCTGAAGAGAGAGGCTTAGCAGCTGTGGTTGGGCCATCAGAAATGGAGTCAGAAAATAATTCCAAATTTTTTGTGCACCAAGAATCTTATCATATATCCCACCCAACTGAAAATTGCTGGGGAAGCTGAGTCGATCTGATTTGTTGATGAAGATTATTAGTGGCCTCAAACGTGAGGAGCTGGCCAAAGGCAGCAGAAGCTAGTAACACATGTGATAGCTTCTATGGAGATCTGGTCTCAGTAGAGTTGGTTGTACCAATGGGGACTGTGTTCCTGAAATGACAGTTTGCAGGTAATCTTCCCACTGAGATGTGAGCTCCATGTGAACACAGATGTTCATTTCTTTTTATTATTTACTTCTAGTGCCTAGAACAGGGATTGGGATATCCCAGGCATACATAAATATTTTCTGAGGGAATAAATAAATGACTTCTCTTTCATCCAAAGCTTTTTTGGAGGAGGCAAAGCATTCAAGAGATGAAAAGAAAGAGAAAATTATTATTTTATATAAAAGAATGTGTGGCTGAAAGGATGAATGAAACCACCATCTTTTTGGTAAATGATATTTATTTATGTTAATAAATAGGCTAAAAATGAGAAGCAACGAAGTGTCTAAGGAGTCCTCACAATACAATAACCAAGATGGATAGCTAATTCTGCTGGTGTCCATGCAGGGAGAGCCAGGGGAGTGCTGAGATATATTACCATACCACTGGTTCTGGCAGACACTGAATTAAAGATCTCAGATGGCAGAGAAGCTCCAAGTAAGCTTTGCCTTGTTATTTTTTTGAAGATATGAGTAAATAGTTTTGTTGCCATTTGTACTGAGATTGCCAACATAGTGTCCATTTTCTGTCCTTTTTTTTTTTTTTTTGGTAAAGCTTATAAAAATTACTTAATCTGATTCTCCCCTGAGGGCGGGTAACCACTTATTTGTTCATGAAGAACCGAGCAAAGATTCCCGGCTACACACTTAGTATGTCAAAAATGGCACAGACTGTCTGTGCAAGGTATTGGAGCTGTCAGAGACTGTCCTGAGGTTCCCTGGAGAAGTATAGCTCTGTATGATGGTCCTTCCTAGGGGAAAGGGGGTGGCCATAGCCTGTTCTGAGGCTACAGCCATAGAAACCACCTATAGATTCACCTGGGGAATCAGGCCATGTCATCTGCTTTCTCTGAAATAAAAACATCTATTTAAGTAGGTTTATGGCAGTTCATCCCATCTGGTTTAAGAATCAGGCTCCTATATCCAGGCTTATACATTTAGAATTATGAGCTACAAATTTCCCTTGTCTGCATTTTGTTCAGTGGCTTCTTTCTCAACTCTGCAAATTAAGGATGCCGGAAACACTGATGATCAGAAAAGATTCTATTTATTTTTTTAGCAGCTTGGTCAGGCAGAGGGGTGTTTAGTAGGCATTTAAGAGTTTGCTGAATTAAATTTTTGAATCTAGTTTAAAACAAAATACATAGACCAAGATGAATCATCCAGAGATGATTATAATGCCAAGCGTGTACTCTGACAATTTGTTTTATGGGTAATACTGCTTCATAGACAATCTGGATAATGAGGTGTATTGTCATAGAGGGTCAAATAAGTTGCTTCCTCTTTGATAGGATACTTAACGGACTTTCAAGCTCTATTGGAATAGGATTTGATGATCTGAGGTTAAAAATAATAAGAGCTTCATTTCCTGATCTCAAAGAAGACATGAAGACTCTTGATCTTAGCATCCTGTTTCTATATTGCATAACTGGGGGTAAACTTACATCTTGAAATTTGAAACTCAAATTTCCTTTGCTACAAAGGAAGTCTATTTCACAATCATTCATAAACTCTGCCATTATCTTTGTCGTTTGTCGTTTTTGTCCTTTGTTAGAGACACAATACATTTCGTGTGCTTTAGTTGAGATGACTGCAATATGGAGCAGACCTATCCAAGACTCAGGGGTGAGGCTGAGATGTACTACTAGGAAAGCAGAGAAGTGTCTGGTTTACTGCTATATTCCCATTGCCTTACACAGTGCCTGGCTAGTGAATACTCAATATATATTTGTGGAATGGAATGAATAAGTAAAAGGTCTCACTCACTGAGTATCTATCTTTTAAAACTCACTCACAGGAATAAATGAACAGAAAGAGGTAAAGTGGAGGGTGATTTCTCATTCTTTTTCTCTTGAGCTCCACTCCAAAGTGACTTGTCTCAACCCAAACCACTATTCAGAGGAGAGGAGACACAGTCTGTAGATTCAGTACTCTGTGTGCTATTCTCAACCAGGTCTGCCTGGATTCTTAATTGCTTGCAGGTCAACGTTTCCGCAGCAGTCAATCTCTTCATTGAAAGTGGAAGTCAGGGCCGGGCGCGGTGGCTCACGCCTGTAATCCCAGCACTTTGGGAGGCCAAGGCGGGCGGATCACCAGGGCAAGAGATCGAGACCATCCTGGCTAACACGGTGAAACCCCGTCTCTACTAAAAATACAAAAAATTAGCCGGGCAGGGTGGTGGGCGCCTGTAGTCCCAGCTACTCGGGAGGCTGAGGCAGGAGAATGGCGTGAACCAGGGAGGCAGAGCTTGCAGTGAGCTGAGATCGTGCCACTGCACTCCAGCCTGGGAAACAGAGCGAAACTCCGTCTCAAAAAAAAAAAAAAAAAGTGGAAGTCAGTATTTTTACTAATAGTTACTAATAGTAATGAAGCCTGTTTTGTTACTAGTTGTAATGTTACTAATAATTAGTAATATTATTAGTAAAGTAGAAGTCTGTTTCATCAACTTCAGTTATTCAGTTATTCCTCCAACTCCAAACTTTGTCCGTGTTCTTTGGGAAATTCCTAGCTCTTTTTCTATCTTGATCTGTGGGCAAAACTGTCTACAGAAGGGTTAGACTTCAGAGCAACACTAATATAAGAGCATCCAATATAACCCAACTGGGTTTTCTTTGTACAGAACCCTCTAAATTAGGACCAGACTTCCAGTATAACAAATTGCTCTTTGAAAGACATGGCTAGGCATGACTAAATTATTTATTCTTATTAGAATAATAAATAGCATAAATTGTGCTGGAAGATGTAGCAAGAATGAGATTCCTGGGTGCTGAGGGGGCACTGGGGAGCTTTAGTGGGTTGCCTCAAGCAAGAATGAGATTCCTGGGTGCTGAGGGGTCACTGGGGAGCTTTAGTGGGTTGCCTGAAGACCCACCCACCTCACCACCACTTTGGCTTTAGTCATAGCGTTTATCCTTTCAACTGCTTTACATTTGGGGATCTCATGTTTAGATAATTTGGGAAAAAACGGATGCAAATAAACATTGAAAACTACTATCATAGAGGGAAGACCATAGATTTTGCTCATAAAGAGACCTCTTCAATATTCCACTTTCTAGTTATAACTTGATAATTACTTTTTAAAAACCAGCTTAGAGGCTGTGTTTCCTCATTTGTAAAACGGTGGTGTCTATCACATCAGGTTGGTGTGAGAAGGGGGCAAAGACTCCTCCACACAAGATATAAGCCATCCCTTTCCTCTCTTACGTTTATGGCTGAAATAGCTAATTTTTCCTGAGAATGGAAGTAGCCCGAGAATCTTTCCAGCACTATTCTCCAAGACAACAGAAATAGCACATGAATTGAAACACATTTACTCTCCCTTTCTTACAGTGGCAAAACCTTAAACCAGAAGGCGAAGTATGGAACAAGTGTTTAAATTGAATGACTCTTAGAAGTGTAGAAAATGGTTGTGTCATGTGACCACAAGCAGTTTAGCTTAAGGTAGCAGTTAATAAAAATCATTTCAATAGGAATTTATTAATAAAATAATGGCTAATAATAACTAACTGTATTGAGTGCCTACTATGTGTCAGGCAATGTGCTGTTCACCTCCCATGAATTAGTTCATTGAATCCTCTCAACAATCCTTTGAATGAAAGAGAGATCTAATCACAGAATTGCAGACTCTGAGGATCCTATTTTAGAATGGCCTTGTTGTATTTGTGATTATTTTTAGAAATAAAAATGTAGCTTTGGTATTTATATATTAAGTTTATTTTAGGAAATTTGTTCTGACAAGGGGATAAATTATGAAGAAACAGTAGACTCTTGGTATTAGTGAATTTAACATTTGATATTTTAGCCTTTGAAAGTAATATTTGTAAGTGATGTTGTAGGCCCATTATGTAAAATAATTTTTAATTGTGTTGAGTTACTATTTTGAATTTTGTGTGCTCAGAGCCTGGTGTCTGAAGTGCCACACATAGACAAGGAGCTCAGAAAGCTGCATAGCACTAACATTTCATTCCAGCTTTGTTGTTCTTTGCTTGTAGTCACAAATATATTTCATGAGAAAACCATATGGCTATTCAAGAATATGGTCATTCACAAGTGTCTTGGGTCATAGCAGGAGTTGATATTCACCTAGTGTGCACTGGTACAGCAGTTGTGGTTATTGAAAATATTGAAATATGTTTGTACTCATTAAGATATTGAAATAATTGGTCCAGGTATGGTGGCTTATGCCTGTAATCCCAGCACTTTGGGAGGCCGAGGTGGGTGGATCACTTGAGTTAGGAGTTTGTGACCAGCCTGACCAACATGGTGAAACCCCATCTCTACTAAAAATACAAAAATTAGCCAGGCGTGGTGACATGCACCTGTAATCCCAGCTTCTTGGGAGGCTGAGGCAGGAGAATCACTTGAACCTGGGAGGAGGAGGTTGCAGTGAGCTGCTGAGGTCGCACCACTGCACTCCAGCCTGGGTAACAGAGTGAGACTCCGTCTCAAAAAAAAAAAAAGAGATGTTGAAATAATTTATACGGTTGGTAAATAGCCATTGCCCAAGATGGATTAATATCTCTTTTCTTCTATGTCAACTCTAACCTATAAATTTTGCCAGATACAATGCAGGATGCCCACTTACATTTAAATATCAGATAAATTATAAATAATTTTCTAGCTTAAGTATGTCTCATACAATATTTAGTACATACTTAAACAAAAATTATTTGTGGTCTATCTGAAATTCAAATTTAACTGAGCGTCCTGTATTTTTATTTGCAAAATCTGACAACTCTACTTTACTAGGAACTCAGATCTATTTACAATCTAGCAGTAATGAGTAAAGGGCTGGACTCAGGGTCCCTGCAGGTCCTTACTGTAGGACCTTGGCCAGCCCAGCATTTATTCTGACTTGATGCACTTGTTGTACAAGTCATTAAATATTTTTAGCATATTTAATGTCATAGCAATAGTGAATGACAAGGATCTATCTACATTATATTCTTTCTAGTATTTGATAAGAACTCCACTACTTAGGAATTTTCTCATATTTAGCTTTTAAAGTACACTATTTTTCCATCATTGGGTTTGTTTTTACTCAAAGTTTTTCTTTTTTCTATTTTAATATTACACAAAATTTAAGTGCAGTGCATCCTTTTTTTAAGTCAATTCTTGCACAAAGAAATGACAAAAATCCATCAACAAAGTGACCAAATTGCTGTACATATTCAATCTATCTTTTTGGAAGAGCTTTAAATCTCTACAGTCTTGACAAAATTAATTGTTTGTTTTATTCAGATTGACAACAACTACTTTCTGTGATTCAGTGCCATTAGAAACGAGATATTATATGAGTTTAGCCATCTTGATATAATAGTCAAGTCAAACTATAATTGCAAGTGAATCCTGCTATATACAGAAAATGCCCATTTATATTGTCTTAAAATATCAATATTAGATTGATGTTTTGTAAGTATCAATTAGATCCTAATGTTTGAATACCAAAGTACATCCCACAGGTTACTAATTATGAGAGAATTATATTATTGACTCGATAAAAATTCTCATAATTATATGTGCTGAAGCAATCATGGGTTAAACTCAGTTTATCAGGTTTCTTTTAGGTTGAATATTTTTGAGGCTTTAATATGTGCAATTATAAATCTTTGGAGAAAAGCTATATGTATGTGTCAATATGTTAAGCATGTTTGTCTGAGTATGTGTTTGTGTGTGTGTGTATCCACATTTCCTGAGCTTATTTTATCAATTATTCCCTTCACAAAGCCAGGGTTTCAAACACTGCTGCAAATTCCTTTTTTGCAAGTCGGAAGCTTAGTATCAATTTACTTATTTTCTCTTTGTATTCATTCTGTAATGGCACCTAATCTCCCCTAAACTGATGGATGCCACTAGAGGACACCAGTAAAGGTTATATGCTCAGAAAAGCAAACAGAAATGCATGTAAATGATTTTAAAAGTATTACTCTCAACACACTATCGGGCTATTTTCATTCTATTATCAGAGATACTTTACCTTTGCTTGAGATAGAAAGGTTGATAGCTACTGTGGGAAGCTAAATAGACTTACAGAAATGTCTCTAAATTTCTGTGTTTGTTTTCTTAAAGATAAAATGAGGATAATGATGCTCGAATTAAGTCTTTACTGAAAAAGGTGTTTGTATGTGTACTTGTTAGGGTGGGTGAAGATTCTATACAAAAATGCATTTCAAAGTGCTTTGAAAAAAGAAGTATTATTCTAAATGTACAATATAATTAGTAATCTTCAGTTTATAGTGGCTCCTGCACACTTCAGCTGTTAGCTTTCTGATTTTCCAGACTTGCTATTAATATGCTATTCTATAAACAGACATGAAACTGTTAAATGATACTAATGGGAAAGTTAAAGTATTTTCCCTTAATACAAAAAGCCAGCTTCTGAATTATTTGGTTTGTAGACAGATGTTTTCATATGATGGATTTCTTGAAGTTATGTGCCCTTCAACCTAAAATTTACCCACTTTACAAACCAAGCCTGTGGTATAGATGGCCATTGGCGGGGGAATGAAGGAGAATTTCAACTAATTACTTTCCTGGGTGTAATGTGTATTAATGGTAGGTGAATTCAAGTGTATAGCCATATTATGCCAATATTGCTTTATGACCACTCACAGTTCAGAAAGACCGGGAGGCTGATTGAGTTGTTCATGCTAACACATCCTCTGTTTTCTCTTGTTCCCCTGCCACCTTATACAGAGAGTACAGCATCCACATGAGTGTCCCTCTTGTGGAGGCTTTGGCTTTCTTCCATGCTCCGTGTGCCATGGGAGCAAGATGTCCATGTTTCGAAACTGCTTCACAGACTCTTTCAAAGCCCTGAAGTGTACGGCTTGCAATGAAAATGGTCTTCAGCGTTGTAAGAACTGTGCTGGTTAATTGGAGCTTCTACCCAGGAAAAACCTCATTTTATTAATCAAAGGCAATACTTTGGTTTATATATATATTTTTAAATGGTTATGTTTATGGATTAATCAATAAACTTTGTTTATTATAATTGTCTTTGTGGTGAATTTTTGCTGCAATCATTTTCATTGATGTATTAAATAAATGTTTATTTAACAACTACTATGTGCCAAGCCCTGTGCTAGACCCTGGTTTCTAATTGGAATTAATGGAGTACCCCAAACCATTCCAAGATATCTAAAGTCTGATTCCCTTAATGTGTTTGCTCGTCTAAAGAAAATAACAAAATCTAGATAATGGTGCCTATTGCAACCTCACCCTATTGACTAGGATGAGTTAATGCAACTACCTAGAAGCAGAACATATTCCTAGGCATTCTACAAGGAAGAAGAGAGCTCTGGATAGTGGAAAAAATATGATCACCTTTATACTTAGGCAGTAATTTTTTTTAAGCTGTAGAATAGTTTCTTTTTTTTTAAGCTGCAGAATAGTCTCAAAGCTGATGATCTTAATGATAAACCATAATGTTATCAGGTGGATTTCTTGGTGTTGATACAAAAGCTACCAGAAGACTTATCTGGACATTTATTTATTTATTTATTTATTTATTTTATCTTTGGGGGTACATGTGAAGGTTTGTTACATAGAATTGCTTCTGCCATTGTCACTTGAAAGCCATTCAAAAAGGTGGCTCTTTATTGTCCTCTTAGCGGGACACCAGAGCACTCTACCGTTTGAACACATTCTAGGTAAGAATGTGCAAAAAAAGAAAATTTGCTGCAATTATTGGCTGATGACTACCTATATACATGTCTGTACTCGGATGGATTTGCTTATCAATGATTTTTAGAAATTGCCTTCACAGTATTTGTGATAAGGTAATCAAAATATTTTGCTCCTTGGTTTTCTGAAAAGCAACAAATATTTACAGAGTACTTTTTAATTAGCTAGGCCCAGTGTAAGGGATGGTTTCTGCTTTCATGGAGCTTACACTTTAAGAAGTAAGGAGTATTCAACAAATAAATATGAGCCGATGAGTCCTATAATACTACAAAAGGGCCAGGCGTAGTGGCTCACACCTGTAATCGCAGCACTTTGGGAGGCAGAGGCGGGTAGATCATAAGGTCAGGATATCAAGACCATCCTGGCTAACACAGTGAAACCCCATCTCTACTAAAAATACAAAAAATTAGCCGGGCGTGGTGGCAGCGCCTGTAGTCTCCGCTACTCGGGAGGCTAAGGCAGGAGAATTGGTTGAACCTGGGAAGCAGAGGCTGCAGTGAGTCAAGATCGCACCACTGCACTCCAGCCTGGGTGACAGAGCGAGACTCTGTCTCAAACAAAACAAAACAAAACAAAAACCACACAAAAAAACTACAAAAGGAGTACAATGTGCTATGGGAAAGTATCACAGGAGGACCAACCTACATGAGGTAGAAAATGATTAGAAAGACTTTGCCGAGCAACTGATATTTTAACTGAGACATGAGGGAAATTGGAAACTAGTTAGTCAACAAGCAAGAGGATAGTGCTTCAGGTAGAGAAATAGCATATGTGGTGACCCGAGGTCAGAGGAAAGGTGTGTAGTTGAAGAACTGTAACAAATCCAATGTAGGAGTGGGTGTCTCATAATAGTGGAGCAGTTTATAGCAGAATAAACCTCCTGCTAATAACGCATATACACTGAACAAAATAATAAAAAACAAACACAATTGTTGAAGTACTAGAAAACAACCCCAAATGAAAAGAAACAGGAGAGGATTCATTCACTGAAAGATTGGAAACACAATGAACCTCACATTTATCCAGCATTTCCTCTGCAGGTACTTTCCAGTTTTCATAGAATATGCCTCATAAAGAAACTGTAGTCTTACTGGGTGAAAAAGATAGAGGTTGGAATCTGGAGCTGCCAGAGTGTCTGGAAGTGAGGGGAAATTTCCAAGAAATGAGGGGACCAAACATAAGGGGGCCCCAACATCTGCTCATTAATTTCACCCAAATCCTGGGCTGATTCCTAACCTACACAGGCAGAGGAAAGTTATAGCCAAGGGACCAGAAAGTTGAGCAGAGAGATCGGCTGCTGCCGGTAGAATTCCTGTAACCAAACCTCCATGGTTTTATGGTATCTTTTAGTATTTGACTAAATGCTAGAGCAAAACTCAACATGCAAATTCGGTATAGAAAGGAACTCTTTGAATATGAAATGCTAGAGCTAATATCATACATAATGGTAAAATATTGGATGCCTTCTCCCCAAGATCAGAAACAGTGAATGAATATTCATTTTCATCACATCTATTCAATATTGTGATGGAGGTCCTAGCTAGACAAATAAAGCAAGGAAAAAAGTCATAAAAATTGGAAAAAATAAAGCTCACTATTTGTATACAATGTAATTGGGATGTAGAAAATCTAAAAAAATTTATAAGCAACTGAACTAAAAACTGAAATTAGCAAAATTATTGGATTCAAGGACATTATATGAAATTTGAAATGCAATATATAAGAAACACACAATTAAATATAAAATTTCCAATTTAATATCCAGTTGGATGTTGAATGTCCAATTTAAAGCACTATCAGAAAACAAAATACATGGAATACATTTTTCCAAAGGTGGGTAAGACTTCAACATCAAAAACTAAAATGCAGATTTTGCTGAGAAATTATAGGAGACCCTAATACATGGAGAAATATATAATGTTTATGGAATGAGAGACTTCACATTTTAAAGGTCTGTATATTTGCAATGCAATCTCGATTAAAACCTCACCAGATTCTTAGTAGAATTTGATGAATAAATCTAATTTTATATAAAAATGCATATAACCTAGATATTTTTGAACAAGTAGAGTAAAATAATGAGAGACAAATAGATCAATAGAATGATTAGAAAATATAGAAATAGACACACACATTAAGATCAACTGATTTTCAAGAAAGATGCCAATTTGAGGCAATGGAGAAGGGAAAGTCTTTTCACAAATAGTGCTGGAACAACTAGATTTCCATGTGGAAAAAATGACTATGACAATGACTACTACTACACTGCTACCACTGCTGCTCCTGGCACCTAGTAGGTAGAGGTCAGGGGTACTGATAAAAATTCTACAAAACACAGTATAACCCTTTGCCTCAAAAAAGGATTATTTAATCCAAAATGTCAGTAGTGCCAAGACTTAGACACCCTGATCTAAATGTTGAAGCTAAATCAAGATAATAGTTTTACAATCTTGGAATAGGTGAAGATGTTTTGGGCAAGTAAGTCAAAAACACCTAACCATAAATTGGACTTTAAGATTAAAATGTTCTCACAAAAGACATGTAAGAAAATGAAAAGGGAAGCCATAACAGGGAGAAAATATTCACAACCTAAATGTCTGCCAGAGGACCAAAATATGTAGAATATGTGAAGAACTCTGAAAAATCAAAAATAAAAAGACACCCTAAAGACAATCTAATGAAGAAATGGGTCACAGGTGCCTGCAAAAGAGGCTATGGCTGGCCAAAAACATTTAGTAAAATATGACATCATTAGTCATTAGAGAAGTGCAAATTAAAACCACAATGTTATATTACTGCACAATATTTAGAATGACTAAAATTTGTTTAAAAAGATTGAAAATACTAAGTGATGGTGTGGAGGTGGAGTAACTAGAACTCTCCTACATTGCTAATGGGAATGTTAAATGGTACGACCACTTGGGAAAACCTCTGATGAGGTAAATATACACCAAACACCAGTTTACTCCTAGTTACTTACTCAATAGAGATAAGAATATATGGCTAGGAGCAGTGGCTCCACACAAATCTCATCTTGTAGCTCCCATAATCCCCATGTGTTGTGGGAGGGATCCAGTGGGAGATAATTGAATCAATGGGAGCAGGTCTTTCTCATGCTGTTCTCATGATAGTGAATGAGTCTCACATGACCTGATGGTTTTAAAAATGGGAGCTTCTCTGCACAAGCTCTCTCTTTGTCTGCTTCCATCCATGTAAGATGTTACTTACTTCTCGTTGCCTTCTGCCATGATTGTGAGGCCTCCTCAGCCATGTGGAACTGTAAGTCCAATAAACTTCTTTCTTTTGTATATTGCCCAGTCTCGGGTATGTCTTTATCATCAGCATGAAAATGGCTAATACAGTAAATTGGTACCAGTAGAGTGTGGCATTGCTGAAAAGATACACGAAAATGTGGAAGTGACTTTGGAACTGGGTAACAGGAAGAGATTGGAACAGTTTGCAGGGCTCAGAATAAGACAGGAGAATGTGGGAAAGTTTGAAACTTCCTAGAAACTTGTAGAAAGTTTTTGACCAATACACTGATAGTGATATGAACAATAAGGTCCAGGTTGAGGTGGTATCAGATGGAGATGAGTAACTTGTTGGAAACTGGAGCAAAAGTGATTCTTGTTATGTTTTAGCAAAGAGACTGGCAGCATTTTGCCCCTGCCCTAGAGATTTGTGGAGCTTTGAACTTGAGATAGATGATTTAGGGTATTTGGTGGATAAAATTTCTATGTAGCATAGCATTCAAGAGGTGATTTTGGTGCTGTTAAAGGCATTCAGTTTTAAAAGGAAAACAGAACATAAAAGTTTAGAAAATTTGCAGCCTGACAGTTAAATAGAAAAGAAAATCTCATTTTCGGAGGAGAAATTCAAGCTGGCTGCAGAAATTTACACAAGTAATGAGAAGTCACATGTTAATCACCAGGATGATGGGGAAAATGTATCCAGGCCATGTCAGAAACCTTTGCAGGCCTGCAGGTTTAGGAGGGAAAAATGGTTTTGTGGGCCAGGTCCAGGGTCTCTTTGCTGTGTGCAGTCTAGAAACTTGGTGTCCTGTGTCCCAGCTGCTCCAGTCATGACTAAAAGCTCAGGCTGTTGCTTCAGAGGGTGGGAGCCCCAAGCCTTGGCAGCTTCTACGTGGTGTTGAACCTACAGGTGCACAGAAGTTAAGAACTGAGGTTTGGGGACCTCTGCCTAGATTTCAGAGGATGTATGGAAGGAGTTTGCTGTAGGGGTGGGGCCCTCATGGAGAACCTCTGCTAGGGCAGTGCAGAAGGAAATGTGGTGTTGGAGCCCCCACACAGAGTCCCTACTGGGGCACTGCCTAGTGGAGCTGTGAGAAGAGGGCCACCATTCTCCAGACCCCAGAATGGCGGATCCGCTGACAGCTTTGCACCATGCACCTGGAAAAGCCACAGACACTCAACACCAGCCTGTGAAGGCAGCCAGGAGGGAGGCTGTACCCTGAAAAGCCACAGGGGTGCAGCTGCCCAAAACCATGGGAACCTACCTCTTGCATCAGTGTGACCTGGATGTGAGACATGGAGTCAAAGAAGATTATTTCGGAGCTTTAAGATTTGACTGACTTGCTGGATTTTGGACTTGCATGGGGCCTGTAGCCCCTTCATTTTGGCCAACTTCTCCCATTTGGAATGGCTGTACTTACCCAATGCCTGTATCCCCATTATATCTAGCAAGTAACTAACTTGCATTTGATTTCACAGGCTCATAGGCAGAAGGGACTTACTTGCCTTGTCTCAGATGAGACTTTGAACTTTGGACTTTTGAGTTAATACTGAAATGAGTTGAGACTTTGCGGTACTGTTGGGAAGGCATGATTGGTTTTGAAATGTGAAGATATGAGATTTTGGAGGGTCCAGGGGCAGAATGATATGGTTTTGCCCTGTGTCCCCACCCAAGTCTCATCTTGTAGGTCACATAATTCCCACACGTTGTAGGAGGGACCCAATGGGGGATGACTGAATCATGCGGGCAGGTCTTTCCCGTTCTGTTCTTGTGATAGTGAATGGGTCTTACGACATCTGACGGTTTTAAAAACAGGTGTTTCTCTGCACAAGCTCTCTCTTTGCCCACTGCCATCCATGTAAGATGTGACTTGCTGCTCCGTGACTCCTGGCATGACCCTGAGGCCTCCCCAGCCATGTGGAACTGTAAGTCCAATAAACCTCTTTCTTTTGTAAATTGCCCAGTCTTGGGTATGTCTTTATCAGCAGGGGGAAAATGGACTATTACAGAGGCAAAGAGTTTCTTATAACAGGGAGAGTTTCTCATCACTGTTCCAACATCGTTGTGAGATTCTAAGTAGAATCTCAAAATTTTCTCACTACTTGAGCCCTGGCTCCGTTTCTGCAAATCCAAACATAGTCTCAATGTCCTCCTTGTCTGAGGTAATAATAATCAGGTTGGAGAATTAGAATAGCACAAGGGAATCTAATTTTTAGGCCCTATCCTAAACCATGGGTTCTGAGGGCAAAAGCTTCTTGACTCTTAATTATATTAAAAAAATTATTTTTATCTTTTATTCCTTTTTTGCATGCATTGCCATGAGATTAAAGGTTGTGTTTTCTGTTGATTATTAGTAAGGCTCTAAGGAAGAACATTATGAAAGAGTAATGAAACTTGAAAAAAATAAACTCAGATACCTCTTAGAATTGCAAAAGTTAATGAGAGTAATAGGCTCAGAACAAGCTTAGAATAGGCTCATTTAAACATAAATTTATGTTAACTTTCTGAGATAACTTGCTTTAGACACTTCACATCTATCTATTTCAGTTTTATGATATATATATGGCAAATAATAATAACTGCTATATTTACCTCACACTGTCATAGTGTGGGATTAATTCAAATATATAGGAAAGTACTTTAAAAAAAGACAAAGCATACTATGAGGCATAGAATAATTTCATAATTAACACAAAAATTATGCATTAGCAACACATCTTTTTATTGGCCAGATTAAAAAAAGAACTAATATTTGTTGAACATTCTTCTGATTGCTAGGTTTTGTAGAAGGTACCTCATTTATTCTTCACAGTATCCCATAATTTCATAGATGAAGAAACTGTGATTCAGAGTGTTAATTACTTCTCTGAAAGTCTGGAAATTTATGTTAATTTGTTGTAGCTTCTGTGTCCATGTGAGTTGCCTTTATGTCTGGTATAAAGTGGGAAAGCAGTCAAGAAAACAATAAACTTGCTCAAAGATAAACCTGACATCAACAATAAAGTTGGAATGAAAAGTCTGTCCTGAGCTTCTATGCTTTTACAACTTCGTACATTCCTCTTGGCAATTCTTAATAGATTTCAAAAGTCAACAATGCTGGTTGTTTGCAAAGGACATATAGTAGTGCAATCAGGGCTGGAGTTTGCTCATAAACTTAAAAAAAAGATTAAGGGAGGGATCTTAAAAAATGACATATACCTAAATAATAGAAATACATATTTATTTTTCTAATCTGTCATAAGGTCTTTTTTAAAAAGATAAATTATTAGCATATTGATTAAAGTTTTATCTGGTCTTTCATGCACAAACCTCACACATGTAAAGAAGCTACTCTGGGCTCCTTCAAAGTGGAGTGAAAATTTAAAGACTCTTTTAGAAAGCAATCAGAATGTAATACCGTTTTGGATTTTTGTGATTATTTCTCCCGAACTTTTACAGTTTCCTTATCCATGACTAATTTGACAGTATTTTTTCTAAGTATTTGACTTAGTTATTTCCAAGGTATCAAAGTTATTTTTCATAGAATAAACAGCTTTCTTTCTTTCCTTAACTATTACATTTAAGATTAATGTTATTAGGTTATACAATTATATGTATAATTATATGTATGTATAATTATAAACACAATTATACAGCTATCAAACTTAGGAAGAAACAAAACTGACTCTTAGGATATTAATTTGTTTACTGGTAGTGGAAGTGTACCAGCAGACAAGAGTGGTTCTCTGGGTCGGAGAACATTCAGGAGACAGGAGCATCAGAAGGAACGTGTCACAGAGGGAATGGGGAAAGTCGACCAACCTTGAAAGTATGTGAAGTCTAAGTTGGCTATGAAAGCTTTAGCTAACTTATGTGGCCATGACAATAACCAAGGGCATCATTAATGATATGCTCAAGGTTATTCATCATTGCCTTTCTGACCTCCCTTCAGGCTCATCGGCAACTGGCATCACTTAGGTACCAGCATTTCTAATGCTGACCATGCTTAATGGGAGGCTCAATCACTTTGGAAGACATGTTGCTCTTTGTGCACCTTCTTCACTTAGAAACAGACAGTCTCATTCAGCATGCTGCAGCAGCAGCAGACTAATGCTTTACTGAAAGTGATTGCAGTGGATTCCTATCAAGAAGCACCTTCTTCCTTGGGCATTCTTTGACAAGCTATAATAATTCTGGACAATAGAGATAAAAATATTTTTCATGTATAAGTATCCATGTCTTGAAGCACAATTCCTCTAGGAAAAGAAGGATTACTTGTTCTGATGGAAACCTTTTTTCTGGTTCTATTTTGAAGTCTTTGAATTCTTCCATTAAACCTAGCACAGAATATATGGAAAAATTTAAAATGTATGATTTGGCGGCAAGGTGACTTTGAATTGGAACAAAGCTTTCATAGAGGAATATAAGATGTCCTAAGAGCATTGGCTATATATAGTAAAACTGGAGCCTACTTTTAATCAATATCTAGAAAATCCATATTGATTCTCTGCAGTGCACATGCCTCATTTAGCATTCTGTGCCCAGAAGTTGTTACCTTTCTCTCTCTATATTTTCTGTGGTCTTAATCCTTTTCTTTGCACCACCTTGTTGGAGGAATATAAATATAAATGTTATCTGAGTACCCAGAATAGAGGTCATCAATCAGTTAGAAAGCAAAATGTTTGCATAATCTAGAAAATGGTGCTATGGTGCAGTGCTGATTTATTGCAGTAAATGAAGTTAAAACCAATGGAAAACAGTAATCTTTTAATTTTTGCTCTTCTGAATTGCTGGTTGCTTTCATTCCTATTTTGAACATTTCATTGGATGAATAAAGACATTGTGAAACTTGAAGACCCTAGAAGAAGCACTGGTACAAAATCTAAGGTGCTGTTTCCTGGAATACCGGATGCCACTTTATTGCTGTGAAGTTTACATGTATGCTTTGACCTTTAAATGTCTGTTCTGAGTTACTTGTCTGCTGTAGATTTTACCTAGAGACAGAATTGTCAATATATTTTCCATTACATTTTTGTATTCTGGGAAGGAAATATCATAGCATGCTTTATTTTTAGTAAAAAGAAATACAAACTGTTTTTTAGAATATTCTTCCCTAAGGTAAAACTGCTACAATCTTTGTATTTTTTCAGTAGTTGCTGTACATTCTTTTGCTGTTATAAATATGTGAACAGCTACCAGTAGCTCTAATCCCCACCCCATGTGTGCTTCTTCCCATTTTCCTCTCTTTCCGTTTGCAAAAAATAGGAACTGGGGACAAATTTTGAGTCTATTTATGAGGTAGGAGTACTTTTGTCTCTAAATTAAATATTTGAATTTGTTAGTAATGTTACGGTGATAAGTAATTATAGAAAACTCCCAGAGTTTCTGGAATCATTACTAGCCATGACGTTCAGTTCAAAAATATATTAGGCATTGTGAGGGAGATGAATATACATAATCTGACATGGTTTTGGCCCTATCATGATTGGGAAGATAAGTCATCTTAAAGATAACTAGAACACAAACTGTATTATGCCGGTTATTGATTATTAGATGACAGCTGGAGACTATAAATATTAGAGGATGCTCAAAGGAGCAGAATATATAAACATGAGAGCCTTTGTTGGTGAAATTCGCTTAAAGGAGTGTATTTGATAACAGCTAGGATTTCTACAGCAAAGATATGGGTGGAAAGTCATAGCTCAGCTATGGAATCAGGCAGGTGGAAAACAAAATGCTTAGCGCAAAGTACTTAGCCTGGAAGAGGGCAAGCATTCACTGCATGCTTCAAATGTTCCCAAAGGTGACGGTAATAGGTAGTGTATCACTGTGGTTAGGCTCTGGATCCTGACTTTCTGGTTTTCAATCCCAGTTCTGCCATTTACTAGCTGTATGTTTTTAAGTAAGTAACTTATACTTTCTGTGCCTCAGTTTTCTTATTGTTAATGAAAATAATACTAGTATCTAATTAAATGGCTTTCTTTGGTGATTAGGTTATTATGGATGAAGTCTTTAATTCAATACCCACCACATATGAGTAGAGATAATCTAGGCCTAGATAGTGACAAGCTTTGAAGGTGCTGGCTTTTATATTTATCCTGTAGGCAATCAAGGCATTTTCAGTCAAGGTATTTATTCCATGAGATGTTGGTTTAGAAAAAGAAAGTAATTATATATTAAAGGAATTGAGGGGTCTGGGAAAAAATAAGTTGAGATTTGGGGTGCAATATATACTCTTAACCAATGACAATATATGGCACTATTTTTGCATCGTCAGAATACTTGAGTCTGGGAACCAAAAGTTAAAAATGGGAATGGATCCTCTAAATATTACTGTTAATATTTTGCTCAACATATTTTTGTTTCCCACCCCCATTATATCAGACTATTGATATAGCTATCTTAGTATTCAAAAGAAAAGTTCTTCTAATAAGGCAAAAGCAATGGTTCTGTTGACAATGGTTCTTTCACAAGGCCATTTTTAGTTTCAGATGCTATCAATCACACAGAAAAAAAAGCTACTGTTTGGCTGAATGATTGATCCTATTTATCAATGGAACATGTATTGCTGGTAAACAATGTGTGCAGGAAGAAGGATGTCTAGAACCCAGACTCTTTCTTAGACACCACCTAGTGCTACCACATCTGGAGATAAAAGCTAATGGGAGATTACAGTACTGCAGCAAAAGCAGGACAACCAGAAGGTAAGAGCTTCTAGAAGGAAAGTTTTAGATTTTAGATTATCCTACTAGGAGAAGAGCCCATTCCACTGAGGTGCAGGCTTAACATGGAAAACATAAAAAAAGAAGTTTATAAATACAAACCAAATATGATGATCAGGTGTGGAAATACAGATGAGAATACTTATCCGTATTATAACTTTATCTATTATCTCAACGTATATAAGTATCAACCAATATCCCTACTTTTCCCCTCTCACTTTCCCCTATTTGTTTTACAGAATATGGAGTTGGTAAGTAACTTGATAATTGAGTCCATATTTAACTGTAAATTCCAATCAAATCCCCATTAATTATTGTCAGCCATTGTCTCTATCTCTGGGTCAGCTTCATCCTTCTGTAGTTCAGTCACAATTTCATTTTGAATCCAGGGAAAATCTGGGTTAAAATGAAAGATTTATGGTTTTTTACTGTTGAGGGAGATATTTTCAGCACAGCATATAGCTGATGAGAACATTTTTTAAACACTGGTATAGCGTTGTGCTTTGGAGAATACTGTCTGGGGATTGGAGTATAAGCTAAAAATAGGTATACATTTGGTTCCTTTTTTTTTCTGGCTTGGACAGGAATCTGGAATAGCAAGTGTAACCTAGTAGGAAGTAACAAGCATCAGTTATCAAACTGTACAGGATGTGTCTTCAACAGTGACCTCATGTTGTGGCAAAAAATATGCCACTAGTGGAATGATCATATACTAGTTCAGGGAAGCAGGATCCTCTCAGGATTGTGAAAAATCTATGTGACTGAAGAAACCCTTACATGTGAGAGATTTACTCCCTGCTAATAAGAAAAATGGAGATTTGAGCAATTGATTGGATAAACCAAAATAATGTTATAGAAGGCATATGCATAACATTTTCTTTGCATATCTGAGAAATAGGAGTAATTTTTGATGCATAAAATTACTTATTTCTGAATATTAAACTAAAACATCATCATCGTATCTTTTTTCTTGTAAAATAAAGAAATACAGAAAAAAGAAAACCCAAACCCAGCACAAATGCAGTCCTTGAAATTATTTCCTTCAGGACATGATATGGTCTGGATGTTTCTCCCCTCCAAATCTCATGTTGAAATGTGACCTCTAATGTTGGAGGTGGGGCCTAGTGGAAGGTATTGAACCATGCAGCACATCCCTCATGAATGGCTTGGTGCTCTTCCCATGGTAACAAGTGAGTTCTCACTCTGTTCATTCACATGAGAGCTGGTTGTTTAAAGAGCCTGGCTCCTCCTCCTGTCTCTCTCTCACTTCTGCTCCCACCATGTGTTTGTTGTACCTGCTCCTGCTTGGCCTTTCGCCATGATTGTAAGTTTCCTGAGGCTCTTGCTGAAGCAGATCCTGACACCATGCTTCCTGTATAGCCTGCAGAACTGTAAGCAATTAAATATTTTCTTGATAAATAACCAAGTCTCACGTATTTCTTTATTGTGATGCAAAAACAGACTGACACCAGACATTTGCCTACATTTGCATGAGCAGTATAAATTTGGATCATTCTGTAAATATATTTCTTCTTACTTATTTTTATTCTTCAAATCAAGAAACAGACCATCTCTTCTTCAACACTTTTTTAAGTGTGGCTCAAATGTCGTCTTAGCCAGAGAGCTTCTTGTAGTCTATATTTAGTTGTTTATCGTGGCAGGGATAAACATTCACTGCCTTATCCTTCAATACTAGAACAATAACAGTTATGCAATAAAAACTCATTAAATATTTGTTGAATAAATTTATTCAAATGTTTATATAATTCAATAAAACTTTATTATTGATGTAGGTAATTCAAATATTTTGTTAATATATTGCTATGTAGTCTGCTTTTTTGGATATTGTTATTATGGTAGAATTAATTTTATGTGTCCTATTCCTTTCTTTTGTTAAAGTTATTATGGTGAATAATTTTGTTTTCCAAATGTATTTCTGAGTGATTTATAGATAGTTTGCTTTTGAAAAGTTGATTTGTAAAATTACTTTGTATCTGACCAATTTTCGCAATTCTTAGTGGTAATTCTAAAAATAATATTCTAAAATAGTTATTTAATATCTAAAAATATACTGAACTTTGTAGATATGTACTAGTATATTGGATGTTGAAAATGATTGACTGGTAAGCTCACAGAGTCTTCTGAATAGATTATAACCTTCTTGCTGATATTAATACAGGTTGAATTTCTCTTATCTGAAACGTTTGGGAACAGAAGTGTTTTGAAATTTAATTTTTTGATTTTGGAATATTTGCCCATACATAATGAGATATCTCGGGGATGAGACCCGTATCTAAACACTAAATTCATTTATATTTTATATATACCTTATACATATAGCGTAGAGCTAATTTTATACAATATTTTAAATAATTTTCTGTATGAAGCAAAGTTTTGACTGCATTTTTACTATGACCTGTCACATGAGGTTAGGTGATGGGATTCTTCACTTGTGGCATCATGTTCTTATTAAAAAATTTTCAGATTTTGAAGCACTTTGGATTTCAGATTCAGATTGCAAATGGTCAGCTGGTAATATTTTTTAACCTTTATATCAGAAATGACAAGCATGATACTTGACTCATGCTGTATTTCTGACTAAGATTTGCTGAATGCCTATTTGATTGCCCACACGACTCTACATCTCCTGCTACCCAAATCCTATCAAGTATGGAAATATAACACAAGAAAGAAGAGACATGGGATCTGGCTCTGACAACTGGTTGAAGTCTGTAAGCCGATAATTTCCATATTTTTGGTCCCATTCAAATCCTCCTATAGAGTAGGTGGAGGAGAAAGAGTAAATATAGAAGTTAGTTACCTCATATGTGGCCTTGCTGTGCAAATAACTATATTTGTTGTCAGATTGAGGAACTTCAGGCTCCTGTTCTCCCTTTATTCTCCCCAGTTCCATTCTGAGCAGTGTTTAGTGACTTAGAAAGAGCAATATAAACTATACTCATGAAGTCAGCAGCGTTTATCTATCTTTGCATTCAAGTGCAGTCACCCCTCAATAGGTATAGTGGCCAGGAAATCCACTGTAAAATATATATTGTGTTTGAATCCTTTTCAAAGATTTTTCACAGGATAGGTTGGTAGCGGTGACAATGCTTCTCAAGATCTACTACTGAGTGCAATGTATTAAAGGAATCTTTTAACCACTCAAACTACACCCATTGATGCATTCAATATAAGAAAGAAGTTGATTCAAGGCTGCAATCTTCTAACCCTCTTAAAGCCCTTGGCTAAACTCCACTTTCTTTGTACTTCAGAATAGCTGAAATCTCTGCCAATAATGTTTGGTATATATTACCTTCCTCAGAACAACATAAATATTTTATAGCCTGGAGTGCAGCTATAACAACATGAATTAAAAAGTGCAAAAGAGTTATTCACTCTTAAATTTTACTTCTTGAATGGAAAAATTATTACTTTTCTTTTTTTTAATTATACTTTAAGTTTTAGGGTACATGTGCACAACGTGCAGGTTAGTTACATATGTATACATGTGCCATGTTGGTGTGCAGCACCCAGCAACTCGTCATTTAACATTAGGTATATCTCCTAATGCTATCCCTCCCCCCCTCCCCCCACTTTTCTAAGTAGAGATAGAAAAATCCCTATTCAGACTATAAATGAAAGATTTTTCTGACATTACCTAGAATTTCCCACATAAGGGCATAAGTTGACAACTGAGCTTTTGTTGTTCCTTAGAGAGAATTCTCCCTGTTGTTTGCCAGCTCATTCCTGATTCCTGGTACGGAAAAAAACAGAATGTACGTTCTAAACCGCACTGAGATGCTAAAAGGGGGCATATGGATGCAACTCATTGGAATACTCATCTGGGAAAATTATTTAAAAATTATAGAACAGAATTAGAAGCACTTAGATTATAAAACAAAAGAAACAATCTCCAAGACCTTTGTATATATGCTTTAAGTAGCATCAGAAGTAAAATTTTGACACATATCTTGCAGTTTCTGATACCCTGGGCGACTTCTTTGTACTCAAACATATTGACCAGTATTCTAGCTCCTCCATTTTTCTCTCCAGGTGTTGGAAATGCCCTTTAGAATTCTCACCTTCTGACATGCTCAAAATTGGCATGCGATAAACATATAATAAATACAAAGTTGAATTTTAGAATATCGAAATCATCTTTGGAGTTTATTGCTGCTTAAGGGTGTTAATATTTTTCTCACTAGTTCTAAGTACACTGTGATGCTTGCCTTATACCAGCAATCTTTCAATCTGAAATCCAGGGAGATAGTGCAGATAATACAGAAGATACTCAAAAAACAAACAAACAAAAAATAAAGAATAAAAAACATTTACTGTTATTTGAATTAATTAGACACATCTTAAAAATAAAGAAATGAAATGTTATTCCTTTGTGTATCTTCTAATATCTAGCTGTCCTTACTAAGGAAAAGTGATATAGGATTCAAGTATTACTTGGTAGATTGTATTAGTGTTGACATTTGATCTGGAGAAACTAGACAACTTTAAAAGAGGCCTTAAACTGTGTTATTTAGTAATTTTTATGAGTGAAATTATTGTAGGGATAACGATCCAGTGAAAAAAATATATAAGGGAGAAATCCACATGAATAAATATTCTCCCCCTCCATATAATTTCACTGACTGAATTGGTATAATATTGCTCCAAATAATTATCCCAATTCTCCCTTGCTTATCAGTCTTAACACAAAGGACACTAGTATTTCTAGATTTGTGTGTGTATGTGTGTGTGTTGCGGGTGGGGGCTGCCGCATAGATTATGAGCTAAAACATAGAATGAGAGACTTGACAGTCTGAGATCTGAACAAAAATCACGATTAGGTAATTTTGCCAGGGAAATTGATGGCAAGTTTTTAGCAAGATAGGCTTTCTTTTAAAATTCTTGTTGCTTCTTGTATACAGCCTGAGAGGGATGACACTAGCTCTTCTTAAAGGACTCTCAGTTTTGCTAACTTTTTTTCTGAGCAGTAACAGCCTCCTGCAATCATCCCGCATTGCTCTGAATTTTTGCTGTTTCCTCTACTTTGAAGATTAGTTCAGAGGATGGGTACAGAAATCTTACATTTTCCTGCATGTTTTCTCCCTCCTCAAGCTGCTGTCTTAAGAAAATCCAGGCGATGAGCTAGAGTGGTTGGTAAAAACGTGTTGTTTAGCTATGTTCAGAAAATGTACTAAACATTTTCCTGTGGTTTAAAAGATAAATCAGGTTACTAAAAAGCCAAAATCTAGATTTTTGATAAGTGAGAATGCCTTATAATTTGTAATAAAATATCTATATAAAGTTACTGGGAAAAGGTAATTAAAACCAAAACATATAATTAGGTTCATAACTTTTTTCCCCAAGCAGTGAACGGGGAGGTCAATCAACACATTGAAAATGAAATGTAAGTGAAAAAACACAGTCAGTTTTTTGTTTTTTCAGCCTTACTGACATTTCTCAAACTCTTGCCAACTCACCAGTGAAAGATAGTGACATTTTTCATGATCTAAAAGAAGGTTGTGGATGTTGGTGAAATACATGCTACTGCTTTTTCACAGCTTGACATATCACATCCTAGAAGTATGTTTTGTTTTAATGTAGAAAACAAGTTCAGAAAATTACTGCCTTTTGAAAAACAAATTTTAGCTTGAAACTTCAGTAGGACTGTAACCATATAACACAAGCAACTGCTGGAGTAAAGAAAGCCACTGATAATTATGAATCTACCCTCATCAACATCTTCCAATTTACTGTAAACTTCATCTCATCACTTTCACAAATTCTAGTGAAGAGAATAATAAACTATCAATGGAGATGTTTATTTCATTGTGTGAAATTCATAGTAGAATTCAATGCCTTTGGTTTCAAAATGAAAAAGAGAGTTTCAACAGCTGGGTTTCAAAGACCATGCAAATTTGAGTCTTATGGGCAACTGAACTGTGAATGTAAGACTTAACTGCTCTTGGCTTGCTCATTTGGAACCCTTCCCTAGCTGTGCACATGCTCTCCAAAGCCATTCATCTCATATCGAATTTCCTGCAAACATACAGACACTTCTGCCCCATTGCACAGCCCACCTAATGCTTTATTCATTTGATTTGATTTATTTATTCTGCACCTATTTCTCCCAGTACTCTGATGTGAACTTAATAAAAATTCAACATCCAAGGCAAATCTAGCAGCCAAAACTGGTTTTAATGAAAGCAGAAGCATACAAGGAAAGTATGGACAGATGAGTTATGCTTTCTGCTCTCAAGACCCTACCAGCAGGAAGCAATGAGGGTTTCAAAGGGGTTCCAAAGTAAAACTACATTTGCCTCTGAAACTTTTAGAGAACACAGTTGAGTTGGCAGTCATATCCAAAGTAGTACGTAAGATAGAAAGGTAGCAATTTTGAAGGCAGCTATTGGATGATAGGCAGTCATTAAGACTAACATAACAATTGCCAAGGTTCATTCCCCAAAAATTCTCGGTATTTTAAGGAGAAGTAATACATTTAAAAAGTAATGATATTAGAACCTTCTGAAAAGAAATACAATGAATTGTGAGAATTCTGAGTATTCTGAAACTTGTTTCAGATATAAAAATATGAAAACTATTGGCAAAGTAGACATGGGAGGGAGAAAATTAGCCACTCAATTTACAAAGTATATGCTACTTTATAAAATGAAAGCTTCATTTTTACACTTGTGTAGGCAAAATGTAGCATTCTAGAAGTCTAACTTCTTGGTGTTTGGCAAATTACTTTAAGAATTAAAAGTTCGGGCCAGGCGTGGTGGCTCACACCTGTAATCTTAGCACTTTGGGAGGCTGAGGTGGGCTGATCACAAGGTCAGGAGATCGAAACCATCCCGGCTAACACAGTGAAACTCCATCTCTACTAAAAATACAAAAAAATTTAGCCCGGCCTGGTGGCTGGCGCCTGTAGTCCCAGCTACTAGGGAGGCTGAGGCAGGAGAATGGCGTGAACCGGGGAGGCAGAGCTTGCAGTGAGCTGAGATTGCGCCACTGCACTCCAGCCTGGGTGACAGAGAAAGACCCTGTCTCAAAAAAAATAATAATAATAACAAAAAAAAGAATTAAAACTTTGGTCACCCTAAGTTAGTTAATCAAACTCCACATCAAACAAGTAAAAGTACTGTTTGAGATGAAAATAAAACAACAGAGTCCTTTGAACTTAATTTTAGAGTGATTAAGATCACAGACTCCAGAGGTCAGGTACATTGTATAGCATAGGAAAAAGAATCAAATCTGATAATAGATTTTAACAATCTTTTTATCTGACATCGGTCAATCAAGAACACAGAGGTGACGCATGTATTCTAGGTATATAAGATTTAATATATGAATCAAGGAGGTATGTAATTGTTGGAAGAGCTGATATCAAGGGAGCTAACATGAAAAACCTCAACCTGAAATTATAAAATACTTGATCGTTGTCAAGAGCTCACCAGGAGGCGCTATATTTCTCAGGCATCTCCAGGAAGCTTTTATCAACATACTCAGTCTACAGTGGTAAGGCTTGTAGTTCTAGAGCTTAGTAGGAAGTCACTGGGTCTCATGTTTGTCCATGCTTCGGACTGCAAATGCCTTGAAAACACAATGGCTTCTCCTTTTTTATCTGACAAATCTCATGTGAAGACCTCTTGTTGGCAAACTAACCTGGAATCACGCAAGAAAGATTATAGGAACTGTAGCCTGCATTTATAATCTTACTTGCATTCCTGAATTAGACCTTAGAAGCGGGTAGAGGTCATGGTAAATTGATGGTGAACTTGCCAGTTTTTGAAGGGTATTTCAGGGAAGTACAGGAAATTGTGTTTCTGATAGACAAACAGGAAAACTACTGTCAAAGTAGATACTGGAGGGAGAAAAACACTCAATTTACAAAGTATACAACACTTTATAAAATGAAAGTTTAGTTTTTGCACTTGTTCAGACAAAACGTAGAATTCTAGAAGTCTAACTTCTTGGTGTTTAGCACATTATTTTAAGGATGCAAGTTACTAAAGGAACTGACTTAAAAGGACAATTAACTTTAAAAGGAATTAGCTGCAAATTTCTGTGGTGGGCATATTTTGAGTATCTGTCCAGCTCATAAAACAATAAAGTCTCCTTTCCTCTGCAGCTTTATTACAACCCCAGTCCCTCAAGCCACATAATGTTTATGAAATCCTTGTTCACAGTTCATTTGACCATGAAAAGGCATTTGGCTCCAGCTAGGTTGATGAGATTCTTCTCTCAGAAATTTTAGATGAGTCTGGGCTTCTCCTGACACTTCCAAATCTAACCTTCAGAACTCTGGGTTAGCCAAGTTCTGCATTCTATGCAAACAGGAAAGGCCATCTACTGAGAGAGGAAAATAAAAAGAAAGTCCAAAGAGAATCAGACTTAGGAAATGTAGTGAGAATGCTACAACTTTCCAACTTCCTGTTGCAGTCTCTTTGGGAGACCTGGAATTGCTTCCCTTGGATTCTATGATAAATTTCTTTGTCCATATAATAAATTTATCTTCCCAGCCCATCTAGGTTTTTTTTTCTTTTTCCTTAAAATATCTTGAGTTGGCTTCTGTTACCTGCAAACATAAATCTCTGTCAAAGGACTGTCATTACATTTAAAATATTTTTGATTCAATTTAATTTGAGTGTATCACTTGAACAAAATAATTTTGTTATTACTTATTCTACTTCTGATTCATTTATTTATTTTCGTAACTTTTAACTGACCTTCCTTATCCTATTCCCACCTCCCTAACAAGAAAATGAGAAGAGAAATAAAATCTGAAATTCAAATCATGTGGCCTGGACTTGCTAAAAACACCAGTAAATGAGAGGCAATTAAATTTAATGACAAAAACGAGGCTCTAGTAAGGCTTCAAAGTAGTCTGTTCCTAAACCTGAGGGGCAAATGAACCACAATGTTATCTTTTAGCAATATAATCAAAGCTACACTCCAGAGAGAATGCATGAGATTTCACATAAAATGACAGATTGCCAGCTTCTCTTCAGCAAGGTAATTGGCCACTGTGGTAAGTATATTATGGCCAACATAAAATATTGTAATAGGTATGGAAACCTGAGCTAGCAACAGCAGATTTAGCAAGTAAGTTAAAAATTTGGCAGAGGAACATTTATTGCTATTGGCTTTCATGTAAGATAAAAGACACATGCATGTGCAAGCACACACACACACACACACACACACAGAGGAATGATTTCTTGTTGGTGCAAGACTTTACTAAAACATTAAAAATGCATATTATTGCTGATATCTGCTTCATCAGTTTCATAAGAACAAAAACAATAACTGTCACTTCATGTATTATTTCTAGCCATTGCTTTCGTATTATTGCATTAAAGCTAATTTTATTCACTTAGACCAAAACATAAAACGTGACCACAAAAGCATTCAACAGGAAACATTTATGACCTAAATAATTCAGGCAGCGGAAGAATTTAGATTGCTTAGTTTCCTTTAAATAATTTAGGGGTGGCACTTAAGGGCACTGAATAATCAATCCACCCATGAATTGAGTAGCAAAATGGTGGTGTATAATTTTTGATATTTAAATCTTAGAGGTCTTTTGTCTTTTATTCCAGAATAATGAATCTGAAAAAGAATTGTTTTAAAAGGAATGGGTTATGTGTAGAATTTTAAAATATCAGCTCTTAGCAACTCATCAGTGCCACTTGGACCGAGTCCTCTGCAAGGAGCCAAAAGATTATAGCCCAATCTAAGGCTCAGCTGGAATAAAGCCTTGTTATTCTTTTCCTGCAAGGCTCAGGTCACATAAATCATTTTCATCTTTTTGATACTGTATATCAAACAGGAGAATAGGTTAAGTTGTGTTCAGGTGAACTAGAGTCATGACAAAATGTTCTTGTAGTAAACATTTCAAATAATATAAAATATTTGTGGGTAACAAACTCACAAGGTTTCTCTCTGCTATAGTTTGAATATGTTCCCTAATGTTCATGTGTTGGAAACTTAATGACCAGTGCAACAGTTTGGAGAGGTGCTTAGATCATGATGGCCAAGCCCTCTTGAATGGATTAATGTCATTATACCAGGAATAGATTCATTAGTGTGAGAGAGGGTTTGTTATAAAGGGGAGTTGAGACTTCTCTTGCTCTCTCTTGCCATGTGATGCCTTCTCCCATGTTATAAAGGTCCTCGTCAGATGTGGCCTCTTAATCTTGGACTTTCCAAACTCCAGAGCCACAGCTAAATAAATTTTTGTTCATCAAAAATTACCCAGTCTGTGGTAGTCTGTGGGAGTAACACAAAATAGCATAAGATGGAAAATTGGTACTGAGAAGTGGGGCTGTTACTGTAAACAAATACAGATGGTGCCCACTTACAATGGTTCAACTTAGGATTTTTTGACTTAATGATGGTGCAAAAATAATATACATTCAGTAGAAACTGTACTGTGAGTACCCAGACCACTATTCTGTTTTTCAGTTTCAGTACAATATTCAATAAATTCATGAGGTATTAAACACTTTATTATAAAATACACTTTGCATTAGATGATTTTGCCTGACTGTAGGCTTATGTGAGTATTCTGAGCACATTTGAAGTAGGCTAGGCTAAGCTATGATGTTCAGTAAGTTAGGTTTATTTTTAAAATTAAGTTAAATTTTTATTAATTTTTATGTTTTTAAGGACAGGATCGGCTCTGTTGTACAGGCTGGAGTGCAGTGGGGCTAACTGCAGCCTCAACCTCCCAGGCTCAAGTGATCCTCCCACCTCAGCCTCCCAATTGGCTGGGACCACAGGCACGTGCCACCATGCCTGGCTAATATTTTTAATTTTTGTAGAGACAGGGTCTCCCTGTTTTGCCCAGGCTGGTCTTGAACTCCTGGACTCAAGCAATCCTCCCACCTTGACCTCCCCAGTTGCTGGGATTATAGATGTGAGCCACCATGCTTGACCAGCTAGGTTCATTTAATACAATTTTGGCTTATAATATTTTCAATTTATGATGAGTTTATCCAGACATAACCCCATCAGAAGTTGAGAAGCATCTATATCTGAAAATGTGGAAGTGGCTTTAGAATTAAGCAATGAGTAGAGGTTGAAAGGGTTTAGAGGAGCAAATTAGAAAAAGCCTCAGTTACCATATATAAAGCATTAAGGATGATTTTGATGAGGGCTCAGAAGATGAGAACTGTAGGGAATATCTAGAACTTCTTAGAGATGACTTACATGGTTGTATTCAACATGCTGGTAGACATCTGGATAGTAAAGTCCATCTGATGAGGTCTCAGATGGAACTGTGGAATAAAGTATCAGAAACTTGAGTAAAGGTTATCCTTGTTTACAGTTGCAAAGAGCTTGGAAGAATTGTGTCAATTTCCTAGGGTTTTATGGAAGCAGAATTTAGGAGTGATGAACTAGAACATCTGGCAGAAGAGCTATCTAAACAGCAAAATGTTCAAAATGCTGCATGGCTTCTTTTGACCACTTATAGTAAAATGAGAGAAGAGAAAAATGATTTAAAGATGGAATTTGTAATTAAAAAGAAAGTAGAAAGTAAAAAATTTGAAAATGTTCAATTCAACCTGCCATGTAAAGAATAAAAAGATGTGTTTAGGAGAACAAACTAAGGTTGCATCCAGGGGACTGTTTACTAAAGAAATTAATATTAAGAGAAGAAAGCCAGGTTCTACTGACCAAGACAATCAAAAAATGACTCAAAGGCATTTCAGAGATCTTTGAGGCAACCTAGAACTTCTACTAAGGTTAAGATTTCCAGAGAGGTGCCTGGAGAATCTCAGCGTTCATTGCCCTGCACTGACTCTAGACTCTGCTCCCTGAATTCTGACACAGCAATCCCCAGCTGCCCCAGCCATAAATCAAGTAGGCCCAGGTGTGCCTTGACCAGCCACTCTGGAAGGTATGAGCCTTAAAACTTGGTGATGTCCATGTGGTGCTAATCCTGTAGGCATGCAAAATGCAAGAGCTGTGGGGGCAGGGACACCTCCATCTGGATTTTGAAGGATGTTACAAACAACCTGAGGGGCCCAGGCACAGACTTGTCAAAGGGCTGAGCCATTGCAGAAAGTCCCCACTGGGTCAATACACAGTGGAACCATGGAAGCAGGGCAGTCTCTGAGATATTAGAACTGTAGGGCTATCAGTGTGCAGCTGTAGCCTGGGAGAGCTGCAAGCATGAGTCTCCAATCCAAGACAGTGGCTGGGTGGGGTGAGCCCAGTAACAACACAGAGGCAGGACTGCCCGAGGCCTTAGGGACCCAAATCCTGTCCCAGTGTGTCCAAGATATGGGACATAGAGTCAAAGGAGATTATTAAGGCATCTTAAAATTTTATATTGTTTTTCTTCTTGGGCTTTGGACTTACCAGAGACCAGATACCTCTTTTTATTGTCTGTGTTCTCTTTCATAGAAAATAAATGTCTATCCTATGCCTATCCCACAACTGTATTTTAGAAGTAGATAACTTACCTTTACAAGCTCAAAGCTAAAGGAGAATTTGCCTCAGAATGAATAGTGTCTTGAGTCTCACCCATATATGATTTAGATTAGACTCTTGATTTTTTAAATTTTGAGTTGATGCTGGAATAAGTTAAGGCTTTGGGGGTATTGGGATGAAATTCATTTTGCATGTGAGAAGAATGTGGATTGAGGGGGATGAATGTGTTCCCCAAAGTTCATGTGTTAGAAACTTAATCCCCAGTGCAACAGTGTTGAGAGGTGGGACTTTTAAGAGATGATTAGGTCATAGGGGCTCTGCCTAAGGAATGGATTAATGTCATTATCATGAGCATGAGATCATTATTGGGAGAGCAGATTTGTTATAAAATTGAGTATGGCCCTTTATTGCTCTCTCTTGCTGTGTGGTGATGTCTTCTATCATGTTATGATACAGCAAGAAGACCCTAACCAGCTGCATCACCTTAATCTTGGACTTTCCAGCTTCCAGAATCATAAACAATATACATTGCTATTCATTGTAAATCACCCAGTCTGTATTTTGGTATTTTGTGAGAGTAGCACAAATGGATTAAGCAACTCTATTTGACCAAGCCAAGAAAGGCATTTGCTTACATATTTATGCTAATTGAATTGTTTAGTTTTAAAACACACCACACTGTTTTAATACAGCATAATTAAAATAAATTTAAGCTATGATGATAAGGAACACATTAAATAAACAAATTTACATAATGAAGTGGTTTGGTTTACAAATTTTAATTTTATAATAAGATTTTATTAAACATGTAACATTAAAATGAAGAGAGATAAGTAAATTAAATACTTATAAGCCCCTTAAAATTACTAGCTGATTAAGTTTCAGTAAATAAACAGGTAATTCACAATTTCATGACTGTTTATTAAAAATACTTCCACAGAGAACAGTTGCACCTGGTCTTTAAAATTTATTGTTTCTATTATTTTACTTTCTGTTTTATTTCCTTTGTTGTTACTTTTTATGACAAGCAATATTTTATTTTAAAATCAGTTTTAATGAGGTGTAATTTACATAAAACAATTTTCACATTAAAAGTATAGATTGATGACTTTTGACAACAGTATACACCTGCTTAATGACCATCTCCATAAAGACAGAGCACGTTTCCATCACCCAGAAGCTTCTTTTGTGTCCTTTTGCTGCCTGTTCCCTATGACTCCCCACCCTCCAGAGCCAAGAAACTACAAATCTGATTTCTTTGATTATAGATTAATTTTGCTTGTTCTAGAATTTCTTATTCACAAAATCACACAGTAATTATTTTTTGTATCTGCCTTATTTTATTAAGCACAGTACCCGTGAGATTTATCAATGCGATTGCATGCATTAGTAGTTTGTTGCATTTATTTATTAAATAGTATTATGCTATATGAATGCACTGTAAGTTGTTCTTTATTCACCTTTTGATGAATATTTCTGTTCTTTCCAACTTTGGGTTTTTGTGGTATTTATTTTATTTTAAGATGATTTCAATTCTTAAATTATATCCAATTTAGATAAAAGTTATAATAATAGCACAAATAATTTCATTTTCCCTTAATCATTAAATAATTAGTCAATAATATGATGCTTCATTACCCCAAATACTTTGATGTGTGATTCCTGTAAACAAGGACATTCCCTTACAAAACCACAATATGACCATCAAAATGAATGCTGATACATTATCGTCATTGAATCTACAGGCCTCATTTAAATTTCATCAGTTGTCCCAAGGATTCAAACCATGACTGCATGTTGCAATCTCTTTAATGTCCTTCAATCAGTGATAGTTCCTCAGTCTTTCCTTGCCTTTCATGATCTCAATATTTTTTGGAATTACAACCAATTACTTGGTAGAATGTTCCTCAATTGGGATTTACTTAATGTTTTTCCATGATTAAAGTTACATATTTTTGGCAAGAATATGAGAGAAGTGATATTACATTCTTGTCATTGTATCCTATCAGTTACTAAACAATTTTAATTTGTCCATTACTGGTGATGTTAATTTTGATCACTTGATTAAGGTGGCATCTGCTATGCTTTTCCACTGTAAAATTACCCATGTGACCTTTTGTGATTAATAAGTATTTTGTAGGGAGGTACTTTGAGACTGTGTAAATTCCCATTGCTCATCAAAATTTAATCTACTCATTTTAGCATTAGATACGTTTGGGCTAAATGAATATTACTGTGCCAAATTGTGATTTTCTAATTCTATCTTTCATTTTACATTTATTGGTTGACTTTATGCCAAAAGCAAATATGTTCTCTTATCTGCACCTATTTATTTGCTTATTTATATTAGTATGGATTCATGGATTCTTAAAGTTTAAATGACTTTTAACTGGTAAATTGTCCTAATCTGCTCAGTTAAGAGTCCCTTTAAGCTAGTCTTTTTGTTCTTTAACATGTCTTTATTATTTTTGAGTACTTTTTTCTTTGTGCTAAAATATTTTCCAGGCTTATTTTTAATTTTTCTTGTCCCTGCTCTAAAACCAGAAATCAATCATTTCACCAATGAGTCTTGGGATGAAGCAAAATGGCAGAACAGAGAGCTCCATGGATCATCCCCCATGCAAGGACACCAAGTTAACAACTATCTACATAGAAAAAAAAACCTTATGAGAATAAAAAATCAGGTGAGTGCTCATAGTACCTGGTTTTAACTTCATATTGCTGAAAGAGGCACAGAAGAGATAGAAAAAACAGTCCTAAATCACCAACACGACCCCTCCTCGATCCCCTGAAGTGGTGGCTCCATGGTGTGGAGAGCATCTCTGGGCACTGAGGGAGGGAGAACACAGCAATTGTGAGGCATTGAACTCAGTGCTGTCCTGCTAAAGAAGAAAAGAAAACCAGACCAAACTCAGCCAAAACCCACTCACAGACAGAGCATTTAAACCAGCCTTTGCAGAGGGGACTCGCCTATCCCAGCTGTCTGAACTTGAGTGCTCACAAACCTTGTCAACAAGGGCCAAAGTACTCTTGGTTTCTAAGTACACGTAGAGTTTACCAAAAGGCAGTCTAGGCCATAAGGACTGCAACTCTTAGGTGAGTCTTGGGGCTGAACTAGGCCCTGAGACAATAGACTGGGGTAGGGGTGAAGGGCATGTGACATACTGAGACACCAGCTGAAGCAGCCAAGAGGGTGCTGGCATCACCACTCTTTTGCCCTAGGCTGCACAGCCCATGGATCCAAAAGAGACCCCCTTCCTTCACTTGAGGAAAAGAGAGAATAGTGGGAAGGACTTTGTCTTGCATCTTAGATACCAGCTCAGCCACAGTAGGATAAGGCACCAATCAGAATTGTGAGTTCCCCATTCTGGGCCCTTGCTCCCAGATGACATTTCTAGACACACCCTGGACCATAATGGAAGCTGCTGCCTTGAAGGAAAGGACCCAGTCCTGGCAGCATTCATTACTTGCTAACTGAAGAGCCCCTGGGCCCTGAATAACCAGCAGCGATACCCAGATACTACATTGAGGGCCTTGGGTGAGCCTCTGAGACTTACTGGCTTCAGGTGAGACTCAGCACATTACCAGGTGTGGTGGCTAGAGGGCAAAATTCCTTCTGCTTGAGAAAAGCAGGGGGAAAAGTAAAAGGGACTTTGTCTTGCACCTTAGGTACCAGCACTACCATGGGGGGTAGAGGACCAAGTGGGTTCTTAGAGTCCCTGATTCCAGGGCTTGACTCTTGGATAGCATTTCTGGACTTGCCCTTGGCAGGGAGCCCACTGTCTTAAAGGATGAATCTCAGGTCAGGCAGCATTCACCACAAGCTGACTTAAGAGACCTTGGGCCTTATCCCATATATACCTAGTGGTGGTAGTCTGGCAGTACTCCTGTGGCCAGGGGTGGTATTGGCTATGGGGTGAGGCCTCTCTGCCTTTGGAAAGAAGAGGAAAGAGTGGGAAGGACTGCATCTTGTGGTATGCCAGCGTAGCTGTGACAAAATAGAACACCAAGTAGACTTCTAAGGTTTTTGACTCTAGTCCTTGACTCCTGAACGGCAATTCTGGACCCACCCAGGGCCTGGGGGACCTTGCCACCCTGAAGGGAAGGACATAGTTGTGGCTGGCTTTGCCATATGCTGACTGTAGAGACCCAGGGCCTTGAATGAACATAGGCAATAGCCAGGGAGTGGTTACAGCAGGTGATGGGCGAGACCCCGTACCGTGCTGGCTTCAGGTCTGACCTAGCACAGTGATAGTGGTGGTAGCCACGGGGGTACTTAAGTCACACCAACCCCAGTGTTAGGTGGCTCAGAGCAGAGACAGAGACTCTGTATGTTTGAGAGAAAGTAAAAGAAGAAGAGTCTCTGTTTGATAATCCAGAGAACTCTCCTGGATCTTGTCCCAGACCATCAAGGTGGTACCTCTATGAGTCTGCAAGAACCACAGCATTACTGAGCTTGGGTTGCCCCCTAAAGCAGAAACAGTTTAGGTCCAAACACTCAAGTGCTGTCAAGTATCTGGAAAGCCTTCCTAAGAAGGCTGGCTACAAATAAGTGCAGACAGTGGAGACTGTAATAAATACCTAACTCTTCAATGCCCAGACACCGAAGAACATTTACTAGCATCAACACCATTCAGGAAAATACGACCTCACTAAGTGAACTAAGTAAGGGACCTGAGACCAATCTTGTTGAAATAGAGATATGTGACATTTCAGACAGAGAATGCAAAAGAGCTGAGTTGAGGAAACTGAAAGAAATTCAAGATAACACAGGGAAGGAATTCAGAATTTTATCAGATACATTCAACAAACAGATTGAAATAATTACAGTGAATCAAGTAGAAATTTTGTGAATCAATCAGAAATCAAGTGAAAAATGCACTTGGCATACTGAGAAATACATCAGAGTTTGTTAATAGCAGAATGGATCAACCAGAAGAAAGAATTAGTGAGCTTGCAGACAGACTATTTGAAAATACACTGTCAAAAGAGACAAAAGAAAAAAGAATAGAAAACCAAGAAACAAAAGGGCAAATCTAATAGTCATTGACATTAAAGAGAAGGTAGAGAAAAAGATAGGGGCGGGAAGAGTATTTAAAGGGATAATAACAGGGAATTTCTCAAACCTAGATTAAGATATCAATATCCAAGTATAAGAAGATTATAGAACATTAAGCAGATTCAACCCAAAGAAGACTACCTCAAGGCATTTCATATTCAAACTCCCGAAGGCCACGGATAAAGAAAAGATCCTAAAAGCAGCAAGGGAAAAGAAATAACATACAATGGTGCTCCAATACGCCTGAAAGCAGATTTTTTAATAGAAACTTTACAGGCCAGGAGAGAGTGGCATGACATACTTAAAGTGCTGAAGGAACTAAACTTTTACCCTAGAATAGTATATCTGGCTAAAATATACTTTAAACATGAAGGAGAAATAAAGACTTTCTGAGACAAACAAAAGCTGAGGGATTTCATCAATACCAGACTTGGCCTAAAAGAAATGCTAAAGGGAGAACTTCCATCAGAAAGTAAAGGATGTTAATGGGCAATGAATAATCACGTGAAGGTGCAAAACTCATGGATAATAATAACTACACAGTAAAATAAAGAATATTATCACACTATGACTGTGGTGTATAAACAACTCTTATCCTAAGTAGAAAAACTAATCAATGAATGAATGAAAGTAATAATTACAATTTTTTGAGACATAATCAATACAATAGGATATAAACTGAAAAAACAAAAAATTAAAAACCAGGGGGATGAAGTTAAGGCAAGTCTTTATTAGTTTTCTTTTTGCTTGTTTGCTTGTTTATGTAAATAGTGTTAAGTTGTAGGTTAAAATAATTGATTATAAGAGTATTTGCAAGCCTCATGGTAACTTCAAACAAACAAACAAAAAATACAGTGGATACAAAACCAAAGCAAGAAACTAAATAATATCACCAGAGAAAATCATCTTCTCTAGAGGAAGACAGAAATGAAAGTAAGAAGGAAGACCACAAAACAACCAGAAAACAAGTAAAATGGCAGGAGTAAGTCCTACTTATCAATAATAGCATTAAATATAAATGGACTAAACTCTCCAACTAAAAGATATAGACTGAATGGATGAAAATGCAAGATCCATTGATCTGTTCCCTATGCAAATCACACTTTACCTATTAAGACACACAGACTGAAAATAAATAAATGGAAAAAGAGATTTCATGCCAATAGAAACCAAAAAAGAGCAAGAGTCACTATACTTATATCAGACAAAATAGATTTCAAGACAAAAATTGTAAGAAGAGACAAAGAAGTTCACTATGTAATGTTAAAGGAGTCAATGCATCAATAGGATGTAACAGTTTTAAATATATATGCACCCAACAATGGAGCACTCAGATATACAAAAAAAAATATTATTAGAGCTAAAGAGAGAGGTAGGTCCCAATATAATAATAGCTGGAGACTTCAACACCCCGCTGTCAGCATTGGACAGATCTTCCAGACAGAAAGTCAACAATGAAACCTCAGACTTAATCTGCACTATAGACCAAATAGATCTAATAGATATTTAAAGAACATTTCATCCAAGAGCTGCAGAATACACATTCTTTTCCTCAGCACATGGATCATTTTCAAGGATAGATCATATGTCAGGTCAGAAAACAAGTCTTAAAACATTCAAAAAAATTGAAATATCTGGCATCTTTTCTGACCACAATGGAGCAAAACTAGAAATTAATAACAAGAGGAAACTATTAGGAAACTATACAAATACCTGGAAATTAAATGATATGCTCCTGAATGACCAGCAGGTCAATGAAGAAATTCAGAAGGAAATTGAAAAATTTCTTGAAACAAATGATAATGGAAACACAACATACCAAAACCTATGGGATAGATCAAAAGCAGTACTAAGAGGGAATTTTATAGGTATAAGCGCCTACATCAAAAAGAGGAAAAACTTTAAATACACAATCCAACAATGCATCTTAAAGAACTAGAAAAGCAAGAACAAGGCCAGGCGCAGTGGCTCAAGCCTGTAATCCCAGCACTTTGAGAGGCTGAGGCGGGCAGATCATGAGGTCAGGAGATCGAGACCATCCTGGCTAACATGGTGAAACCCTGTCTCTACTAGAAATACAAAAAATTAGCTGGGCGTAGTGGCCGGCGCGTGTAGTCCCAGCTACTTGGGAGACTGAGACAGGAGAATGGCGTGAACCCGGGAGGTGGAAGCTGCAGTGAGCCGAGATCGCGCCACTGCACTCCAGCCTGGGCGACAGAGTGAGACTCCATCTCAAAAAAAAAAAAAAAAAAAAAAAAAAGCAAGAGCAAACCAAACCCCAAATTAATAGAATAAAAATAACAATAAATATCAGAGCAGGAAGAAATGAAATTGAAATGAGTGAAACAATACAAATGATCAACAAAGCAAAAAAGTGGTTTTTTTGAAATGTTAAACAAAATCACAAACCTTTAGCCACACTAAGAAAAAAAGAGAGAAGATCCGAATAAATAGAAACAGAAACGGAAAAGGAGACATTACAACTGATACTGCAGAAATTCAAAGTAACATTTTTGGCTATTATGAGCAACTATATGCCAATAAACTGAAAAATCTAGAAGAAATGGACAAATTCCTTGATACATACAACCTACCACAATTGAACCAAGAAGAAATCTAAAACCTAACAGACCAATAGCAAGTAACAAGATCAAAGCCGTAATGAACAATCTTCTAGTAAAGAAAAGCCTGGGACCCAATGGCTTCACAGCTGAATTCTACCAAACATTTAAAGAAAAACTAATACGAATCCTCCTCAAACTATTCCGAAAAATAGAGAAGGGAATACTTCCAAACTCACTCTACAAGGCCAGTATTACCCTGATATCACCAATGAGTCTTGGGTCCTTTTAGTGGACAGGAGTATTTAGAAACCAACATCTGGACCCTAGATGTGTTTATCACTCTTGGGTGTCACTGCTTCTGGCATCTTTTCAGTAGACAGAATTAGGTAGTATATGTATGTATATGCACATTTAATTATATATGTGTTATATGTAATATAACATTATATCTATATAAACATTAGTTCAGTTGATACTTTTGTTTTTAGAGACAAGGTCTTGTTCTGTTGCTCAGGCTGGAGTGCAGTTGCACAATCACAGCTCACTGCACCCTCAAATACCTGGGCTCCAGCAATTCTTCTGCCTCTGCCTCCTGAGTAGCTGTGACTACAGGCATGCACCATCATGTTTGGTTAGTTTTAAAACATTTTTAAAATTTATTTTTACATTTTTCAGTAGAGACAGAGACTCAACATTTTCCCCAAGTTGCTCTTGAACTCCTGGGCTCAAATAATCCTCCTTCAACTGCAGCCTCCCAAACTGCTGAGATCACAAGCATAAGCCACTGCACACGGCCTCATTTGATACTTTTAATTTTAGTTCAGCAAGGAAGTATTTATTTTAATTTTTTTCTTTTCTATATTGGTAACTCTTCTCTGGAGAAACATATATCCCATAATCTTCAATATATTACTTAGTAAATTCATTCTCCCATCATGTTACCAATGTCTGTTTGCCACTCTCACTGTCCCCTTATCCCTTTTGTGCCTGTTCTTTTCACCCTACTTAGGCTCTGTCAACAACCTTCAGTACTAGATACCAGTGCAAGGACATGGTCCTCATTTTGTTCTGGCTACAACATATTATTTCAAATGGCTGCCACCTCCCCTAACCCTGACTGACAGCTACCTTTCTTGATCCCTCCTAATGGACAAATTATTCAGGGAGAAAGGAAGGAAGGAAAGAAGATAGGCAAGCAACTGCCATTATAATCAAAACAATTATTATCTCCAAGAAGCTTTTCTTTAGTAAAAACTGTTTTCCCAAATTACTCCTTCAAGATAACTAACCAGGTCGAAAGAATGAGCTATGACTTTTTCATTTTTCCTGTAAGGAGCATGTTGATTAATATATTTATAAGATTTGATACAAATTCACCTGGAACTGTTCAGTTATATGAATGAATGAATCAGAGGTTTAGAAATAGAAGAGATACTGATTGACATTCATCTTCCAAACAAACCATTTTAGAGCTGAAGTAATAAGAGGTGAGATGACTTTCCCAAAGCTATACAATTGGTAGCATTGGAATATTTGAATTTATTTAACAAAACCAGAAAAAAAAGTTCTGTATTCTTGTTTTTTTTTCTACGATTTATATTTAGTTTCTTATGAATACCAATAAGGATTTTCAGAATGGTTCATCATTTCTGTTGTGTAGAAAATAATAACAATAATCAAAATTTTTTTGCATTTATTTATTCATTTACTTATTTTTTGAGAGAGAGTTTTTCTCTTGTTGCCCAGGCTGAAGTGCAATGGCATGATCTCGGCTCACTGTGACCCCTGCCTCCCGGGTTCAAGCAAGTCTCCTGCCTCAGCCTCCTGGGTAGCTGGGACCACAGGCATGCGCCACCACACCTGGCTAATTTTGTATTTTTAGTAAAGATGGGGTTTCTTCATGTTGGTCAGACTGGTCTTGAACTCCTGACCTCAGGTAATCTGCCTGCCTCGGCCTCCCAAAGTGCTGGGATTACAGTCATGAGCCACCACACCCAGCCCAACACATACTGTATTCAAAGCCTTTCATAGATTTGTCATGGATATTTCAGATTTTACTGCTTGTGTGTTACAATAAGAAAACTAATTGCACAAAGATTAAGTCACTTACCCAGGGTCATATATTTAGGTAGTGGCAGAATTAGGTTTCGAATCCAGAGGTGCTGGATTCTAAATCTCCTATACTATGCTAGAGAGCCTCTTTATATTTTGGGTAGAGGTCCATGCATCAGTTAGTACTAATTAAATTGCTTAATAAAAGTGAGGATTTTTTGGTTTATTCAACTGATGAATCTCATTTCCGCTGCAGCTTGATGAAGACACAATGCCAAGCTAGAGCCTTGTTCCATGTTATTTATTTTTTCTTTTTCACTTGCTCTTAGAATGTTGTCTTTATCTCAGGCTCAATGAAGGGCAAGTTGGTTGTAAGAGCTACTGTCTACTTCAACCAAGTTTAAGATGGAGTCTTTTCCCCTAGAAATCCTAGCAAATGCCCCAGTGGTTCAATGGCTGATGTGTCCATCCCTCTACTAATTATTGTAGCCAGGTAAATCTGCTGAATACTAATCCCCCCAAATATGACAGCATGGCAGTAAAGTAGGTACAAAGTAGCTTTCCACAGGAAATTGAAAGTACTGTTCTGTAAGAAGACCGAAGAGAAGTGAGGTGGCAAAAACAATAGAGTTTTTCTACATCTCATTATGAAGAATTACTATCAAGTAGAATTCCTGATTTCTATTGTATTTTACCTTCATCAACAACCACAGGGCTAATATGCCTCACACAGTATTGTCTTGATTGTGCCTAAGGCTTCATAACTAAATTATGGCTATGGTATGGGTGTCCTGAGGTCGATGCATTCTCCAAGAGCAGGCTTTGTCCTGCGAACGCTTGAATAGTTCTCAAGCTGGCTGATTTTGTCGTCAGCAAAAGTACAAAATTTAACAAATGTTTAAATGTAAAATTTGCTTTTTACTGCCTAAATTAACATCAGAGAAATTGTTTCAAGAATAAGTTAAAGAAGACTAAACAGAATTATTTGTTCATAAATTGACCTCATGCCAGATGTTGGGTTTTTGACCTGTTGCTATAGATTCAATAACTTTTTACCTGGTTCTAATTCAATCTTAGGATGTCTCTCCTTTAGTCAAAACATTTTTTCTTACATGATTATCTCTTTAGTGGCCAACCTTTACTGAAGTTTACCAGATGCAGTCATGGGTGCATAATGACATTTTGGTCAATAACAGATGACATATACAACAATGGTCCCATAAGATTATAATGCAGCTGAAAAATTTCTCTCCCCTTGGGATATCATAGCTGTAGTGCAACACATTACTAATGATCTTCTCAACGCTCTGTATATCCAGGCTAATGTTTGTGTCTATGTTTTAGTTTTTAACAAAAAAAAAATTGGAAAACCTTAGCCTGTTTAACATAGATTTTGTCTCTACAAAAGAAAAAAAATTAGCCTGGCATGGTGGTACGTGTGCCTGTAGCCTCAGCTACTCAGGAGGCTGAGGTGGGAGGATTGCTTGAGCTCGGGTGTTTGACTCTGTGATGAGCCATGATGGCACCACTGCACTGCAGTCTGGATGACAGAGCGAGGCCCTGTCTCAAAAATAAATAAAGAAATAATAAAAGTATGAAAAGCTTATAGAATAAGAATATAAAGAAAATATTTTTATATAATGTGTTTGTCTTTTAATCTAAGTGTTATTACAAAACAGAGTTAAAATGAAATATAAAAGTTTATGAAGTAAAAATATTATAGTCAGCTAAAGTTAGTATATGATTAAAGAAAAAATTGCTAGTGTAGTCTAAGTGTGCATTATTTATAAAATCTATAGTAGTGTTACAGCAATTTCCTAGGCTTTCACATTCACTCAACACTCACTGATCCACCCAGAATGATTTCCAGTCCCGTAAGCTCCATTCATAGTAAGTACCCTATACAGGTCTACCATTTAAAATCTTTTATTCTGTATTTTTACTAAACCTTTTCTATGTTTAGATATGTTCAGATATACAAATACTTACCATTGTGTTACAATTGCCTATAATATTCAGTATAGTAACATGCTATACAGGTTTGTAGCCTAGGAACAATACGCTATACCACATAGCCTAGGTATGTAGTAAGCTGTATCATCTAGGTCTGTGTAAGTACACATCATAGAGAGCACAACAAAATCGTCTAATGAAATATTTCTCAGAACCTGTCCCTGTCATTAATGACACATGACTATAAAAGGATCAGACATTGACTGATTTTTTGATCTTAGGAGTGTGGTGAATCTTCGAGAAATTAGAAGTCACCCATAGGACGTATAGCTCACCTGGCCACCAGCACGTGGACTGTCTGAATGTTGGCCAAATTTTCTTTCACCTCTTTTGCACATGCAAACTAATAGTCTAGGACTTTCCAACCACCAACTCATTAGTAACTTTTTGTCATGCTAATAGTAGATAAATAAATTACTCTAACTGAAGCCAAATACATAACATATATTTACACAAATTTAATTGATGTTTTTCACTTATGTCATGCTCTTAGAGCGTTAGTAGAGATTATAAGGTCTATAGTAGCATTAGCACTTGGCTCATATTATGCTTGACTTCATAACTAAAATACCAAAAGTGAATCATTTTAACTTATCATTAATGATAAAAAACTTTTTATATCAGGGCATTTAAGGATCCATAATCATGTGTTCTGCTACTTAGTTAAAAAATCAGAAACCTTATAATGAATTTCTTAAGCTTCAAAATTCTGAAATAGAGTCTACAAAGTAACTGAAATGGGATAAGAGTATAGTAAATTGAAGAAATCTTTGGAGAAGCATTTAAAAACCAGTTTATTTTTCCCTCACAAGGCCTGGCAGCTGGGACCAAACTATACCTTCCATTTACCATTCTGAAGTATCATATTGCAAATGCTTTTCTGTATAAACAAACTTTATGTAACCTCCAACATTAGTAAAAAGTCATAAGCTACAAACAGTAACAATTCTTTCCAATTATAACCGTGTTAATAAAGTAAATTGAATGTGTCTAGTTATAATATAAAAAATATTTTAATAGACTTAAAAAGGCATAAATAACAGTCATTGCAGAGAAATCCTTCCTGATATGGACACTATACAAAGATAACCCCTTCTGTAGTTGCATTATGTTTGAAGAATAGTTGGAGTTTCCTGTGTCTACTTGTGAGCTAAATCTCTAGGTATCTGTCCACACCCTAGGACATACTCTGAATCATGAATAAACAGGGTCACACATATTGGCACTGGATTACATCCTGCTAGCAATAGTGCTAGTTTATTTTGTATCCTTATCAGTATTTAGAATATTGGTTGGCACATAGAAGTTGCTTAATAAATGTTTGTCAAGTTAGATCAGTAATTATCCCATATTGAAATTCTTACTGTACTGTATTGTGATTACTTGCTTACTTTTAATTAATTGCTTAATTATTATACTCATTGAGTGTAGGTTCCTGTCTTTTCAAAACTGAATCACTTGAATTAAGCTTTGGGTTTTGTGACTACAAAGAGTTCAATAGATATTTTTGACACAAATGATTAACAGTTGAGTTAACTTTGTTGCCCTTAGAAAGTACTAGGTGGGAAATGCTCCTAATATGAGATGAAGTAGTTGAAACCAGAAGTTTATGAAGAATTTTCCCAAAGACAGAAAACAAATCACCAGAGGCTATTTAGGGATTTGGCTCTTCATTAACATGGCTTATGATCCTTATACATAGATCTATTTTGCTTGTAACTTTAAAATCAGAAATGTTTAATTCTTCACCAATGGCTATTGCTGAACAATAATTTGTATGCTGCCATTGCTGATTGTACCAGAATAGTTTTCTGCCTATTTTTCCCCCATTAATATCCCTTAATAAAACAGAAAAAATTTGAAAAAGATTTTAGTACTATATTAATTTATCTTACTATTTAAATCCTTATTGTTTTTCCTTGCTTGCTTTGTGATTTTGGTTCTTTCCAGTCAGAAAATCTCTCTCTAGCCAGTAAAACACACTTCATAGCTTCTTGAATGTGAATAAACAATTGTGGCCAATTGTAGCTTATTCACCTTACCTACAAATGTTCTGTTTAGATCTTTGACAATGTGGCAATGTGGAGTGGATAATGGCATATTGCTTTTTTTTTTTTTTTTTTTTGAGATGGAGTCTCACTCTGTCACCCAGGCTGGAGTGCAATGGTGCAATCTTGGCTCACTGCAACCTCTGCCTCCTGGGTTCAAGTGATTCTCTTGCCTCAGCCTTCCTAGTAGCTGGGATTACAGGCGTGCGCCACCACACCTGGCTAATTTTTGTATTTTTAGTAGAGGCGGGGTTTCATCGTGTTGGCCAGGCTGGTCTTGAACTCCTGACCTCAGGTGATCTGCCTGCCTCGGCCTCTCAAAGTTCTGGGATTACAGGTGTGAGCCATTGCGTCTTATCTGAAACCTCTAATATTTTCCCAATCTCTGAAGATTACAGTGTCTCAATGGTAGGCTTCTAATGCATCAACATTAACACAATATTCTAGCCACTATGTTTTGGGATAATTTGTGACCCAGAATCTAGAATTACTGCCCCTCCTATAATGCTTACACTGTACTCTGTCCTTATCCTATTGTCATACTTGTCACAGTGCCTCATCATTGTTTCTTACTGAATGTTTTCCCCATAGACTTGCAAGTATCTTGAGTGCAGAGATCATGTCTTGTGCACCATCATTTAACACACTGTGTAGCATGTAGCATGTGCTAAGTATTTGTTAAGTGAATAAATTTGATATTATTTACCAATTAATATAGGATTGTAGAAAATAAAAATATTCTTTGCATTATTGCTTTACTAATAATAATCTTTTGGCAGGGTGCGGTGGCTCATGCCTGTAATCCCAGCACTTTGGGAGGCCGAGGCAGGTGTATTGCCTGAAGTTTGAAGTTTGAGACCAGCCTGGTCAACATGGTAAAACCCCGTCTCTACTAAAAATACAAGAATTAGCTGGGCATGGTGGCGGGTGCCTGTAATTCCAGCTACTGGGGAGGCTTAGGCAGGAGAATCGCTTGAATCCAGGAGGTGGAGGTTGCACTCCAGCCTGGGCAACAAAGTGAAACTTTGTCTCAAATAAATAAATAAATAAATAAAATAAAATAAATTTTTTAAAAAATAATCTTTTGAAGTTTTTTAGAAGATCCCTGTTATCTTTCTCATTTTTTTCTTATCAAATACTTATGGTCCATATATTATATTTTAGACATTCCAATGATAGAAATAGAGCAGGGAACAAGAAAAGCACAGCTTTTAACTTCATGGAGTAGAGCTTACAATTTTGTTAAAAGAGATAAATAAAAATGTACATAGCTAAAGGTATAATTATAAACTGTGAAAGTGTATGGTTATATTAGAGCATCTACCAGGAAGAAAGGTTTGCCTGAGGAAGTGCCTTTTGAGCTGACTTAAAGAATAAGTGGACATTGAATGGGTGCAGTGGCTCACACCTGTAATCCCAGCACTTTGGAAAGCTGAGGCAGGCAGAGGTCAGGAGGTGGTGACCATCCTGGCCAACATGGTCAAACCCCAACTCTACTAAAATACAAAAAATTAGCTGGGCATGGTGGCACACGCCTGTAGTCCCAGTTACTCGGGAGGCTGAAGCAGGGGAATTGCTTGAACCTGGGAGGCAGAGGTTGTGGTGAGCTGACATCGTGCTACTGCGCTCCAGCCTGGCGACAGAGCAAGACTCCGTCTCAAAAGAAAAAAAAAAAAAGAATAAGTGGAAATTAGGCAGTTAAATAATTGGGTGTGGCTCCGGATGGGGCAGGTACTCTAAGGAGAGGAGGCAGCTTGTGGGAAAACTCTTAGGTGGCAAAAGTCTCTGTGCTTTTAAGGAACTGGAAAGGAACTGGATTTTAGTATTCTTTAGTTCCAAACATTCTAGAAAACCTTACTTTGATTGTTTAAGCCACAGATTTTCTCAGTACCATCCTACAGTTGTTTCCCCCATATCAGAGACCTTCTATTCACCTTGGGAAGTCAAAAATTCAAAACAATTAAAATATTAATAAAATAAAGTTTCTTCTAGCTGACTCAGAGAAAATTGTTCAAAAGTTCTTAGATTTAAATATTCTTTTGTAAGCTCAGCTTTCATTTCAGGGGTTTTAAAAAAAGAATAATTATATGCAGATTCAGATCTCAAAATGTCACTGAGAAGAAAAGAAAGAGGTATTGTATTTAAATATTATGTGCCAGAATAAAAGGAAAAATATAGGCCTTGTTCTTTTGGACTTTGAGCACTATCTATAAATGTGTCTGTTCATATTATTTAATGTTTCTAATTGTTTAAGTAAAAATCTAAAGAGATTAAAGTTTAATAGCTATATGTGCAATAAAATTCATAACAGTTTCATTGATGTGAGGTATTATTAAAATATTACCAATTCACAAGGTAAATATGTACAAAGAAATAAGGTTGCTATAATAGCAACAGTTTTATGTAACACATAAATAAAGTTGAGCTTACTTGTTTCTTATGTTAGAAACAAGTCTCCTTGTTGCTAACATAATTTCTTGCTAAAACTTTTGATCAGTTAAATTAAATGAGATAATACTTATAAAGTCTTTAAAAAGTACTTAGCACATAGAAAGCATTGTTTTTTTTGTCATTGTCACTTTGCTGCACATCTTTCCTACATTTTTTTCCAGTCTGCTTCACACACATCAAGCCATAAGAACATTTAGTAGGCTCTGATATGCAAATAACGAGCTTTTTGCTGCCAATCACAAACTAGGATTGACTCTAAAATATAATGTCCCTGAAGTCTCCCTTCTTAGTAAGAAGAGCTCAGGATCGACTACGGCAAAATAGAAATCACTGGACAACTTATTTTTGAATCATTCAATTTCAAAGAAAGTCAAGATATTTCTTTTTCTTTCTTGATATTATTTCTAAAATAAGCAATTTCTATCACTAAACCAACTTTAGGGGCAGTATAACTGAGCGCAGGCTTGGCTGCCCACCAGTTGCAAAGCCAATGACAAGGACAAAGTGCAGTGAAAGGAAAGTGAGTTTATTTTCCAAAGCTAGCACTGGGGGAGGCAGCTGGCTTATGCCTCTAGGAATCACTTCAAACTTTAGGCTGGGGAATAGGGCTAAAAAGGGGAGCTAGAAATGGGAGGCATGAGGGAGGGGTGCTGAGTACAGGATGTACATATTTTGTTTTGGTGGCTATCTGAAGCCATGGTCCACTAGGAGCAAGTAATACAGACAGGAGGTGGGGAAATACTGGGTAGAAGAGGGTGGGTCCCCAGCAAAGGCCGCCCCCTGCCAAGCCTGGATACCTGGGGCCCTAAAGTGAGAACAGGTATTCCTGTTTTCGTATCCAAAAAGTTGCCTTTTGGCTCACCACGCCCCCTATCCTTTACTCATGTAAATCCTGAACCCCAGGCTCCACAAGGGAACAAACAGAGGGGCTGACGAGTAGCAGAACAGCACGGCAGAGCAGGAGAGAAGAGAAGGAGCATCTGAATGTCAGGAGGAGTTCAGCTGGGGACGGTCAGATAATCAGCCACTGAACAGCCAAACATCAGGAGAAGATCATCTTCTCACTCTATCCCCTGTCCAGCTCTCCATCCATCTCACTGAGAGCCACCTCCACCACTCAATAAAACCCACACATTCACTCTTCAAGTCTGTGTGTGACCCGATTCTTCTGGGACACTGGATAAGACCCTTGCAAAAAGACAGACAGTCCACTGAGTTGGTTAACAGTTAAGCCATCCGTGGACAGCAAGGCTAAAAGAGTGCACTGTAACACATGGCCACTTGGGCTCCTGCACCTGTCCATCTGTGTGCTCCCCCTCCTGTAAGGGGTTTGAGCAGCGGTGGCGACTGAACAGATGAACCACACCCCTGTCCCACGTCCTGTTAGGGGAGTCAGGGAACTTTCCCATTTCAGAAGGGTGGCATCATCTCAACAATGGCCAGGTTGTTGAATAACTGCCTTGAGATAATCTCTGGGATTTTACGACTGGGTCTCTATGCTTGGTCTGTGTTAAGATTAGCATCTGGAACTTCTAAGTAAGCAAATGATTAGCATACAATGAGATAAATGTGCATGATGTAAGGGAGTATATGGTGAGAAAAGAGGGACATGGTATTTCAAAGAAAGTACATTTCAAGGCTATAATCTAAGACTAAGGATGGGGAAAAAAAGGCTTTTGCAGTAAGCTTCAAGGTTACAACTTGAGACTAGTCAAAAAAGAGAAGAAAGAAAAGAAAGTTTTAAAATGTATTTTTCAGGCAAAACTGTATGGTTACAATAGAATATTATATAGATAAGTTTCCCACTCTGGTGTAAAAGCTGCTCCTCATCACCATGCCTGTACACAGAAGTACATTTTCTCAGTCATTCATTTTATCTTTCCTTCCTGCAATCTGGGTTCTCAGTACTGTATATGGCATGATTTCTATGCTGGGGGTGGATAGAGTAGGAGCTGTATATTTAATATAACCAAATTACTACAGTTGAAAGCTCAGTGTTATCATCTTGCAGAGGTTGTCATTGAACCCACAAGCCAGGAAGTTCTTTGGTGACCTTATAGAAGGAGTAGATTCAATAAAATGTTACTGCTAGATAACAAATAACGAAGTAGCAATTGAGTTTGATTCCTTCTCTGGGGGTGGGTAGGGAGTTAGGGGCTGTACATATAACAATGATCAGGAGGTAGTATTTTCAGGCAATTTATTCAATATGTTGTTAACAAAAGGTGTTCTAGAAAAAGGGTAGAAGAGAGGTAGAACCAGGTAAGAATCTTTGTTCAAAAACTAACATAAATAGTACACTTCCTGGCTTTTTAAAATCAATTCACCTTTGAGCTTCCCTTTCCCTTTTATTGGGTGGGCAGGAAATCCAATGCATCATTGCTGCAGCACGCTCTCTCCAGGGAAATACAACACACTGTGGATTTCACATGACTGGCGTCCAGGTCCTGTGTCACTGACACACTCCACTGCTAACATCCCTACATTTGAAAGAAAGGATCAGTTCCTCAAAAATTATATACTTGGTCTATCCTCTACCTTCTCTTCCCTTAAGACTAAAGGCCTCCTAGCACAGGCGCCGCCCCTGGAGTTTCCGCCACATCAGCATCAGCCTAGAGATCACGTTCTCATCAAAGGGTGGAAGGAAGGGAAGCTCGAACCAGCCTGGGAAGGACCCTACCTAGTGCTCCTAACTACTGAGACTGCAGTCTGGACAGTAGAAAGAGGATGGACTCATCACACCCGAGTCAAGAAGGCGCGACCACCTCCAGAATAATGGACTGTCACTCCAGGGCCCACCCCCACCAAACTAACTCTAAAAAGAGCTTAATAATCACTTGTTTATTCTCTTTTTTCTTTTCGACAGAAGGTCATCTTGTCATCAATGTAACTCAGGCTAGTCATCCTTTAACTCTTCAGTTCGATGCCTGTTCAGTCATCCCGCGTGGAGATGAGCAAGCTCAAAGGAAGCCATCCCGTGTTGATAAGTATCTATGTCCATACCTCAAGGAATCAAGCAAGTATAAGTGTGGAGCCTTAAAAAGTCCCTGTGGTGACTGGGCGGATGTTTGGTGGACTACTAAGTACAAAGGGTGGACAGCCAAGCCCCCTGCTTCAAATAAGTTATGGGGACTGAAATAAAAACTCCAACTAGTCCGTGGTCCCACCTCACTAAATTGTAAACCATTACACTGTAACCCCTTGTTGCTGATTATGAATAATCCCTGGACAATGGCCCAAGAGCCCTCTATATTCGAACGATATGGGTTAGGTGCAGACGTTGAGGGACAGGACCCTATAGGAATCTTCTCCCTAAGGTTAGTTAAACCACTGGTTAACAATAATAAAAGAGTTCAGACCCAAAGTCTGGGAGACACGTGGAACCCAACGCTCTCCCCAAGTATAGCGAGCTCAACATCCTCCTACCATCTCCAAAATGACCCAACCAAGGTAACGGTTGTGAAGGTAGAAAATTTAAGGCTAACTATAGCTCTAGAGACAGGGTATCAAGATGCAAATGCTTGGCTGGAATGGATTAAATATTCCGTTCACACTTTAAACAAAAGTGAATGTTATGCTTGTGCACATGGTAGACCATAGGCCCAGATTGTCCCCTTTCCACTTGGATTGTCTTCCAGCCGACTGGGCATGAGCTGTATGGCAGCTCTTTTCCCAAACTCCTCAGCCTGGGGCAACAAATCATGCCAAGCTCTTTCTCTGCTGTTCCCTGAAGTTAAACACCCTGTGGGTCGGCCCCCAAGGGCCATTCAGCGTCCATCTCCCAATGCCAATTTTACTTCGTGTCTCTCATGACAGGGAGAGAACTTGGCTTTCCTGGGAGCCTTAACGGGATGCAATGAGCTTATGCCCTTCCAAGAGCTTACCCATCAGTCTGCACTTAGCCATCCTTGAGCAGATGCGTGGTGGTATTGTGGTGGACCAATACTGGACACTCTGCCAAGTAACTGGAGTGGAATTTGTGCTCTAATTCAATTGGCCATCCATCTCACACTGGCATTTCATCAACCAGAGAGGGTAGGAACCAAACATCGTCAAACAAGAGAGGGCCCCCATGGGTCCTTCAATTCTCATGTTTATATAGATGCCACTGGGGTCCCAAGAGGAGTGCCAAATGAATTTAAGGCCTGAAACCAAATAACTTCTGGAGTTGAATCTACATTCTTCTGGTGGTTAACTGTAAATAAAAATGTGAATTGGATAAATTACAATTATTACAATCAGCAATGATTTATTAATTATACTAGAGATGCTATTAAAGGAATAGCTGAACAATTAGGACCCGCCAGTCAAATGGCCCGGGAAAACAGGATAGCATTAGACATGATACTAGCAAAAGAAGGTGGAATTTGTGTCATGATCAGGACCCAATGCTGTACTTATATCCCTAATAACACTGCTCCCAGTGGGACCATAAGTAAAGCATTACAGGGTCTTACTGCCCTATCAAATGTGCTAGCCAAAAATTCTGGACTAAATGATTCCTGCACAAATTTAATGGGAAATTGGTTCAGTAGATGGAAGGGACTTACGTCCTCAATCCTCATCTCTCTGGCCATTGGAATAGGGTTGCTTATTCTCATAGGATGCTGCATCATACCTTGTGCCTGGGGATTAATACAAAGAATTATTGTAACAGCTCTCACTAAAACTTCTTATGATCCTCCTCCCCCTGATTCAAATAAGCTTTTCCTCCTGGAAAACCAAGTAGAACAACGGAGCCAAATTATGCTAAAAAGATTTGAAGAGAAAGAGTTATAACAGAAGGAAAAGAGGGAAGCTGTGGGATATGATGAGGTTTCTCTTCAAATAATCTGATCAATCTTTTATTCTTTAATTCATAGTACCCCCTCCCTTTTTTCCTTTTTCTCCTTTTTTTTTTTTCCTTTTTGCCTTTGTTAGATGCCCAGGCACTCCACAGTACCAGGCGTTATCAGTACCAGCTCACATTCCTTTCCTTATTTGGAAAGAGGACTAGCTTTCTAGCTCTTTACAGACACCCCTTCCCCTTCTTCTCCACTTTCTTTTACGTGCCCACCTTATCTAAAAAATGTCAAATGTTTAGCCAACCGGCATTAGTTTAGATTGTACGACCCGAACCCGGCCAGTGGGGAAAGGGTACAGGGGCAGGACTTGCATCAGGAATAAAGGCTCTTGTGCCTTTTTTTCAGGTGTGCTCTCGTGGCGACTGGCCAACAAGGCACCCCTCTGCGAAGAACTAAAATTGCTTTGCTAAGAACCCTTTGTTCAAGTGCTCAATTTCTTTAGGATTTTGAGCGTTGTTCCTAGCAAGGGGATTTGGTTTTGGGAAACAAGAGCTAAGAAGGGAGATATCTTTCAGATAAAACTTTGGCTTTCAGTGCTGCTACAACATTTCCCTTAAGCAAAGACATATAGAACAAACTGTCTACCACTTAAATGAATGAAGATATAGCAGAATGTACAAGAACACATAAATATATCTGTTTTAGTCCATTTGGGCTGCTATAACAAAATATCATGAACTGGGTGGTTTATAAGCAACAGAAATTTATTTCTCACAATTTTGGAAGCTGGAATGTCTAAGATTAAGTTGCTAGTACATTCAGTGTCTATTGAGGGCCAGCTTCCTGGTTCATGTAGAGCTGTCCTCTTGATGAGTCTTTACATAATAGAAGTGTAAGGGGGCTCTCTGGGGTTTCCTTTATAGGGAGGTAATCCTACTCAGGAGGGCTCATGACCTCTTGGCCTAAACACTTCCCAAAGGCCCCACCTCCAATATCATCACATTGGGGATTAGGCTTCAAGATATGAGTTTTGGCATTTCCCAGATGACATGTGGTGACTTTTGGTAGATCTGTATTTTCATTGTGAACCCAGAATATCTGAGACAGGTTTCAGTTAATTTAGAAAGTTTATTTTGCCAAGGTTGAGGGTGCACCTGTGACACAGCCTTAGGAGGTCCTGACAACATGTGCCTAAGGTGGTCAGGGCACAGCTTGGTTTTATACATTTAGAGAGATATGAGACATCAATCAATATATGCAAGAAGTACATTTGTTTGGTCCAGAGAGGTGGGACAATTTGAAGCAAAGGCAGGAAGACTCAAAGCCAGGAGAGAGCTTCCAGGTCACAGATAGGTAAGTGATACACAAACGGTTACATTCTTTTGAATTTCTGATTAACCGTTCCAAAGGAGGCAAATTAGATATGCATCATCTCAGTGAGCAGAGAAGTGACTTTGAATGGAATGGGAGGCAGGTTTGCCCTAAGCAGTTTTCAGTTTGAGTTTTCCTTAGTGATTTCGGGGGCCCAAGATATTTACCTTTCACATTTCCTCTCTTTTCTTTTTAAAAATCTTTTGGAGAAAGCATTTTACAAGAAAATGAGTCTCTGGTCCCAGGTTTTGTCTGATCTCTCATGGCTAGGATGGTTTATTTCTAGATGCATATGTCCCAAAATCTCATTTTTAGAAGGTTGTGAAGTCTCATGTCCTGTGAGGAGAAAATAGCAGGGAGGAAGGGAGAAACAACAACAAGAAACAAAAGAATAATCCTGGAAAATTTGATGTAGGCCTCATTACTTTGAGGTCCATACATCAGTAGGCAGGTATGAAAGTGGCTTATGTATGTAAATAGGTTGCTGTTATTTTCTTCTGAAGTTTAAGTTGTCTGGCTTCAGTTTGCATGGTTTCAAGAAAGCACAGCTTAGTTTTCAGTGACTCCAAATTAGGAAAAATGGAAAAAAGAAGGAAAAAAAATTGAAAACATTTATTTTGAAGATTTGCAGCCAAGAAAAATTGAATTTGGTCCAAACTGTAGAAAATAATAAAAATTGAAAAAAAAAATTAGACAAGACTAGAATCTAGTAAGAGGTCTACTGTAGTTTTGAACCATAATTTTTCTCTCTCCAGTTTCCCATTTTCACTAAAGACAAATTATGATAGGACTAGTTTGCTTTATTTTACTTAGCCTCATTATTTATATACAATGCAGCAAGAATAATTACTTTTTACATAGGCTTTTAAATTGACTTTTATGGAACTTTGTTCCATAGAAAGGATCTCAGATAAGACTTTTTTATAGCTGAGCCCAGTCATGGATTTGTGCCATCAAATGAGTTGGGTGAATTTCCTCTCCTCTTGAGGTTCCAAGATAAACTTGGAGTTTCTGTGTCTGTCAGAAAGTGACATTCTTTACTTACCACAGGTGAGAAACCCTGTACAGGGACTATGTACACAAATATATGAGGCCAGTTTTTCCAAAGGGCTTTTTTGCCTCCATAAGTCAAGTTTGATTCCTTAAAGGAAAGCATACAATTCTAATCAAAGCCTTGGTAAAGTAACCAATTTCTCCAACTGTGTCCTGTTCCAAGTGAAAACAGATTCTTATTGCACTGAAGCAAATAGCTGTATTGCCGTAAGTTAAGAATACTCACAAATAGTTTTCAAATTCTTGAGAAATCAGGTAGAAACAAACAAATATGCTTTGAATTGTGTTCATAGGAGTTTACTAAATTATTAAAGGCTGTCAATAGCTCAAAAGAAAAGTTTTGAGACTGAAAAACAAAACAAAAGATCGGCAAACATTTTAAGCAAAAATTAAAAAAGATTACTTCAGTTTTCTATTGGTTCAGTTAATTCAGTTAACTCCTGTTTTGTTTGATAGTCATGAACATTTCAGCTCTCCATGAGAGTTCTGAAAGTTTTTTCCTTTATTCCAATATCACAAGTACCAAAGTTACCAGAAAACCTGCATTTAAGTGCACCTGTTAGTGTCCTATAGCTGATTATAAACCCACCTTTCAAAGAGGGTCTAAAAAAAGACAATTATCTGTCGATAAATAAAGGTTTTAAGGCACTCATAGTTAAAAGACACAATTGACAAAGAAATTTGTTACCTCTGTGGCACACAATAATTTTACCATAACAATTATGATTATTACTGATAATGCACACTAAGTTATATCAGAATTGCAGGAGTTTCCAATAATTTTGGAACACATACCAGTAACATATTTAAACAAATACAGCCCAAAGAAAACCAAACACACTTTCATATTTGACAATACTTTGTGTATAACTGTTATATCAAATAAGCCAAATTATGTCATTTTTGGACTTTAGGGAACCTAATGTCTTAAAGAATTAATTAGGTTAGAAAAAGACATAATTTATAATTTGATTTTGGAAAGTTTGTCAAATATAAAAGGTTTAAAACACTTGATATTACAAAATAGGATTACAGATCATCATAAAGTCATTTATTTAACCAAAGCGATAATTCAAGCACTTTAAAAAAAAGCAAAAACCTTCATTCTTTGAGAGAGGAGACTTAATTTTCTAAATAAGAAACCCTAATAAAAGCAGCATAAAGCCAATTACATTTGTTTTTCAAAATTTTGTAAACAATCTATAAAATTTAATCTTGATTATAAAATGTAACTTCCATAAGCCTTTTTATAACGTTTATAACTTTTATTACGAAGTTGGTTAATGTGGATGGATGCAGTGGCTCATGCCTTTAATCCCAGCACTTTGGGAGGCCAAGGCAGGCAGATCACGTGGTAAGGAGTTTGAGACCAGCATGAACAACATGGTGAAACTCTGTCTCTATTAAAAATACAAAAATTAGCTGGGCATGGTGGTACATGCTTGTAATCCCAACTACTTGGGAGGCTGAGGCAGGAAAATCACTTGAACTCGGGAGGTGGAGGTTGCAGTGAGCTGAGATCACGCAACTGCACTCCAGCCTGGGTGACAGAGCAAGACTCCATCTCAAAAACAACAATAACAACAACAACAACAACAAAGTTGGTTAATGCGCTTCAAGAGAAGCTTGTTAATCTGACACAGGGGTCCATATACTGGTTTTGCATCAGTATGCCTTTGACATTAACAGTTAATTTATAGAGAAACTGAACTTATTTTATCTTACAATCTTACACACCCGCCTCTTCTGTGATCATCCCTGGATCTTGAGGAGTTGAATAGCTTTAATTTCTTGCCATGTCTCAAGGAATGCAGTTTGTTTTGATTGGCATCTTCTATGGGGCCTGAAGATAAGACTTTAATGGCTGTCTGTGTTTAAGATTTAGCAGGACTTGGTGTCCTTTTCAGACCCAGGAGTTAAAACCCTGTAACTCAGTGTTACAAGGACTTTAAAGGCACATATAGAAAAATACACAGATGTAATAACCTTAATTGTTTTTAAAAAATTTTATCTCAGTTTTTTTCTAAGCAAACTAAAACTCAATAATAATATGACAACTTGATTATATAAAAGTTTTTTTTAAATATATAAATCTTCTTATTGTGACTTATACTGACTGTTCATGACATGCTTAGACTTTCTGATTTGTTCTGAACATCCCTCCTTTTTAAACAACCAGTTATTTTATTTTAGGACTATATTTACTATACAAGATTCTTTCTTATATAAAATTATTTATCTTTAAGCTTTTTTACCTCAAAAAAATCCTCTTTATTTTTATAACTTTCTTTACATCTTTTTTTTAAATTCCTGGTGTTTTCACCTTATTTTATACATAACCTTTAAAAAAAGCTTTGAATTAGACAAAACTTGTTTACCTTTTTAAATTTTATTTAAAAAAGGACACACTTGCTGGGCGCAGTGGCTCACGCCTGTAATCCCAGCACTTTGGGAAGCTGAGGCGGGAGGATCACGAGGTCAGGAGATCAAGACCATCCTGGCTAACACAGTGAAACCCCGTCTCTACCAAAAATACAAAAAATTAACCAGGCATGATGGCGGGTGCCGTATTCCCAGCTACTCAGGAGGCTGAGGTAGGAGAATGGCGTGAACCTGGGAGGTGGAGCTTGCAGTGAGCCGAGATTGTGCCACTGCACTCCAGCCTGGGCGACAGAGTGAGACTCCATCTCAAAAAAAAAAAAAAAACATATAAAAAAGGACACACTTTGTTTTTTCTTTAGCAAGAATGCCTTTCTACAGTATATATTCATTGGAAAATACTCAAATAATGAAATATCTATTATTTAATTTAATATTACTTTATCTTCTAAATTATGACCAGTTTGTTTACAAGTATTTATCCCATTACATTTACCTAAATGTTTTATTTTAATTGTTTACCTAGATTATTTATGAAAACTATGATAGTCATGATTTAAAGTTATAAAACTGCCATTGCAAAATTATAACAGAAAAGATTTGACCTAACTGACTCCATATTGCTCTTAACCTCCAAGCTGTCCTTGTTCATTGCTGGGCATAGGGTGAACTAACTTTGGGAGGAACTTAGTTTACAGTTAAGCTTTGAAACAAAGACGATAACTGTCCTTTTCCAAAACAAGCCTCCTTATTGTCTGTGGACCAGGCTGCTTAAAGCCACAGGATTAGAAGTCATGGTAATCTTACTAAATTCAAAATGTAGCTATTTTCATTAAACCCATATCAGTGTCTTATTCATTAAAAATTACATAAACAAAGATCATTCTGTTTTGGGCTGGGTTTATAGTTTTATAACCCCTATGCCAAATTTTGACACCTTACAGTGTTTGGCAGGGATAAGTAGGAAATTGCTCGATTAATAAACACAAAAATGTATGCTGGGCAATTCTTAAGACATTTCTAATACTATTTTACCAATAACTTTAAAGCTATCTTATTTATTAAAGATTTAACTTAAGTTACATAAGCTTGAAAAAGGATTTTACTAGTCTTTTCTTTCTTTAGTGTCAATTTAAGTGCTTTTAGTTTTTTAGCCAATTAATTAGCACTCTTTTATATATTTTTTAGTAGCGAAACACCCTGTACACAACACATAAATACATATAAAAACATTTTAGGCATGCCAACGGTAGTACATTTTATAGATTTATAAAGAACTCCCCACCCTTTTTTTTTTCCTATGTTAGACTTTCAGATTCTTGATAACCTGTTTCACAACCCTAGGCAGTTATCAGCTAAATAGCCTTAAATTTGCACATTAAAGGAAACAACTCAAGAGAAAATCAAATAGCAAAATTTACATCATAAAGTACAGAGAGGAGAGGACAAAGTCTGGCAGTGCTAGAGGGAGACAATTTGATTTTTCTTTGAGCCAAATTAATCGTAAAATTAAACTACCTCTTCCTTAAAAACCCAAGAGCAGCCACTGTTGCAATAATTATTTTAGTAAAAAAAAAAAAAAAAATCAGGTGAAAACAGAATTCAGTCAACTGAGAAGAAAAAGAAAAAAAGAGTTTTGCTTAAAAAGAAAAAGGGTCTTAGGGGGAGAAAAACAAACAAACAAAACCCGAAAACATGAAGGCCTTTCAAATACAAACATGCACACATGCATGCACGCGCACACACACATATCTTGGATGTTAGCCTTTTAATTAAGCTGACTTTTAACCATTGAGCTCCTTAAAAAACATTTTTTTTAATCTTATTGCCATATTTCAGCTAGGACAAAATGCTGCTAAGGTAACAATGATCACACAAATTATATGATTTCTGAGCACTCTAAGTATAAGCAGGAATTAACACCAACTGGTTGTTAAATGCTAACTTCAGCCATTTAAAAGGAATTTGCAAGACCGAATCCCAAACCAGTTTGTCACCTAGTGATGGGTCTCAAGCTGTAGACTGCTTTCTACCATCCTAGAAGCAGAAAAAATAAAAACAAAACAAAAACTCATTTTCTCTGTTCCAAACGAGCTCAAACTCCATAAAGGAGTTACCTGCCTTCCATTGTCATGGAAGCAGGAAGACTTGCCTTCCTGTTGGAAGCAAGTAAAACTCCAAAAAAAAAAAAGAGGAGTGAGGAGTTGTACAGTAAAATAAACTTTAGATCTCAACCAAATTTTGGGAGATGAGGGATTGTTTGGAGGGGGTGCTCTCAGACCTCAGTAAATTGTCCTATTGGTTTGAGTCATAAAGTTAGCTCATGCTGGTGAGAGACAGGACTAGCTGGATTTCCTAGGCTAACTAAAAATCCCTAAGCCTAGCTGGGAAGGTGACCGCATCCACCTTTAAACACAGGGCTTGCAACTTAGCTCACACCCAACCAATCGGAGAGCTCACTAAAATGCTAATTAGGCAAAAACAAGAGGTAAAGAAATAGCCAATCATCTAATGCCTGAGAGCACAGTGGGAGGGACAATGATGGGGATATAAATCCAGGCATTCAAGCAGGCAATGGCTACCCTCTTTGGGTCCCCTCCCTTTGTATGGGAGCTCTGTTTTCACTCTATTTCACTCTTAAATCTTGCAACTGCACTCTTCTGGTCCGTGTTTGTTATGGCTGGAGCTGAGCTTTCGCTCGCCGTCCACCACTGCTGTTTGCCCCCATTGCAGAGCCGCCGCTGACTTCCATCCCTCCAGATCTGGCAGGGTGTCTGCTGTGCTCCTGATCCAGTGAGGCTCCCATTGCCCCTCCCGATCAGGCTAAAGACTTGCCATTATTCCTGTATGGCTAAGTGCCTGGGTTCGTCTTAATCGAGCTGAACACTAGTCACTGTGTTCCACGGTTCTCTTCTGTGACCCACGGCTTCTAATAGAGCTATAACACTCACCGCATGGCCCAAGATTCCATTCCTTGGAATCCATGAGGCCAAGAATCCCAGGTCAGAGAACACGAGGCTTGCCACCATCTTGGAAGTGGCGTGCTGCCATTTTGGAAGTGGCCCACCACCATCTTGGGAGCTCTGGGAGCAAGGAACCCCCGGTACCACTGGTACCAAGCACCAACAGGAGATTTGTCAAAGGTCAGGGGCATCTCCACTCAGAATCCCCCTATGGTTACCAAAATGCGAACCCAGAAAATCTAAGACAGGTTTCAGTTAACATAGAAAGCTTGCCAAGGTTGAGGACGCACCCATGACACAGCCACAGGAGGTCCTGACAACGTGTGCCCAAGGTGGTCAGGGCACAGGTTGGTTTAATACATTTAGGGAGACACGAGACATCAATTAATATATGCAAGAAGTACATTGGTTCAGTCTGGAAAGGCAGGATGACTTGAAGCAAAGGCAGGATATATACTCAGTAATGGGATTGCTGGGTCTAATGGTAGTTCTGTTTTAAATTCTTTGAGAAATCTCCAAGCTTTTTTCTATAGTGAGAAAACCAGTTTATATTCCCAACAACAGTGTATAAGCATTCCCTTTTTTCTGTAGCCTCACCAACATTTATTGTTTTTTGACTTTTTAATAATAGCCATTCTGACTGGTGTGAGATAATGTCTCATCGTGATTTTGATTTGCATTTCTCTGATGATTAGTGACATTGAGCATTTTTTTCATATGTTTGTTGGCTGCTGGTATGTCTTCTTTTGAGAAGTGTCTGGTCTTTTGCTAAATTTTTAATGAAATTATTTGTTTTATGCTTGTTGAATTGTTGTTTCTTATAGATTTTGGATATTAGACCTTTACAGATGCATAATTTTCAAATATTTCTCCCATTCTGTAGGTTGTCTGTTTGTTGATAGTTTGCTTTCCTGTGCAGAAGCTTTTCAGTTTAATTAGGTACCCCCTTATCAATGTTTTTGTTGCAATTGCTTTTGAGGACTCAGCCATAAATTATTTGCCAAGGCTAATGTCCAGAATGGTGTTTCCTGAGTTTTCCTCCAGGATTCCTATAGATTTAGGTCTTAGATCTAAATTGTTAATCCGATTTGAGTTAATTTTTGTATATTGTGAAAAGTAGGGGTCCAGTTTCAATCTTCTGCATATGGCTAGCCAGTTATCTCAGCACCATTTATTTCCCTCATTCCTAATTTTTGTTGAAGATCAAATGGCCATAAGTGTGTGACTTTATTTCTGAGTTTTCTATTCTGTTCCATTTGTCTAGGTGTCTGTTTTTGTACCAGTGCCATGCCATTTTGGTTACTCTAGCCTTCTAGTATAGTTTGAAATTAGGTAATGTGATGTCTCCAGCTGATCCTTTTTGCTTAGGATTTCCTTGGCCTTTCAGGCTGTTTTTGGTTTCAAATGAAATTTGGAATAGTTTTTTTCTAATCCTGTAAAAAATGATATTGGTAGTTTGATAGAAATAGCATTGAATCTACAGATTGCTTTGGGAAGTGTGGCCATTGTATTGATATTGATTCTTCCAATTCATGACCACAGAATGTTTTATCATTTGTGCCATCTATGATTCCTTTCAGCAGTATTTTGTAGTTCTCCTTGTAGATACGTTTCACCTCCTTGGTTAGACATATTTTTAGATATATTTAAAAAATAGATGTTTGTTTCCCCTAATAAATCTAGTTGGAGTTCTAACACATGCCCTGAGACCTGTGAATGGTATTTGTCATATTAAAACCACATGATGGATTGAGGGAGTACAAGTGTAGTTTTGTTACGGAGGTAAATTTTTTAGCTATAAACATATTGCTTCTTTTTCATTAATCTTCTATTTTAATTTGCTAAAATAAAATTACATGACTGTTGAGTAAAGAAAATAGGATGGAAGAGAGAGGGATGGTAGCTCCCCCCCAAAATAAGAGTATTATTTTCAGAATACATAATAAATTCTGAGCAGATGAAAATATTGCAGAGACTCACTATAGTCCCAGTTCTGAAATTTACTAGTGATATGAACTTGGACAGGCAGCCTGGGCTTTCTGAATTTAGGTTCTTCAACTATATAATGGGGGTTAATACCTGTTTTGCCTAACTCATTATGTCAGTAAGAGGGTTAAATAATAGAATGCAGGAGCCCTTTGTAAATAGCCCTGTAAGAGCTTGAGGAAGTAATATTATCTTTTGCTTGACTTCCCTTGGGTTTAAAACGTCCATCATCTCCACTATTTCTTCTTCATTTAAATTGATGTGATTGAAAAAACTTCTTCTTGAATTCACTCAGGAAAGTATTAAGCCAAATAAAAGGCAGCCTGGACTTCTGTAGATTCTATTAATCACATCACCCCAACTCAGCACACCATCATTTATCATTACTCTTCGTTGATTACATGTCAGCCAGTCTTAAATCTATTTGATGGGAGCCTTACCAATACTAATTCATTCTAATTAGTGAGATTCTGTATCTCTGTGACATTTTGCTCAAGAACATTTTTGCCCCATAGTGTAACAACCAACCACATATCTTCTTTTTGTCTATTCTGCTCATTATACTTAAAATGACTCTGAAGTTTACATATTATAATTTGCTTTGTTACTGAACTCTCTCAGGTAAAAGTCACCTTTTATTCTTTTTTAAGTATTCTGTAATTTGGTTAGAAATGAAAATGATATGAGCACATGTGGATCTCAGGAGTATTCTTTTTTACCTTTAAAGGATGGACTATCATAGCTTATTATTGTTGTACTCATGATTACAGATCAAAACTGCTTTTTTTTTGTAGAAAATTGTTTCTGCATACATCTTTCATTGAATCTTCAACAAACAGCTCTCATGGGGAATGTATTGTATTACCATTCTACAGATAAGAAAAATGAGGTTCTGAGAACCAAAGTTTTTGACACAGATACTTAAAGATATTTTTGGCTATTTTAAGTTCTAATGAATTCCCTTGTGAATTTGAGTCAGCTGGTCAATTCTACAAAAGTCTCTGATAGAATTTTGGTTGAGATTACATTGATACTTTAGATAAGTCTGGAGATAATTGATTTCTTTACTATATTGTGTTTTCTATTCCATAAACATATATGTCTCTGTATTTATATAGGTCTTTAATTTCTCTCAGCAATACTTTGTATTTGTGTACAGGTGTTTCACTTCTTCTGTTAGGTCATCCATAAGCAATATATATATTTTTGTGCTGTTATTTTTTTTCAAAAATTTCAGTTTCTGATTGCTTGATTTTTTATGTGGAAATGCAATTTATTTTTGTGTATTAACTATCTCATGAACTCTCTAAACATACTAATACATTCTAGTACCATTTTTATAGGATTTTCTAGGTAGAGCTGATTTGTCTGTGAATAAGGAGTTTCATGTTTTTCTTTCTAATATGGTTGCTATTTATTTACTTATTTACAGTTGACTCTTGTTATTCACAGCAATTATATGCTATAATGGCTCCGGGAACACTGACTTAAGAGTTATTGAACCATTGCTTCTAGGAGAAATACAAGGTTAGGTGCCTGTAAGCCTCTGGTCACAGCATTTTCATCAACTGATGAATACCCAAGCTTGTTTTATGTATATTTCTGTTTAAGCAAACATTACTTAAGATGTCTTATTGATTGATTCACATTGAACTCAGAGCCAACAGCATTATAATTTACGCCTGAAAGAATTGCATGTAGCACACCTATTTTCCCTGAAAGGCACATCACAGTCCTCTTGTTCTTAGGAATGCTAGCCAACACTTCAGCATTATGCTTAAGGGCCATTTTAGGCAAGGGAATCACCAACAAAAAGTACAAAAGTGTGAAAAACATGGCACTATATAGACCATGACAGTTGTTCACGGTATGAGAATTGAAACAAGAAGTCGAAGTGTCACCTTGTTCCACCTTAGCTGGGAACGTGCTGGTGTTGAATTTCCTCACATATTTTGGGATTCTCAAGTGCTTTATGTCTTCATTATTCTTCTTTTTAAAGAAAAGATCTCCTCACTGCTTTAGTGCAGAGTCAGCTTCAGATCCATGGAGGTTACTTTTGTTTAGAGCTGTACCTCTGGTTGGCTTCTTTCTTTTAGAGCTGCATCTCCATTTCTGGTCCCAAGAGAATTTCTTTTCTCATATATATGTATCTATACACACACATAGATATAGGTATGTGTGTATACATATATATATGTATGTGTGTATATATATTATATAATTTTTCATATATGTATGTATGAATATAGGTATGAATATATGTGTATATATATATATGGCAAGCACTTCTGCATTCTAAAGTAAGGTGTGAGCATAATGAAATAGGGTTATAAAGACATGCTCAAAAATCAGTTTTGTGATAAATAGTTCTGCATGTCCTTTTAAGGTCAAAAGAGTTCAAGTTGCTGAAGTTATTGTTGTTTGGAAAATAGAAGTATTTCTTCACACTCTAACATCAACACATTTAAAAAGGGCACTAAGAGTCCTGATGCCAATTCCCACGGAGGAAAAATTAGTGGTATATTCCATTCACCTTAAGGCCTTGGAGAGCTTGAACTGTGTCCCTGGAGGTCAGGGGTTACAGAAAACTTTTCTGTGAGCCATCATCTTGAGACACTGTGTCCAGTTCTGAGAAGAGGTTGTCATTTTGGCAATAACCTTGACTCCCAGAGTTACTTAAGCTGAACCATGCATTAGTACTTTCTGAGGATGAGATATGAGCCCCATGGATGAGAGAGCTAGTCCATGAAGAATATGTATAGGGGCATGGTATCTGGTTTCCCAAATCTGATGAGGAGTCACAAGTATCCTGCCAGAGATGTCAGGGATCTGCAACAAGACATTTCAGCAACTGGAAGTGGTATGGAAGGAATATCTCCCTGAAGCCCACAAATAATCTCTTAAAAAAAAGGAAAAGGTCAGTTCGACCTAAACCAAAGGAAACCATATTATTCTGATACTGTCATATGAGATCCTGGTATGTTTTTCTCCTGGGCCAGTCCCTCAGAAGGAACAGAACTCTCAGCTAGTGATGTAGGGATGAAGGATTTGATGGCTGAAGAGGGACTAAGAAGAGGTTAGTCATGCAACCCTTTTCCTCTTCAGGCTATCAACTTTAAGCAAGGCTGAGCTTGGGGAGAGAAGAAGCTTTGATTTTGACTGTAGTTTAGAGTTTCCATTACTATGTGAAAATGGAAATTTTACTCAGCATAAAAAGATTATTTTGATGACTAAATATGGCTAGAGGAACTTTTATTACCTGAGAGTGATAAAAACTTTTGATGACTAAATATGGCTAGATGAACTTTTATTACCTGAGAGTGAAAAAAATGTTGCAGACTTATTATTTCATTTCTCTTGAGTAAATATCAGGAGTAAAACTGTGGGAATGATACATTTTAAGAAATGATCTAATTGTTTTCCAAAGTGATCATAACAATGTTAAATTCCCTCCAGCATTATATGAGAGTTCTCATTCTACAATCTCTCCAATACTTGGTATGATCAGTCTTTACTTTCAGTAAGTAAGTATGTGGTGGTATCTCTCTGAGGTTTTGCTCTGAATTTCCCTAATAACTAATAGTATTTGCCAAATTTTCATATGCTTATTTGCCACCCTTAAGCCTTCTTTGATAATGTGTCTATTCAAATCTTTTCCCAATTTTTATTTTGTTTTATTATTGAGTTTTGTGATTGAAAAAATATATTCTGCAAATAAGCCATTTATCATGTATATGATTTGCAGATATTTTCTCCTAGTCTTTGTCTTGCTTTTACATGTTCTTTACGGTGTTTTTTTAAAAAGCAAACATTTTTAATTCGTTCTTCTGTAGATTGTTTTTAGTTTTATATGTAAAAAATCTTTGTCTTACCCAAAGCTATAAAATATATGTGCATATAAAATATTGTACTTGAATATTCATAGTAATTTTAGTGAAAATCTGGAAACAGCACAAATGCCCATCAACAGGTAACTGGTTTTACAAAATTATAGTATATCCTTAAAATGAAATACTACTCAACAATAAAAAGGAATGAAATACGAATACACACTACAACATGGATGAATCTCAAAATAATTGTGTGGAATGAAAGATATATGACAAACAAAATTACATGTTGTATGATTTCATTTATATACTGTTCTAGAAAACTTAACATAGTGAGAGAAGCAGATCAGTGATTGCTTCGGGATGGAGAATGAAAAGGGTGGGTGAGAGAAATTAAAATGGGGCATGATAAAACTTTTGGTGGAGATTTACCACCTTAATTGAAATAATGGGTTTGAAAGTACATACTTATATATTTGATGTTACAGCTTATCACATTATGTGCTTTAAGTATATGCAGTCTACTGTATGCCCATTATTTATCAAAGCTGTTAGAGATTATAGGAAATCTGACTAAAATTTCTCCCGGACTCAGAGAAAGAACCTGCCAAGCTTGGATGGACAATTTAAGATAAAGAATAGTATTGCTTTCTGAATATTTTCCAAATACCTTGCTAATTCATTGTATTAGTTATATCAGTTTTAAAACTCAAAACCTACATAAGACTCAGCAGAAAGGTAGAAACATATAGACATATATGTTTGTATAGTGTAAAGATATGTGTGTGCACGTGTATGTGTGTATATATATAAAATGTTTTATATATACACTTCTGTCTTTTACCGCTCATGGCTCTGCCAAGAACTATCCAGCCATTTGGATGACAAGGTCACACTTTGATCAGACAGCAAAGAATCAAGACAGATTAAAGCATAATTGCAAATAGTATAGCCATGATGACAACACATGATTTTTCCGTGGTATTATGTAGCAATTTGTTCACAAACCTCAAACAATTATGCAGTTTTGCAAATGGAGTGGAAATAGAGCTGAGATATATAATATTGTGAAGAAAGTTGGGTAATTTGGAAACAGCCGCTTGAGTGATAATTCAAATTTACTGTACGTCCCCCATCACTACGCAGTTTGACAGCAAAAGTGGTATTATAGATCAAAAGAGATTTTTTATTTACTACTCCTGTGAAAGCTGAAAAAACTAACTAATGGTCATTGAGGTTAATTAAAAACAACAGATATACAATATTCCATGATAATCAGGGTACTGGTAATGTTTCAATGATCCTTTTAATTTTCACATTAAGCTAGAATCAACTCTGTGTCCTTACCTGTTTGGCAAGAAGTATCACCCTCCCCTGGCTCTCCATTCTGTAATGATTAAAATCTCAAGGGGCCTATATAATCCAAAAGGGAGATCCACCTGACTTCCCTTTCCAGCAGGAAAAAGCCCTAGAATTCCTCAGTTCTCCACTGCACTTGGTATCTTCTAGTCTAGCTGTCCCAACACCAGCTAATCCAATTCTGCCCAGTCTGTCTGGCACTAGTGCTGTAGAGTGTAATCAAGTCTCCTTCCTGGATTCTATGTCCAAAGAAGGAGATGTCATAAATAGCCATGTTTCCTCTGAATTTTCTGGCTGTGTCCCCATGACTCAGCTCTGAGTCTCTCCTGGCAGCACCCCCAACAGCCCTTTCCCTTCAAAACCACACACCTCAGGCGTCCTGGCCCCAGAGTTGTTTAAATTGCTCACCTGGTAAAACCAGCAGAGACTGAGACCTTCCCAATCGTGGGAGGCAAGAAGTGGGTCAGTTTTATGCCAGGGGTTTAGGTAATTTGTTTTTAACTTCTTGAAACATGAAAGGTTTATTTTATATCTTCTCTCACTCTCACAATCATTTAATTTCTAAAACAATGAATTTTAGTGGATTCACAAAGAAAGCCTGTATTTTGAAAACATCAAGGCCTGTTACCCTTCCTGGGAGTAACAGCAAAGAGTATCTTCCCCAGTTCCTTAATCCCCCACCCCTCTCTCCAACCATGCCTTTTCTTGCATTATTAGTAAAAATATATACTTTTAAAAGTGCCTGGCTTGATATCAAATGAAATACTTCAATGGAAAAGTTAAAATGTTTATTAGAAAGCACCCCATAATATCTAAGTGGTATAAAAAGTAGGATTCTAAGTTATACCTGTGCAACAAAAACAAGTAATGTATGGCAATTGGCAACTGGCTAAACCATCCCCTTTGAGATAACTTAGGAACTTAGAGCTATGGATGGTATAGGCATGTGGAAATATATCCTGCTTATGTTTCATTGAAGTTTAGGGACTTGCATAAATAATCAGTCTAGAGTAGGATTTTTCTATCACAATGGAACAAAAGTCAGTAAAATGAGAACATGTCTTTCAAATATTGGCTTTCACCTCCTGAGCAATATTCATGCTGAATATTTATAATTTGCCTCGTTTTCAGGCTTTAGCATCTCCAGGGAGTTAGCTGTCTATAATTGACAACACACATGTTATTCTAATAGAATTACCAGAATTTCACCTATGACAACCTGTTACTTGCTCCAAGTAAATGGCCTTTCTAATTAGTGGCTCATCCTACAGGTCTTTTGGAGCAAAAGCCTTGACTCTCCTGTCAGGCTTACAAATTCCCTTATCTATATCTCTTTTTTATCTTCCCATGTCTGGCTGTGCATTTCCTACTAAGTTGTGTGGGTGGTGGTGAGGGTAAGAGAGGCTTACTATGCATGGATTGGAGGAGTAAGTAAAAAAGGGAGGCCAGGCGTGGTGGCTCATGCCTGTAATCCCAGCACTTTGGGAGGCCGAGGCGGGCAGATCACGAGGTCAGGAGATTGAGACCATCCTGGCTAACATGGTGAAACCTCGTCTCTACTAAAAATACAAAAAATTAGCCAGGCGTGGTAGTGGGCACCTGTAGTCCCAGCTAGTCAGGAGGCTGAGGCAGGAGAATAGCATGAACCCAGGAGGCAGAGCTTGCAGTGAGCAGAGATCATGCCACTGCACTCCAGCATGGGTGGCAGAGCAAGACTCCGTCTCAAAAAAAAAAAAAAAAAAAAAAGAAGGAGAATTCTATAGACCTTCTAAATGGTTGTTTAAATTAAAATTAGCTGGAGGTAGAGATATAAAGGAATAAACAGAAATAAAATAGAATTACAAATTTGCATATTCATATTTTCCTCTAATTCTTCAAATGGATATATTTATAAAAAGGCAATCCAAGCTTACAAGAGGGAAAATTAACACAGATAATGGTGTGTATGGCACTTGTTGGCTTTTATGTTAAATACTGAAGGTAGCAGGGAGAAAAGGGTATGAAGTAGAGGGTACTAAGATATACTGAGTGCGCATATTGAAAGGAATTGAATATATTTTTTCTAAAAATTTCTGTGGAAGAGATAGCATTACACATATTTTGCAAGGGAGGAAATAAAACTTTCAAAGAAGTATGTAATTGTCCCAGATAAGAAGTGGAGAATCTGAGATTTGCATCTGAATGTCCCTGACTCCAAAATCCCTACTCTTGCCATAACATTACAAAGCATACTTAAAATAAGAATAAAGAGAAGTTGGAAAAAATGAGAGAGGAGGAAGGAAAGAATAATAAGAAATTCAGTAAATTTTCAGCCAATAAAAAACATCCTTAATGTCATCCTGCTTTCAGCATCAAGAGATATTAAAATGTATTTCCTAACACTGATTGCTGTTTCTGATAATAAAAAAGACACTGTGTATTCATATAAGTATTCCTAAAGTTTATGTACATGACCTATAATGTATTTTATCTCAAATTTTTGCAGTTTTTTGAAAAGAAAAACATAAAATTTTATATATAATATATAAAACTATGTCATGTGTAAAATGTGATATATATATGAAACCATTTTTTACAGAACAAGGCATGCTAAACTCTAAATCTGAAAATATCTATTGACGATTATTCTTTTTCACTTCAGCATCACATTACAGGTCACATTTGGTTTCTATGTTTGGGAAAGGCAAGAATCCTAAGGGAGGCATTCATGTTGCCTTCATGCTGAGTTCTGACTGAGTGTTCAGCTTCAGAATGAGGAAATAGCAGAAAGAGGCTTTTTTTTCTTAAATTCTCATGTATTATATTTAATTTTGAATTTTCCAGTAATTCTTTGCGTCTAAAGGCTGAAACTTTGAAATATGTTTGGTTAAGATGAAATGTATCATGCTTGCAAAGGAAGATTGGGTTTATTATTTTTTTTCTATGGAATTTGGCAATCTGTTGTGCTTGAACAGAATTCAAAGTAAGTGGAAAGTCTTGTGTGTGTGTGTCTGTGTGTGTGCCTTCAATTTATAAGATTGTTCCACTAGTGGTATATTTTTGCAAACATATACTTCATGTAAAAGACTTGGGTAATTAACTCTCACAGGCCTGTTTTTTTTGTAAAGTCATGCTTGACAATTAACAAAATGTTAAGAGTATAGTCTATCTCTAAATATCATACAAAATAGAATTATAATGGTCAATGTCAAACCAAAGTAAAGAAATCACTTTAGGGGGAGGAGCCAAGATGGCCGAACAGGAACAGCTCCGGTCTATAGCTCCCAGCCTGAGCCACGCAGAAGATGGGTGATTTCTGCATTTCCATCTGAGGTACCGGGTTCATCTCACTAGGGAGTGCCAGACAGTGGGCTCACGACAGTGGGTGCAATGCACTGTGCACCAGCCGAAGCAGGGTGAGGCATTGCCTCACTCGGGAAGCGCAAGGGGTCAGGGAGTTCCCTTTCCTGGTCAAGGAAAGGGGTGACAGATGGCACCTGGAAAATTGGGCCACTCCCACCCGAATACTGTGCTTTTCCGATGGGCTCAGGAAATGGCACACCAGGAGATTATATCCTGCACCTGGCTCAGAGGGTCCTATGCCCACGGAGTCTCACTGATTTCTAGCACAGCAGTCTGAGATCAAACTGCAAGGCGGCAGCAAGGCTGGGGGAGGGGCGTCCGCCATTGCCCAGGCTCGCTTAGGTAAACAAAGCAGCCGGGAAGCTCGAACTGGGTGGAGCCCACCACAGCTCAAGGAGGCCTGCCTGCCTCTGTAGGCTCCACCTCTGGGGGCAGGGCACAGACAAACAAAAAGACAGCAGTAACCTCTGCAGACTTAAATGCCCCTGTCTGACAGCTTTGAGGAGAGCAGTGGTTTTCCCAGCACGCAGCTGGAGATCTGAGAACAGGCAGACTGCCTCCTCAAGTGGGTCCCTGACCCCTGACCCCTGAGCAGCCTAACTGGGAGGCACCCCCCAGTAGGGGCAGACTGACACCTTACGCAGCCGGGTACTCCTTTGAGACAAAACTTCCAGAGGAACGATCAGACAGCAGCATTCACGGATCACGAAAATCCGTGGTACTGCAGACACCGCTGCTGATACCCAGGCAAACAGGTCTGGAGTGGACCTCTAGCAAACTCCAACAGACCTGCAGCTGAGGGTCCTGTCTGTTAGAAGGAAAACTAACAAACAGAAAGGACATCCACACCAAAAACCCATCTGTATATCACCATCATCAAAGACCAAAAGTAGATAAAACCACAAAGATGGGGAAAAAACAAAGCAGAAAAACTGGAAACTCTAAAAAGCAGAATGCCTCTCTTCCTCCAAAGGAACGCAGTTCCTCACCAGCAATGGAACAAAGCTGGATGGAGAATGACTTTGACGAGTTGAGAGAAGAAGGCTTCAGACAATCAAACTACTCCGAGCTACAGGAGGAAATTCAAACCAAAGGCAAAGAAGTTGAAAACTTTGAAAAAAATTTAGACGAATGTATAACTAGAATAACCAATACAGACAAGTGCTTAAAGGAGCTGATGGAGCTGAAAGCCAAGGCTCGAGAACTACGTGAAGAATGCAGAAGCCTCAGGACCTGATGCGATCAACTGGAAGAAAGGGTATCAGTGATGGAAGATGAAATGAATGAAATGAAGTGAGAAGGGAAGTTTAGAGAAAAAAGAATAAAAAGAAACGAACAAAGCCTCCAAGAAATATGGGACTATGTGAAAAGACCAAATATGCATCTGATTGGTGTACCTGAAAGTGATGGGGAGAATGGAACCAAGTTGGAAAACACTCTGCAGGATATTATCCAGGAGAACTTCCCCAATCTAGCAAGGCAGGCCAACTTTCAAATTCAGGAAATACAGAGAATGCCACAAACATACTTCTCGAGAAGAGCAACTCCAGGACACACAATTGTCAGATTCACCAAAGTTGAAATGAAGGAAAAAATGTTAAGGGGAGCCAGAGAGAAAGGTCGAGTTACCCACAAAGGGAAGCCCATCAGACTAACAGCAGATCTCTCAGCAGAAACTCTACAAGCCAGAAGACAGTGGGGGCCAATATTCAACATTCTTAAAGAAAAGAATTTTCAACCCAGAATGTCATATCCAACCAAACTAAGCTTCATAAGTGAAGGAGAAATAAAATACTTTACAGACAAGCAAATGCTGAGAGATTTTGTCACCACCAGGCCTGCCCTAAAAGAGATCCTGAAGGAAGCACTAAACATGGAAAGGCACAACCAGTACCAGCCGCTGCAAAATCATGCCAAAATGTAAAGACCATCGAGATTAGGAAGAAACTGCATTAACTAATGAGCAAAATAACCAGCTAACATCATAATGACAGGATCAAATTCACACATAACAACATTAACTTTAAATGTAAATGGACTAAATGCTCCAATTAAAAGACACAGACTGGCAAATTGGATAAAGAGTCAAGACCCATCAGTGTGCTGTATTCAGGAAACCCATCTCACATGCAGAGACACACACAGGCTCAAAATAAAAGGATGGAGGAAGATCTACCAAGCAAATGGAAAACAAAAAAAGGCAGGGGTTGCAATCCTAGTCTCTGAAAAAACAGACTTTAAACCAACAAAGATCAAAAGAGACAAAGAAGGCCATTACATAATGCTAAAGGAATCAATTCAACAGGAAGAGCTGACTATCCTAAATATATATGCACCCAATACAGGAGCACCCAGATTCATAAAGCAAGTCCTGAGTGACCTACAAAGAGACTTAAACTCGCACACAATAATAATGGGAGACTTTAACACCCCACTGTCAACATCAGACAGATCAACGAGACAGAAAGGTAACAAGGATACCCAGGAATTGAACTCAGCTCTGCACCAAGTGGACCTAATAGACATCTACAGAACTCTCCACCCCAAATCAACAGAATATACATTTTTTTCAGCACCACACCACACCTATTCCAAAATTGACCACATAGTTGGAAGTAAAGCTCTCCACAGCAAATGTAAAAGAACAGAAATTATAACAAACTGTCTCTCAGACCACAGTGCATTCAAACTAGAACTCAGGATTAAGAAACTCACTCAAAACCATACAATTACATGGAAACTGAACAACCTGCTCCTGAATGACTACTGGGTACATAACGAAATGAAGGCAGAAATAAAGATGTTCTTTGAAACCAGCGAGAACAAAGACACAACATACCCGAATCTCTGGGACACATTCAAAGCAGTGTGTAGAGGGAAATTTATAGCACTAAATGCCCACAAGAGAAAGCAGGAAAGATCCAAAATTGACACCCTAACATCACAATTAAAAGAACTAGAAAAGCAAGAGCAAACACATTCAAAAGCTAGCAGAAGGCAAGAAATAACTAAAATCAGAGCAGAACTGAAGAAAATAGAGACACAAAAAATCCTTCAAAAAATTAATGAATCCAGCAGGAGCTGGTTTTTTGAAAGGATCAACAAAATTGATAGACCGCTAGCAAGACTAATAAAGAAAAAAAGAGAGAAGAATCAAATAGACACCATAAAAAATGATAAAGGGGATATCACCACCAATCCCACAGAAAAACAAACTACCATCAGAGAATACTACAAACACCTCTACTCAAATAAACTAGAAAATCTAGAAGAAATGGATAAATTCCTTGACACAGACACTCTCCCAAGACTAAACCAGGAAGAAGTTGAATCTCTGAATAGACCAATAACAGGAGCTGAAATTGTGGCAATAATCAACAGCTTACCAACCAAAAAGAGTCCAGGACCAGATGGATTCACAGCTGAATTCTACCAGAGGTACAAGGAGGAACTGGTACCATTCCTTCTGAAACTATTCCAATCAATAGAAAAAGAGGGAATCCTCCCTAACTCATTTTATGAGGCCAGCATCATCCTGATACCAAAGCCGGGCAGAGACACAACCAAAAAAGAGAATTTTAGACCAATATCCTTGATGAACATTGATGCAAAAATCCTCAATAAAATACTGGCAAACCGAATCCAGCAGCACATCAAAAAGCTTATCCACCATGATCAAGGGGGCTTCATCCCTGGGATGCAAGGCTGGTTCAATATATGCAAATCAATAAATGTAATCCAGCATATAAACAGAGCCAAAGACAAAAACCACATGATTATCTCAATAGATGCAGAAAAGGCCTTTGACAAAATTCAACAACACTTCATGCTAAAAACTCTCAATAAATTAGGTATTGATGGGATGTATCTGAAAATAATAAGAGCTATCTATGACAAACCCACAGCCAATATCATACTGAATGGGCAAAAACTGGAAGCATTCCCTTTGAAAACTGGCACAAGACAGGGATGCCCTCTCTCACCACTCCTATTCAACATAGTGTTGGAAGTTCTGGCCAGGGCAATTAGGCAGGAGAAGGAAATAAAGGGTATTCTATTAGGAAAAGAGGAAGTCAAATTGTTCCTGTTTGCAGACGACATGATTGTATATCTAGAAAACCCCATTGTCTCAGCCCAAAATCTCCTTAAGCTGATAAGCAACTTCAGCAAAGTCTCAGGATACAAAATCAATGTACAAAAATCACAAGCATTCTTATACACCAATAACAGACAAACAGAGAGCCAAATCATGAGTGAACTCCCATTCACAATTGCTTCAAAGAGAATAAAATACTTAGGAATCCAACTTACAAGGGACATGAAGGACCTCTTCAAGGAGAACTACAAACCACTGCTCAAGGAAATAAAAGAGGATACAAACAAATGGAAGAACATTCCATGCTCATGGGTAGGAAGAATCAATATCGTGAAAATGGCCATACTGCCCAAGGTAATTTATAGATTCAATGCCATCCCCATCAAGCTACCAATGCCTTTCTTCACAGAATTGGAAAAAACTACTTTAAAGTTCATATGGAACCAAAAAAGAGCCCACATTGCCAAGTCAATCCTAAGCCAAAAGAACAAAGCCGGAGGCATCACACTACCTGACTTCAAACTATACTACAAGGCTACAGTAACCAAAACAGCATGATACTGATACCAAAACAGAGATATAGATCAATGGAACAGAACAGAGCCCTCAGAAATAACACCGCATATCTACAACTATCTGATCTTTGACAAACCTGAGAAAAACATGCAATGGGGAAAGGATTCCCTATTTAATAAATGGTGCTGGGAAAACTGGCTAGCCATATGTAGAAAGCTGAAACTGGATCCCTTCCTTACACCTTATACAAAAATTAATTCAAGATGGATTAAAGACTTCAATATTAGACCTAAAACTATAAAAACCCTAGAAGAAAATCTAGGCAATACCATTCAGGACATAGGCATGGGCAAGGACTTCATGTCTAAAACACCAAAAGCAATGGCAACAAAGACAAAATTGACAAATGGGATCTAATTAAACTAAAAAGCTTCTGCACAGCAAAAGAAACCACCATCAGAGTGAGCAGGCAACCTACAAAATGGGAGAAAATTTTCACAACCTACTCATCTGACAAAGGGCTAATATCCAGAATCTACAATGAACTCAAACAAATTTACAAGAAAAAAACAAACAACCTCATCAAAAAGTGGGTGAAGGATATGAACAGACACTTCTCAAAAGAAGACATTTATGCAGCCAAAAGACACATGAAAAAATGTTCACCATCACTGGCCATCGGAGAAATGCAAATCAAAACCACAATGAGATACCATCTCACACCAGTTAGAATGGCAATCATTAAAAAGTCAGGAAACAACAGGTGCTGGAGAAGATGTGGAGAAATAGGAACACTTTTACATTGTTGGTGGGACTGTAAACTAGTTCAACCATTGTGGAAGTCAGTGTGGTGATTCCTCAGGGATCTAGAACTAGAAATACCGTTTGACCCAGCCATCCCATTACTGGGTATATACCCAAAGGAGTATAAATCATGCTGCTATAAAGACACATGCACACATATTTTTATTGCGGCACTATTCACAAAAGCAAAGACTTGGAACCAATCCAAATGTCCAACAATGATAGACTGGATTAAGAAAATGTGGCACATATACACCATGGAATACTATGCAGCCATAAAAAATGATGAGTTCATGTCCTTTGTAGGGACATGGATGAAATTGGAAATCATCATTCTCAGTAAACTATCTCAAGGACAAAAACCAAACACTGCATGTTCTCACTCATGGGTGGGAATTGAACAATGAGAACACATGGACACAGGAAGGGGAACAACACCCTCTGGGGACTGTTGTGGGGTCGGGGGAGGGGGGAGGGATAGCATCAGGAGATATACCTAATGCTAAATGACGAGTTAATGGGTGCAGCACACCAGCATGGCACATGTATACATATGTAACTAACCGGCACATTGTGCACATGTACCCTAAAACTTAAAGTATTAAAAAAAAAAAAAAAGAAATCACTTCAAGAACCCAAAGTAATTAAATGCAGGGGAATTGGTTATACAAGAGATGGAAAGGCAACAAAGCCAAATGGAGTGATGAGACAGTACAGAAATTAGCCATATCAAGAGGCTTGGACCAGAGCGGGGAGAGGATGTTATTAGAATCCATGAGCTGTAGCCGTGTCTCCCACCCCATCATCTAGTAAACTGGAACCACAATAAACCATGGAGTAGGTGCAAGGAGGGCAAGAAATACTTTGGCTTTTCCCTACCTCCCCGTCTTCCAGAGGCCTCCTATTGTTGAATCCAGCTGGATGCCATCTGTTTGAGGAATCTCTTAAATAAAGGCTGCAGGGATCAGGTCCCCTCCGATAGAGAGTAAAGCCAAAGAAGGGGAAGGAATGGATCTGAGAGCAGACTGATTCGAGATCAGCACAAGAAGAAAAAAAGAAAGTCACTTACCTACTACATATGTTAATAAATATGAGATATGAAAGATATTTTAATCAGAGTTAAATGTGGACTTTAATATTACATATATGAAAAATAAAATAAATGCTAACAAAGTAAAGATTTAAAATTTTTTTAAATGATTGAAAGAAAAGGAAATAGATAAGAAAGTTGGCTTGAATGGTTAAAAAAAAAAGGCAAAAAGAATGCCATGTTTTGAATCCTGGCATGGGCAGAATGGATGTGAATATATATTATCAGTGACACTTTCTCATTATGGATTTACAAGAGGAAGGTTGGAAGAAGGCTGATTATTCAAAGAGAAGAAACTTGAGTAGGATTCCTCTAGATCACAAGTCTGCAAATGTTTTCTGTAATAGGTAGCATAGTAAATATTTTAAGTTTTGTGGGCCATACAGTCTCTGTGGTAACTACTCAGCTTTGACATTGTAATGTGAAATCAGTCATAGACAAGATGTAATGGATGCATATGGCTGTGTTCCAATAAAACTTTATTTCAAAAACAGAAGGCTAGAATTCCCTCATGTACTAGTTTGCCAATACTGCTCTAGAAAAATTAATCTTATAAAAAATCATCTATTTTCATTTTTACTGGTTAACTTAAAGACAGGAAAATATTTCTCATGTTCAGGCAGATGTGGACTCTGGTTTCAGACTACTTTAGTTCAACCCCCAACTCTGCCATTTGTCAGCTGTGTCGAAAGTTACTTAATCTCTCCGAAAAATGAGGTTCAGTATGGTGCTGACCTTAAAGGGTTGCTGTGGAAATTATGAGATTATATCTCTAAAGCACTTAAAATAATATCTGGTGTGTAGAAAGAGCTATAGTTATATTTGCTGATCTTACGAATTTCAACTTTAACTATTTTACAGATATTTAGTTTCCATGGTTCGGATTTACTTGACCTAATAGGTATATTTAAACATATTCATAAATAAAATATGAGGTAATACTTTATTTTAGCACCCATTACTCATAAATCAGTAGCAAACCTTCACTTCAGTAACTGTAGTCTACAAAGTTATAAATAAAGAAATATAGCCAAATCTCAATCCAAGACACTAAAAAATTTATCCACATTATCCAGGCAGTGAGAATTACAGGCTTCTTAGGTATAAAACAGGACAATACAACGTATCAGTTGCTAAAATCTATGTAATTGGTATATATTTATATATGTGTATATATATATATATATATAAAGTGTGGCAGGTGCATAGAAGAAAGAATAAGACAACTCATAAATGGCCAAGATCTCCCATATATTAACTTATGCTAATAAGTTAAACTGACTCAATTTGTGTTTTTACCTGACCAGTGATCTCTGCAATGAAATCAATTGTGACATAATCAGCTTTAATTGAAGAACTGGGTAAAATAAAGGAACAGCAGAACTGTCCATGTAGTCAAGTATTCAATTTAGTACATTTTTAGAGCTTCCAAAAAGATTTAAAATGGGAGAAAAAAGGGGCAACTGAAGATGTAAAAAAAATCTAATCCAACAACCCATTTTATAGGTAAAACTAAGACCCAGTATGTGCCCAATGACACAAAGCCAGGTGGAGAGAGCCAGGATTGGGAGCCTAGTCCCCTAACAACCAAATCCTCTCATTCTCATTTCAATTTACTTTCTCTGCCAATACTGAATCTCTCTAGACTCTCCTGAATGTTAACTTTTAGTTTTCCAGATAAGCAATACTACTTACTCCCGTATTTCAAGTAAGGGTTTTACCCATGTCAATTCAGTCAAACTGGTTTGCTATCTTCTACTCAGCAATCTATGATTACTCCTTAATAGCTTATAGTCATAGAAATACAGTGATGCTCTATTCAAGTGGATCTGTACATGATTGTACATGATGCTGGACATCTAAGTTATCACAAAGAACTTGGAGCTCATGGCAGAACCATCATCCAGGTGACCTTAGCAAGGTATTTACACTCTAAAATAAACACAAAGACACTGACACATTCTTAATAGAAACTATGCTTGATTTATATATATAGATTTATATATATATATATAAATGAGTAGCTTTTAGGTGTGATATAGTTGGTCAAGCATAGTATAATGTATAATGTTGAATGAATATAATGTTTAATGAGTATGATGTATAATAAGTAACATATATATAAAACTTTTTATATATAAATAAAATTATATATATAGTTATATATATGTTTATATATAGTTATATATATGTATGTATGTATGTGTGTGTGTGTATATATATATATATATATATATATATATATATATATATATATATATATATATATAACATTTTGGCCAGGCGGGGTGGCTCATGCCTGTAATCTCAGCACTTTGGGAGGTCGAGGTGGGTAGATCTCTTGAGGTCAGGAGTTCGAGACCAGCCTGGCTAACATGGTGAAACCCATCTCTACTAAAAATACAAAAATTAGCTGGGTGTGGTGGCAGATGCCTGTAATCCCAGAGTGAGACTCTGTCTCAAAAAGAAAAAAAAACATTATATATATATAAAATATAAGCATATATTTGATATATAAAAAATATATATTTATATATAAACTTTTATTTATATATAAAACATATATATATGTTACTCTACACACACACTCACTCACACACACCCACACACACGTATTAAACAGCATTTAAACAGCATTTTCTCCTTTTGGTTTGACTGAATAAATTCAGCCAGGACATGAAGACTTTCTGAACTACTTTACAGAAAGGAAAGGTGTTTGGAATAAACTGAGTAAGAAAAGTTCGAATAAAATTAGAACACTATGATAAACACTCACCCTATTAACTCTAAGACACAAAAAAACAGCTTTCATAGTCTTCATGTAATTTTTAAAAATATTTGGTTTCTGGTACCAAGGGAAAAAAGAGGATCAGCTGTCTCAGGGCAATTGAAACGATTAATTGTGAAATAAAACCTTTAACACAGCATATGGCCAAAACAAGGTACACAATAAATAATTTTGTTACCTTTTCCAGCTACTCGGGAGGCTGAGGCAGGAGAATGGCGTGAACCCGGGAGGCGGAGCTTGCAGTGAGCCAAGCTTGCTCACTGCAAGCTTGCAGATTGCGCCACTGCACCTCCAGTCTGGGCGACAGAACGAGACTCAGTCTCAAAAAAAAAATGTTGTTACCTTTTATAATTTAGTCTTTTGAATCTTTGTCCTTTGGAAGCCAGTGGTATTAGCTGGATTCTACAAATAAATGTTTTGGATATGAAGCAGACAACAACTAGTCCTAATTATGAGTCAAGTTGATTGAGTCAAGTCGGTATTAAGTTTAAGGATCTCTAAACTTCAGTTTAAAGATCTAACAATGTCTAATGTAAAATTATTAAAAAACTCAGAGAACTTAGAGTTGGAAAAAAAATCCATCGAAACATCCAATCTATCACTCATTTAGGGAAGTGTTTCTCCCTAAAATATCACTTACACCAAGTGTGAACATGGGGTTTTAAATGGAATTTCAATCCCCATTTCTAGGTAAGTCTCTATGGTCCTTATTTCCCGCTTCTCTCTAGAACTTACTCTGACTAGGAGCCATATTTCAACATGTTAAATAACGAATAGTGTAATGCAAACTGTGCTACTATAATTCCCATTGAAACTCCATTAAGCAAAGAAAAGCTGTCATGTATAAAATCTGCTGATCCTTAGGGATGACTTGGAGGACATTTTTCCTTTAATGGCTTCATGCTTTGCCAAGCCATAATTCACTTATATTTCTGTCAACAGCTTCATCACTATGTGTGTTTGACTTTCCTGAAAATGACATTATGACAACTCTCCTTACTATGCAAAGTTATTGCCTTGAAACCTCTATGTGGGAAAACGAAAGCATTTAGTCAACTCTGCTGTGAAGGAAGACATTATAGAACTTGGCTTTTGTGTCACAATAAACATTTTAGCTTCTTAAGAAACCTCAGGGATGAACCAGACAGCAAAAACTGAGTGATTTTAGTCACCAGAAACTGTGATAATTCCCCTTCAGTGTTGTTCTTGGATTGCTTTCGTAGCATTAAAAAACTGAATTTAGTAAGAAAAGTCTGGTAGATATTCAGAGTTAACAAAGTAATGAAATTATTGTTATAGGAAAAGAATAAAAGGGATGAGATTTGTTTTGATCTATTTTTAACCTTTTAAAATAAAGGGGGAGATGTCAAAATTATGTTCTATATGTTGTCTATTTATAAAAATGAAAGCAATATCTCCTACCTCACTGGAGAGTGGGTTTAGGTAAATTGACATTGGAATGGCTCTTTGATATTTATGTAAAAGACGTTACAGAATAAACATATGCATGTATATTCACATGTGTATGTATGTATGTATGTGTATACCTATACATGTGTGTGAGTGTGTGTGTGTGTGTTGGTATACACACCAAAAATACACAAATGCACACAAGTGTGCAAACATACATACACACATTTGTGTGTTTATCTAAAGGGAAAAACCAGGCACCAGATTGCCTTTGGGAATATGAGGAGTCTAGGGTTTATAACAAGTTTTTAGTTACTTGTACCAGGACCCTTGTGGGAGGGAATACAGACCAAGCTGAAGTTTGGAAATCTGTGCCATGACTCTCCTACCCAAATGTAGATGTCTTAGAGTGTGACACATTATGCTTCTTTTTGCCAGTTTAAAAATATTAATTTTTTTTCTTTTCTCTAAAGTGTTATTCTCAGAAAGAGCCCAGTGCCTGCACTAGAGGACTATAAGAGTATTTGAAGCACTATACGAACAGAGAACAGTTGAGGAGCAGATGTTAAGGAGAGAGAATGCTTGCCTGTCAATGGTTTATAGAAATAACAATGAACTTACGAGGCCCAAGGGAGAAATGGCATATCTAGGACATAAGAAGCTGCCACTACTAAATTGTACTACAATCTAGAGACCACAAGGAAACCCAGACAGGATACTTTCATATGGAGTGTTAGTCCTCACTGTGCCTAGAAGAATATAATATTTCCAAAGATGGAAAGGCTAGTTTCTCTGAAGGATGATTTAATAAGACTTTATGGCTAGATTATGATGAAACATCTCTTGAACACATTTTTCTCCCATGATCTCTTTCTCTACATCTAGTACTTATGCTGAGCAGCCTCCTTTCACTGGGTTGGCAGAGTCTCCTGCATCTTCGAAGTGCATTTGCCAAGTCACACTGGTGATCCCTCTCTAAGTCAGCAGCGAGAAAGCTTAGAAATTTTCCAAATGCAATTACCTTCCTATTCTTGACTCAATGATTCAGAAGTCTAGAGTTTTTAAAATCAGTATCATAGTCTACTTTGAAATAATGTTTAACATACTGTTACTATTATTTTTCAATTGGCTGACTCTTTAGTGATTACTACTCCATGTATACGACCTCATCCAATATCCCCACAGTTTCTCCTACTCCAAGAACTCAGTGGACCATATACTTGTCCAGATATACTTGGTCAATGTTGTCAAACTTCAATTTGCAACTCATTAGTGGGTCACAAAATTAAACTAGTGGGTCACAACCAAGATTTGTTTGTTTGAAGAATACAATGTATTAGAATCGAAAGACAATATCAGGTCACATAATATAGAGTATGGGTAAGTACTGCTTTGTAAATCTTTATTGCAGTCACATAATAAACACATACACACTGTTATGGGCTGAATTTTGCCCCCTCCAACCTCCCAAAATCCATATACTGTTGCCCTAATATGATTTGACTGTGTCCCCACCCAAATCTTGTCTTGAAATGTAGCTCCCCTAATTCCCACGAGTGGTGGGAGGGACCTGGTGGGAGATAACTGAATCATGGGGGCGGTTTCCCCCATACTGTTCTCATGGCAGTGAATAACTCTCATGAGATCTGATGATTTTATAAGGGGTTTCCCTTTTCACTTGGCTCTCTCACTCTCTTGTCTGCTGCCATGTAAGACATACCTTTCGCCTTCCACCATGATTGTGAGGCATCCCTGCCATGTGGAACTGTGAGTCCATTAAATCTCTTTTTCTTTATAAATTACTCTGTCTTGGGTATGTCTTTATCAGCAGTGGGAAAACGGGCTAATGCAGGCCCTAACACTCAGTACCTTAGAATGTGACTGTATTTGGAGACGGGGATTTTAAAGAGGTAATTAACATTAAATGATGTCATAAGGATGGGGCACTAATCAAATAGGACTGATGTTCTTGTATGTAGAGGAAGAGACACTAGAGACGTATGCACACAAAGGAAAGGCCATGCAAAGACACGGTAAAAAGCCAGTCATCTGCAAGCCAAGGAGGGAGGCCTCAGGAGAAACCAAACCTGCTGACACCTTGATCTGGGACATCTAATCTCCAGAACTGTGAGAAAATAAATTTCTGTGATTTAAGCCCCTCAGTCTGTGGTATTTTGTTATGACAGCTCTAAAAAATGCGAATACACACATACATATGTGGCATATTGGTCCATGTGTAAGTAAAGTGCTTTCCTGAGAAGAATGTTGTAATCAGAGAGACTTAAAAACCTCAGAAACTAGCTATGGGTCAGCACAATCACAAAATTGTATTTTACTTTAATCTTAAAAAGGATAATGACTTAATTAATATCTGTCAAATTCGTTTTTAATACTATTCTTGACTAAGATTGTCTTTATATGATGTACCCATATGTTGGCTCTAATATGTTAATGTTTCTCATAGATTTTATATTTCAAAGCACTTTATATTTGAAATACAATAAACTGAGAGGTGAGTCGGAGTTTAGGCATTTGTACACATAGTGTGGCTCCCTTGTGTTTTATATCTTCACCTATTTTAAAACTACTTTTTGTTTATGAATATACACCAATTCATGCTCATTGAGATAAGGCCTTATCGGTTGTCACCTGCCCAAAGGGTGGGTGTGGGGTTCTGCAAGTACCTTCCCTAACATACAGATAAGCATCTTTTGAGATTTAAATGCCCTCTTGGAACGATGATGTGCTCTTTTGTCTTTTATGTGGAGAGAGCTGTGCCAATTTAATAAGAATAAGACCTCTCCTAATGCATTAAGACCAAAATCTGGCATTATTAACAGATAGGTAAATGATGTATCTGTTGGAGATTTCACTTTTAACCCCACCCATGGACAAGTTATGAGCAAGGACATTTTGTGCCCAGAACTTGAATCAGTTCTGGTCTGACTGGTGGGCTCCATTTCCACCAGTTGATTCCTTTAATCAACTCCACGGGTAGATTCCCACCTGGATAGGCCCCAAATTATGTGCTCTCTTTTCTGAGGAGAGATGCTTTTCTCCTTTCAAATTTGAGGTCAGTCAGTCTGCTACACAGTCCGACTAGACCTCATGACTGTTTCCTCCTTAAACATCTCCAGGTCTGAGTTTTTCTGGCAAATACTTAAACAAGGATACAGTGGGTTTTAGACATGGCTGTTCTACTACCAGCCACTTTATCAATGTGTTGAGATACCTGTTAAAAGTAATGTAATATACCTAGTAATTCAAACTAATGCAGGAACAGAAAACCAAATACCACATGTTCTCACTTATAAGTGGGATCTAAATGATGAGAACACATGGACACAAAGAGGGGAGTAACACACACTGGGGCCTGCTTGAGGGTGCAGGATGGGAGGAGGGAAAGGATAAGAAAAAATAACTACTGGGTACTAGGCTTAGTACCTGGGTGACAAAATAATCTGTACGACAAACCCCTGTGACAGGTGTTTACCTCTATAACAAACCTGCATATGTACCCCTGAACCTAAAATAAAAGTTTTTTTAAAAAGAGTAATATAATTGTTTGTAAATTTTGTTGAATTTTTTTCAGCCTTCAAACTATGGACAGGAATAATGGAGGTTAATCTGCATGAGCTAAAAGTCCATTACCAAGGTGTGCAGTTTAGCAGGACTGCAAGGGGCAGAGAGAACAGATTATATCACAATATTAAATAGCATAAAATTTTAGCCATCTTGGTATGATTTAGATATGTTTCTTCTGATATAGAGAAAACACAGAAAAATGCTTATGATATAGGTTTGTTTTAATGAATTAGAATGAAATTAGAATGGCATTATATATGTTATTAAATTATTTTTATTAATTTGATATGTGTCCTGGTAGCTCCATAGAGTGTATAATTTAGAATGATGTTCTTCAATCTATTCAGTCTGGCAAGCAGTTATGTTTAAAACCTGAAGTTTACTGAGATGGAGTTAACATTTATGGCATTAGCTTTAATTGAGGATCTGTGAAAAAACGCCATATTCTAGAGGGCTGTTGACCATTTTACCTATCACCTTTCAAGGTTCTATTCTTCATTTGGACATTATGAAAATTTTTTTTAGAAATTTATTCTAGAAATAGCTTTGTTTTTTCTAAGAAATTGGGAGTATTTTCTTATAAAACATGAAAACCACGTGCCATGTGTCTGGACTTATTTTCCTTTAGTGGTCAGAAATCCTAGAACAAAATTTTAGCCCTTATTTTGAATCTTGGTGGATTCTTATGAGACATGCATTTATAGACATATATATTTTTGTTTTACTTTCCTATTTAATTTGTATTTTGCTTTTTCTCAATTTATATATATATATAAAACACAAATAAAATATGTAGTTTAATAAAATGATAATTGGCAACTATTTTGTGTTTTCTTTTTCCTGGTATATAAATATAATCTTTATATATGAGACTGATGTGCATATATGTGTGTGTGTGTGTATATATATATATACATATATACATACATACACATTTTACTGTTTTACTGCATGTAATTCGTGGAGCCATGTAAAATTTATTGATTAAGGTGAGGCATAAATAAAATAACCAAGTGCTAATTTATTTGGTATTTACTAAATAACTGTATATGCATAGCTTAGTTCCAGGGGAAAAATGCCTGCAACAGATAATTCCCGATTCCAATACCTTAAAATCCTAGTGGGGGAAAATGGATATAAACCAGTTCAGTAACTAAGCCATAGATAAGCAAATATGGCAATATAGCAATTAATGTGTAGGTAGTAAATTGTACAGATGATTACAAGAGGGCCAGATAAATTAAATCTAAGATTTTCTGGAAAATGAAACCCTTCATGGTAGAAGGATAGAAATCATTTGGCTAGATAGGGAAAAAAGAAAAATGCATTTAGGTAGAGAAAATAGAACAGAACAGGATTAGGGATAAACCTGAACCAGGTGTGTTTGGGGGACAATAAGGAGATGAGTATCTCTCAATTGTAGAACAATGGGAGAAAAGTCACATAAATAGATTGAGGTTATGTTGCGGAGCCCCCAAGGAATAACTGAAGGCATGAGATAGAAGAATGTCATAACAAAATAGTCACTATTGTTACCATTACTGATATAGAAAGACTTCTTTCTTTTTCTCACGTATATAGTAAGTAGGAGTTGGAAGAGATTGGAAGCCATAGATTGGTTTTGCTTATAGTGTTGGTCTAGGTGATTGTGAAATTTCAAGATGTAATGAACTGCTTAAATAGAAAATTGATTTTTTTCATAGCATTTCAATCCACAAAAAAAAAAAAAGAAAAGAAGGAAAAAAAGGGAAAAAAGAAAATTTTTTTAAAAAAGGAAGGACAAGAATCTGGCTCTGTACAGGCTAGACGAGATCATGATGAATTTGGATCTCCTTTCTTGTCAATAGCAATAAGTGATAAGCATGTTATACTCTCTTAACTTTTCTTTCTTTTTTTTTTTTTTTGAGACAGTTTTGCTCTTGTTGCCCAGGCTGGAGTGCGGCGGTGCTGTCTTGGCTCACTGCAACCTCCACCTCCCAGGTTCAAGCGACTCTCATGCCTCAGCACCCCGAGTAGCTGGGATTACGGGTGTGCGCATCAACCCCAGCTAATTTTTGTATTTTTAGTAGAGACGGGGTTTCACCATGATGGCCAGGCTGGTTTCGAACACCTGACCTCAGGTGATCTGCCCTCCTCGGCCTCCCAAAGTGCTGGGATTACAGGCATGAGCCACCAAGCCCGGCCTATACTTTCTTAACTTTTAATCTTGTTTATATAATTGTCAGATTTATTACATGTGGTTATTATTTTTTAATGCTGCAAATAACTTTTTCATGCAGCTGAGTAAAATAATTTTTAATTTAAAAAGAATATACTAGAATAATGTAATGATGTGTAATTCTCAGTCATTTACAAACCATTGTCATGGTTTCTGCTATTTGCATGCAATCCACTATTATTTACTAAATATTGAATTTTAAAATCAACCTTTGTTAACTCAAATTTTATTAAAAAGGAAACTATTATACTACTGTTGAGGAAAACAGTATAATTGTTAAAGGAAGAATACAACTGTTAAAATATAGATTAAACATGGTTTTAAAATTAAAATGAGAATAACTATAAAATATAAGCAATATTAGTTCTCAAAAATTTTGCCAACTTTTGTCCTGAAGATATTGATTGGTGAGGTGAATGGGGCTGTTTAATGCTCAGTTTATAATAAAGAAATATTTAGGTTGGTTGGGTTGAGAAGAAGGCAAGTTTTCAAGGTGAAAAAATTGATTCTGTGTTTTAGCTTTAATGGGAATTCCAGCTCAATGGAACAGATAGTTGGAAAGAACTGAAACTATTTAACTGCCTTATTAGTTAGGATTTAATATTGAGAATTAATTTTCAAAGAAAATGATGCAAATGACCTTTCAAAACAAATTTTGTTTGATTAAATCATCTGATGCAACTCTTCTGTCTGTTCAGTTTCTCAACAGATCAAGTTTTGGAAAATAAATGACAGTAATGGCAAATTTTTCCGTCTTCATAAATTGCTATTATCTGGTTTGGAAAATATTACTACAGGTCATTTATACCATCTTTCAAGTGCCTCTGTACAATGTTCATAATATATTTAGTGAATTATTCATATGAGTTCCTTAACAAGCCGTTTAGACACCAAATATCCAAGCCCACTCAATAAAGTGATGCACTTTAGTTTCTCTTATTCCATTTACGAGTTCTCGCACACAGAATGCTGACATAAGCCTCTCTTGTAAGAATAACTAAATTGTTCAAATGGCAAATATATCTGTAGTATATGCATATTAGCAGAGCCAGTGGCAGTCATAGAAAACACCTTGAATTGACAGTTTTCTTCAGAAAGACTTAATGTTCATCTTAAAATTCAAAGAGATGAATGAGAATGCCTCTACATAAAAGCCAATGAGCCCCGGTATGAAATAGCAGTCATATTGACTGTTCTCTTCATAAAGCTGAGAAACAAGTTGGGATTCAGTGATCCATCCTTAAATTGACTTGATGGTTTTAGTAGTTTCACTGAGTGTACTCTCTGGGGCCTGTATGATTTTGTACCCTGGCTCTATTAGCAGGATCCTATCTTACTAGCTGTGAAAACTTGGGCAAGTTTCCATTTCTGTGCCTGTTATCTCATTTGTAAAATATTGATAATATTATCTAACCTGAAGACTTGTTAGAAGGATTAAATATATAGATAAATATTAAGCTTTCAGAACAGTATTTGACATATAGTCTTGCATAAAATATTTGACATACAGTTTTTTATAAGTGTTTGTAGTTTTTGTTTTAATTATTGTTTTCATTTACTCTTAAAACATCATTTGTTATGGACTGACTTGTGTCCCTTGCCCTCCCCCAAATTCTTATGTTGAAACCCTAACTCCCAGTGTGATTATATTGTGAGATAGGGCCTTTAGTAAGGTAAGGAAGGTTAAATGAGCTCATTAGGATGGGGCCCTAATTCCATAAGACTAGTGTCCTTATAAGAATACGAGGAGACATCAGAAATGCCTCTCTCTGCACATGTACAAAGGAAAGGCCATGTGAGGACACAGTGAGAAGATAACTGTCTACAAGCCAGGAAGACAGCATTTTACAGAAACCGATTTGCTTCCACCTTGATCATGGACTTCTAAACTCCAGAACTGTGAGAAAATAAACCTCTGTTGTTTAAGCCACCCAATTTGTGGTATTTTGTTAAGGCAGTCTTGCAGACTAACACACTATTTTGAAGATTGAGGCTTCCTTGTGTATACAACAGTAGGTAGATTTTTTTTTCACAAGTGACATTTCTATGTATTAAAACAATATAAAATAAAACACATGTTGATTAAAACACACTACTAAGAATCAATACATAGGGTCTATGTAATTTGAACGCTCTATTTTTTTTCTTTCAAATAGGAATGGGAGACAGATTATCAAAAGTTTTGATAAAATTGACCATGATACAATAATTTAAGCACTTTATGTAGGTAGACTTTACAGAACTTTAGGAACACCTGATGCATTATTTGAAACATACTCTATTGCTCCAATTATCTATACTTTATTATTACATTTTTTTCTAATGGTTTAATATATTATACATTTTGATTTATAAAGTGAGTTAAAGATTACTATGGCATACATTTTATTTTATTCTTGAGGCATATATTAGGCCCATGAAGTATACCTAACTTGAGAGGACACAAGCACAGCAGGCTTAGAACTTGGGAAGAGCTCCTTCATCTCCATTTTATATCCTTTTCCTTTTCTTAAAAAAAAAAGGTACAATAATAAGAAAAAAGTATATAACGTATTTTGGTCATTGATAAAGAGATTATTCTTTGAGAACCTAGTGTATGTCATATACTGAGTCAGGAACTGAAAATATAAAGATAAATTAGCAATATTTATCTCTTTTGGACCACTTGTCACAGTTTAACCTGGTCACATTTTTAGTAATGTTATTAGGATACTTTAAATTATATCTGAGGTTAATTGTTTTGTGTTGGAGTTTATACATTTTTAGTCTTCTTCCACCCACTCTGTAGCATTTTAATGAGTAACCAGTTGGTGAAAAGAGATCACACTTACATACAGCTGGTAGAAGTTATTGATTTACCGGACCAAGGGTCCAGAAAATTAACAAGGGTGAGTTGGAGAAATGCAGTTGATGAGCATTTCTTGGCTTAACTTTCCAGAAATGTTAGCTCACTTGTGTGTGCATCTTCTGGTGAGCCACTCTACATATGTAGGGTCTTGTTAGAATTGGAAAAACATATAAGTTATTCTTAATTGGTACTTCGGTCTCACCCAGTGGAGTGCTGAAGCCAGTTCATACTAGCTTGTGAGAAAAAACTGTTATAATTTTAGGAAGTATCTGAGCCAGTAAACGCAGCCATACTAAAAAGACAAATTATGTAAAATTACAAAAATAAGTTATATTAAAATATTATTTTAGTCACAAAGAGTTGAGAAAATTAATATACAGTTATTTTTACCATATATTCCCAATACAGTGGAATTACTGTGTATTTTGACAAAATACTTCTATCTTACACTACGTTTTCAATAAATTTACCAAACTCTTGGAACTACAGAGCTACCTCATCTAATGTATGGAAAATATCTACCATAAAACTGAATGAGCAAAGCTGTCCTCACTGTCAAACCAACCATTGCAATCAGACTTTTTATTAGATGAAATCTGATTCTGTTTTCAATAAAGAGAAGTATATTAATATGCACTTGAAAACATATTTTAAAATCCTGAGAAATAATTATTGGATACAACTAATAATAATATAGTACAAGCAGAGAGGTAAAGCAAACTGGCAGAATAGAAAGCTCCACTGATTGTCTACCCTGCAAAGACACCAAGTTAACAACTATCTATGCAGATAAAACACCCTCATAAGAACCACAAAGCAGGTGAGCATTCATAGTTTTAACTTCATACTGCTGAAAGAGGCACTGAAAACAGAGAAAAAGCAGTCCTGAATCACAGACGCCAGTCCTTCCCTATCCCCAGCAGCAGAAGTTGGGTGAGGAGAGCTTACCTGTGAGCTGGGGGCGGGGGAGGGAAACACAGCAATTGTGAGACATTGAACTCAGTGCTCTGCTGTTACAGCAGAAAGGAAAACCGGCTCAAACTGAGCTGATGCCTGCCCATGGAGGCAGTATTTAAAGCAGCCCTAGCCAGAGGGCAATCACTGTTCTCAGAGGTCAAATTTGAGTGCCTGCAATCCTTGCCACTGAGGGCTACAGTGATCTGAGTCTTCATATAAACTTGAAAGGCAGTCTAGGCCACAAGGACTGCAACTCTTAGACAAGTCCTGGTGCTAAACTAGGTCTGGAGATAAGGGATTGAGGGGGCACTCAACATACTGAGGTAGTACATGGGGCAGCCAAGAGAGTGCTGACATCACCCCTCCCCTAAACCTAGGCTGCACAGCTCGCAGATCCAAAACAAACCCCCTTTCTCCTGCTTGAGGAGAGGAAAAGGGAGAGTGGGAAGGACTTTGTCTTGCATCTAGGATACCAGCTCAGCCACAGCAGGATAGGGCACCAATCAGAGTCTTGGGGCCCCCACTCCAGGCCCTAGAAGAAGACTTTTCTTGACAAACTGGGCCAGAAGGGCCTTAGAGTAAAGGACCAAGTCCTGGCAGAGTTCATCACCTGTTAACTGGGCCCTGAATAAACAGCAGCAATTCCCAGGTACTACATCAAGGGCTGCGGATGAGCCACTGAGACTTGCTGGCTTCAGATGAGACTCAGCACATTAACAGCTGTGGTAGCTATGGGGCAAAACTCCTTCTGCTTGAGAAAAGTAGAGGGAAAAGTAAAAGGGACTTCGTCTTGCACCTTAGGTATCAGCATGGTCACAGAGGGGTAGAGCACTGAGTGGGCTCTTGGGGCCCCTGATTCTAGGACTTGACACTTGGACAGCATTTCTGGACCTGTCCTGGGCCAGAGGGGAGCCCACTGCCCTGCAAGGTGAGTCCCAGGCCAGGCAACATTCACAGCAAGCTGACTTAAGAGGTCTGGCAGTTCTCCTCATAGCCTGGGCTACCGGGTGAGTCTCCTCTGCCTTTGGAAAGGGGAGCAAAGTAGGGGAAGGACTGCATCTGGTGGTTTGAGCCAGGTCATCTGCAATACAACAGAACAGGAGGTAGACTTCAAAGGTTTTGACTCTAGTCCCTGACTCTAGGATGGCACTTCTGGACCCATCTGGGACATGTGGGACCTTGCTGCCCTGAGGGGAAAGACACAGGCCTGAATGGCTATGCCACCTGTTTATTGTGGAGCACTAAGGCCTTGAGTGAGGTAGGCAGTAGCCAGAGAGTGGTTACAGAAGGCGTTCATGAGACCCAGTGCTGTGCTGGTTTTAGGTCTGACCCAGCACAGTCATAGTTGTGTTGGCCACAGGGGTGCTTGTGACACTCCATCTCAGCTTTAGATGGCTCAGAATAAATAAAAACACACACTGTGTGTTTGGGAAAAAGTAAGAGAAGAGAATAAAAGTCTCCGCCTGGCAGAGCTTCCAGTGAGCCAAGACCGTGCCACCGCACTCCAGCCTGGGCGACAGAGCGAGACTCTGTCTCACAAAAAAAAAAAAAAAAAAAAAAAAAAAAAGTCTCTGCCTGATAACTCAGAATTCTCCCAGATCTCATCCAAGATAATCAAAGTGGTACCTATACAAATCTGCAAGAACTACAGCATTACTGGGCTCGGGGTGCCCCCTAAGGCAGACATAGCTTACATTCCCATACCCAAGTCCTTTCAAATATCTGGAGAGTCTTCCCAAAAAAGATGGCTACAAACAAGCTTAGACAGTGAAAACCACAATAGATATCTCACTCTTCAGTGCCAAGACACCAAAGAACATCTATTAGCATAAACACCATTGAGGAAAACATGACCTCACCAAATGAATTAAATAAGGCACCAGGGACCAATCCTGAAGAAACAGAAATATGTGAACTTTCAGACAGAGAATCAAAATACCTATGTTGAGGAAACTCAAAGAAATTCAAGATAACACAGAGAAGGAATTCAGAATTCTATCACATAAATTTCACAGACAGGTTTAAATAATTAAAAAGAGTCAAGCAAAGATTCTGGAGAGGAAAAAAAGCAATTGGCATACTGAAGAATGTATCAGAGTCCTTAAACAGCAGAATTAATTAAGCAGAAGAAAGAATTAGTGAGTTTGAAAACAGGCTATTTGAAAACACACAGAGAAGACAAAAGAAAAATGAACAAAAAAGGGTGCCTACACGATATAGGAAATGGCCTCAAAAGGGGAAATCTAAGAGTTACTGGTCTTAAAGAGGAGATAGAGAAAGAGAGAGGGGCAGAAAGTTTATTCAAAGGGATAATAACAGAGAACTTCCCAAACCCAGAGAAACACATAAATATACAAGTACAAGAAGGTTATAGAACACCAAGCAGATTTAACCCAAAGAAGACTACCTCAAGGCATTCATATAATTAAACTCTCAAAGGTCCAGGATAAAAAAGGATCCTAAAAGCAGCAAGAGAAAAGAAAGAAATAACATACAATGGAGCTCCAATACATCCGGCAGCAGACTTTTCAGTGGAAACCTTACAGGCCAGGAGAGACTGGCACGATATATTTAAAGTGTTGAAGGAAGAAAACTTTTACTCTAGAATAGTATATCCAAAAACAAAACAAAACAAAACAAAACAAAACAAAACAAAACACCCTTAAAACATGAAGGTAAAATAAAGACTCTGTGAGACAAGCAAAAGCTGAGGGATTTCATCAATACCAGACCTGTCCTACAAGAAGTGCTAAAGGGAGTACTTCAATCAGAAAGAAAAGGACATTAAAGAGCAGTAAATAACCACCAGATGGTACAAAACTCACTGGTAATAGTAAGTACACAGAAAAACACAGAATATTATAACACTGCAATTGTGGTATGTAACTTAGCTTATCCCAAGTAGAAAGACTGAATGATTAATCAATCAAAAATAGTAACTACAACAACCTTTCAAGACATAGTCAATAAAATAAGATATAAGTAGAAAAAACAAAATGTTAAAAAGTGGGGGAATGAAGCTAAGGCGAGTTTTTTTAGTTTTATTTTTGCTTGTTTGTTTATGCAAATAGTGTTGAGTTGTTATCAGGTTAAAAAAACAGGTTACAAGATAGTATTTGTAAGACTCATGGTAACTTCAAACCAATAAACATGCAATGAATACACAAAAAATAAAAAGCAGGAAGCTAAACCATGTCACAGAGAAAATTATCTTCACTAGGGGAGACAGAAAGGAAAGAAAAAAGATGGAGAAAACCACAAAACAACCAGAAAACAAGTAACAAAATGGCAGGAGTAAGTCGTTACCTGCCAGTAACAACATTGAATGTAAAGGGTCTAAACTCTCCAATTAAAAGACTTAGACTGGCTGAAAGGATGAAAAAACAAGACCAGTTGATGTGATGCCTACAGGAAACACACTTTACCTATAAAGACACACATAGAATGAAAACAAAGGAATGGAAAAAGACATTTCATGACAATGGAAACCAAAAAAGAGCAGGAGTCACTACACTTATATCAGACAAAATAGATTTCAAGACAAAAACTGTAAGAAAAGAAAAGGTCAAAGGTAACTATATAATGATAAAGGGTCAATTCAGCAAAAGGAGATAATAATTTAAAATATATATGCACCCAACACTGGAGCACCCAGATATATAAAGAATATATTATTGGAGTTAAAGAGAGATATAGGCCTGAATACAATAATAGCTGGAGAGTTCAAAACCCCATTTGCGCAGAAAATCAGACAAAAGCCTCAAACTTAATCTGCACTATAGACCAAATGGATCATTTCCTCCAAGAGCTGCAGAATACATATTCTTTTCTTCAGCACGTAGATCATTCTCAATGACAGACTATATGTTAGTCACAATACGGGTCTCAAACATTCAAAGAAATTGAAATAATACAATGCATCCTCTCTGGCCACAGTGGAATAAAACTAGAAATTAATAACAAGAGGAACTTTGGAAACTATACAAATAAATGAAAGTTAAACAATATGCTCTTGAATGACCAGTAGGTCAATGAAGAAATTCAGAAGGAAATTGAAAAATTTCTTGAAACATATGATAATTGGAAACACAACATACCAAAACTTATGGGATATATCAAAAACAGTACTAACAGGGAAGTTTATAGCTAAATGTGCCTACATCAAACAAGAGAAAAAAACTTTAAGTAAACAATCTAACAAAGTACCTTAAGGAACTAGAAAAGCAAGAGCAAACCAAATCCCAAATTAGTAGAAGAAAATAAATAATAAATATCAAAACAGAAAGGAATGAAATTGAGATAAAAAATACAAAAGATCAATGAAGCAAAAAGTTGTTCTTTTGAAAAGTTAAACAGAATTGACAAACCTTTAGCCCAACTAAGAAAAAAGGGAGATGATCAAAAGAAATAGTATCAGAAATGAAAAAAAAAGACATTACAAATAATACTGCTGAAATTTATATGATCACTAGTGGCTACTATGAGCAATTGTGTGCCAATAAATTTGAAAATCTAGAAGAAATGGACAAATTCCAAGATATATACTACTTACCAAAATTGAACCAGGAAGAAATGTAAAATCTGAGCAGACCAATAACAAGTAATGAGTTCAAAGCCATAATAAAAATTCTCCCAGTAAAGAAAAGGCTGGGACCTGATGGCTTCACAGCCGAATCCCACCAAACATTTAAGAACTACTAATATCAGTACTACGCAAACTCTCCCAAAAAAATGGGAAGAGAATACTGCCAAACTGATTCTACAAGTTCAGTATTACCCTGATACCAAAACAAGACAAAGATTTATCAAATAAAGAAAATTACAGGCCAATATCTCTGACGAATATTGATTCAAACATTCTCAACAAAATACTAGCAAACCAAATTCAACAATACATTAGAAAGTTTATTCATCATGATGAAATGGGATTTATCCCTGAGATGGAAGGAAGGTTCATCATATGTAAATCAATCAATATGACATTATATTAACAGAATGAAGGATGAAAGCCATATGATCTTTTCAACTGATGCTGAAAAAGCATTCAATAAAATCCAACATTTCTTCAGGATAAAAACCCTCAAAAAACTGGATATAAATTAGCTGGGCATGGTGGCACATGCCTGTAATCTCAGCTACCTGGGAGGCTAACACAGGAGAATCGCTGGAACCTGGGAGGCGAGGGCTGTAGTGAGCCAAGATCATGCCACTGCACTTCAGCCTGGGCGACAGAGTGAGACTCCATCTCAAAACAAAAAAGAAAACAAGCAAACAAAAACAACAACAAAAAATACTGGATATAGAAGGAACTTACCTCAACATAATGAAAGCCATATTCAACAGACCAAATGGGGAAAAACTGAAAGCCTTTCCTCTAGTATCTGGAACACGAGAAGGATGCCCACTGTCACCACTGTTATTCAACATCGTACTGGAAGTCCTCGCTAGAGCCATCAGGCATGATAATGTTATAAAGGGAATCCAAATTGGAAATGAAGAAGTAAAGTTATCCTTGTTTGTAGATGATATGATCTTGTATTTTGATAAACCTAAAGATTCCACAAGAAAACTATTAGAACTAATGAACAAAATCATTAAAGTTGTAGAATACAAAATCAACATACAAAAATTAGTGGCATTTCTACATTCCACAGTGAACAATGTCTCTACAATACAAACTATAAAAAAGTAATCCCATTTACAATAGCCAACATACAATTAAATACCTAGGAATTAACAACTAAATAAGTGAAAGATCTCTCCAATACAAACTCTGAAAGAAATTGAAGAGGACACCAAACACAAAAACAAAACCAAAAAACAAATTCCATGGTCATGGATTGGAAGAATCAATGTAGTTGAAGCATCCATACTACCCAAAACAATTTACAGATTCAATACAGTCCCTATTAAAATATCAATGACATTCTTCACAGAAGTGGAAAAAAATCATAAAGCTTATGTAGAACTACAAAAAATTTAGAAATCTGATCATAAAATGGGCAAAAGATTTGAATGGACATATCTCAAAAGAAGACATGTATACTAGTCTGTTTTCATGCTGCTGGAGACGAAAGTTTCAAGACATACCCCTAGCAGTTTTCATGCTGCTGGACATGAGAGTTTCAAGACATACCCAAAACTGGGATCAAAAAAAAAGGTTCAGTTGGACTTACAGTTCCACATGGCTGGAGAGGCCTCAGAATCATAGTGGGAGGTGAAAGGCTCTCCTTACATGGTGGCAGCAAGAGAAATGAGGAAGACTCAAAAGTGGAAACCCCTGATAAACTCATAAGATCATGTGAGATTTACTCACTATCATGAGAATAGCACAGGAAAGACCAGCCCCCACGATTCAATTACCTCCCCCTGGATCCCTCCCACAACACATGGGAATTCTGGGAGATACAATTCAAGTTGAGATTTCAGTGGAGACACAGCAAAACCATATCATTCCACCCAGGCCTCTCCAAATCTCATGTCCTCACATTTCAAAACCAATCATGCCTTCCCAACAGTCCCTTAAAGTCTTAACTCATGTCAGCATTAACCCAAAAGGTCACAGTCCAAAGTCTCATCTGAGACAAGGCAAGTCTCTTCTGCATATAAGCCTATAAAATCAAAAGCATGCTAGTTACTTCCTAGATACAATGGGAGTACAGGTATTAGGTAAATATAGCCATTCCAAATGGGAGAAATTGGCCAAAACAAGGGGTTACAGGGCCCGAGCAAGCCTGAAATCCAGCTGGGCAGTCAAATTTTAAAGCTCTAAAATGATCTCCTTTGACTCCAGGTCTCACATCCAGGTCACACTGATACAAGAGGTGGGTTCCCATGGTCTTGGGCAGCTCAGGCCCTGTGGTTTTGCAGGGTACATCCTCTCTTCCAGCTGCTTTCATGGGCTGGCATTGAGTGTCTTTGGCTTTCCAGGTGAACGGTGCAAGCCATTGATAGATCTACCATTCTGGGGTCTGGGGGATGGTGGCCATCTTCACAGCTCTACTAGGCAGTGGCCCAGTAGGGACTCTGTGTGAAGGCTCTGACCCCACATTTCCCTTCCCCACTGCCCTAGCAGAGGTTTTCCATGAGTGCCCTTCCCTTGAAGCAAACTTCTACCTGAGCATGTAAGCCTTTCCATACATCTTCTGAAATCTAGGCAGACATTCCCAAACCTCAATTCTTGACTTCTGTGCACCTGCAGGCTCAACACCATGTGGAAGCTGTGAAGGCTTCGGGCTTCTGCCCTCTGAAGCCACAGCCCAAGCTGTACATTGGCTTCCTTCAGCCATGATTAGAGCAGCTGGGACACAGGGCACCAAGTCTCTAGGCTGCACACAGCACAGGGACCCTGGGCTTGGCTCACAAAACCACTTTTTCCTCCTGGGCCTCCGGGCCTATGATGGAAGGGGCTGCCATGAAGGTCTCTGACATGGCCTGGAGACATTTTCCCCATTGTCTTGGAGATTAACATTAGGTTCCTTGCTGCTTATGCAAATTTCTGCAGCTAGCTTGAATTTCTCCTTCAAAAAATGGGGTTTTCTTTTCTATATCATCAGGCTGTAAATTTTCCGCATCATTAGCCTACAAATTTTCTGAACTTTTATGGTCTGTTTCCCTTTTAAAACAGAATGCTTTTAGCAGTACCCACGTAACCTCTTGAATGGTTTGCTCTTAGAAATTTCTTCTGCCAGATACCCTAAATCATCTCTCTCAAGCTCAAAGTTCCACAGATTTCTAGGGCAGGGGCAAAATGCTGCCAGTCTCTTTGCTAAATGTAACAAGAGTTGCCTTTGCTCCAGTTCCCAACAAGTTGCTCATCTCCATCTCAGACCATCTCAGCCTGGCCCTTATTGTTCATGTCACTATTAGCATTTTCATAAAAGCCACTCAAGTCTCTAGTAAGTTCCAAACTTTCCCGCATTTTCCTGTCTTCTTCTGAGCCCTCCAAACTGTTCTAACCTCTGCCTGTTACCCAGTTCCAAAGTCTCTTCCACATTTTCAGGTATCTTTTCATCAACGCCCCACTCTACTGGTACCAATTTACTGTATTAGTCCATTTTCTTGCTGCTGACAAAGATGTACCCAAGACTGGGAAGAAAAAGAGGTTTAATTTATAGTTCCACATGGCTGGGGAGGCCTCAGAATCATGGCAGGAGGCAAAAGGCTCTTCTTACATGGTGGCAGCAAGAGAAAATGAGGAAGAGGCAAAAGTGGAAACCCCTGATAAACCCATCAGATCTCATGAGACTTATTCACTACCATGAGAATAGCATGGGAAAGGCGGTCCCCATGATTCAATTACCTCCCCCTGGGTCCCTCCCACAACACGTGGGAATTCTGGGAGATACAATTAAAGTTGAGATTTTGGTGGGGACACAGCCAAACCATATCAACATGCAAATGGCAAACAGGCATATGAAAAAGTGCTCAACAATACTGATCATTGGAGAAACGCAAATCAAAACTACAATGAGATCTCTTCTCACTCCAGTTAAAATGGCTTACATCTAAAAGACAGGCAATAACAAATGCTGCTGAGGATGTGGAGAAAAGGGAACCCTTGTATGCTGTTGGTGGAATTGTAAATTAGTGCAACCACTATGGAGAACAGTTTGGAGGTTCCTCAAAAACTAAAAACTGAGCTACTGTATGATCCAGCAATCCCACTGCTGTGTATATGCCCAAAAGAAAGGAAATCAGTATATCAAAGAGATATCTGCTCTCCTATATTTGTTGCAGGACTGTTTATAATAGCTAAGACTTGGAAACAATGTAAGCATTCATCAATAGATGAATGGATTAATAAAACGTGGTACATATACACATGGAGTACTATTCAGCCACAAAAAAGAATGAGATCCAGTCATTTGCCATGACATGGATGGAACTGGAAATTATTGTGTTAAGTGAAACAAGCCAGATACAGAGACACAAAAATTGCATGTTCTCAGTTATTTGTGGGATCTAAAACTCAAAACAATAGAACTAATGGACAGAGAGAGTAGAAGGATGGTTACCAGAGGCTGGGAACGGTTGTAGGGGACTGGGCAGGGAAGGTGGGGATTATTAAGGGGTGCAAAAATGTAGTTAGAAAAAATCAATAAGACCTACTGTTAGACAGCACAACAGGGTGACTATAGTCAATAATAGCTTAATCGTACATTTTAAAATAACTTAAATAGTGTAATTGGATTGTTTGTAACTGAAAGGATAGATGCTTGAGGGGATGGATACCCCATTCTCCATGATGTGCTTATTCCACATTGCTTGCCTGTATCAAATAATCTCATGTATCCCATAAATATACACACTTACTATGTACCCATAAAAATAAAAATAAAAAAATAAAATTATAGCACTTTAAAATATACATTATAAGCAGCCTAATCAAGGTGGAAATGTGGTAAATGCAATGTAATTAATTTGCATCTTATATAATTAATTCAAAATAAATCAATATGATTTTTTTATACATATATTATACAATATTTTGTGAAAATTGTTATTTATAAAATAAGACATATGATAAAAGGCATTGTATTAGTTTTTTATATTACAAACTAGAAGCCTTTTAAGAGAGAAATGTATTGTCTTCAGTTCTGTAGGCTGAAAGTCTGAAATCAAGATGCCAGCAGGACTGATTCCTTCTGAGTGCTATGAGGGAGAATCTGTTCCAGGGCTTGCCCCTAGCTTCCGGTAGCCTTAGGCATTACATAGCTGTAGATGGACTTTTCCCTGTGCTTTCGCATCATCTTTCCTCTATATGTGTTTGTATATGTGTCCACATTTTACCTTTTTTATAAGGACACAGGTCATACTGGATTATACTGGTCATACTGGATTAGGGCCCAACCAAGTGACCTCATCTTAACTTGATCATCTACACTGGCCCTATTTCCAAAAAAAGTTCAATTCACAGCTACTGGGGGTAAGGATTTCAGTATATTTTTCAGGGACACAATCCAACCCACAATAGGCATGCTGTTACTTTAATAAATGTATATATATAGCAAATTCATTTGTTTGGGTTTGGAAATAATACAATAAAAATTAATGATTTAAAATGAAAAGAACCATATTAACTTTGTTAGATGCTAGAATCTAATTTTCTCTGTCTTCTATAAAAGGAAACAATACCTAGTACTGAAAATTAAGACACTGATAGTTGGCATATGTTAATTTTTCATAGTAATAAGAAAAAGGTAAGTATATTGTACGATAATTAAAAATAAAAGGAGTAAATGTTTCATGATTTCACTTGAGATTATTGGTTTTAATTATCATATTGAATTCTAAATACCAACTCTGACAGTAATTATATGAGTTTTACCTGTGAATTTTATTCAATGTGTCAGGAAAGCCATGGTAGTCTTTCAAAACATTTGTTATGTTTGAAGAACCAATATCATAAGCCTTTGCTACTGTATCTGTTTTTAAGTTGCTTTTTAAAAAAAAGTTAATGACAAATTCTGGAGATGAGTAGTTAGAATATACAAAGCAAATTATCAAAAAAAAGCATTTTTAGGGTTCAATATCTATTTCCAATGCTCTGCTTTATTTTTATGAGATTTTACCTCAGACTTTACACCTTCTTTGACAATAGCCTGAAATAAAAGAGAAAAAGTTGTCAAACAAAAATTGTTGTCACCCACTCTATTTCACAACATTTGAACTCAGAAGATTCCAACTCACGACATAGTGTTCCATTATAGTATTATGTGTCCACCTTAACAAAAACATATAAAAATAAGAAAAAAGAAGCCCTGTGTATTTATTACATTTTGGTTGATTAATAACTAAAAGAGAGATATATAAAATAAATATTTTCAACTATATGTTTATTTGGATGGGTGAGGGCTGTATCTTTTCTGTAAAAGTGAAAAACAGGTATTGTGGATGCAGGAATGCTCCCAGTTAGGTAAGTTTTTATAAAGACAAATTATGAAAGTTGAGAATCTGGAAATTGATTTCCTTAAAAACATCTGAGTCTGTAAGAAAGTTACACATGTCTTAGTTAGCACCACTGATGTATTGGCCCCACTGCTGGACACTGTGGTTCTGGCCATTTGTTCCCAAGCCTGAAGTCTCTGTTGAAGCAGCTTCTGTTCTGAACCATGACTTTCCTGGTCTGTGGGTCAGCTTAGTTCTCTAGGGTCTTTCACCAAGCACTCCAAGTGCAGGATAAGAAATGCCAAGGGCCCCAGCACAGACTCACTTACCTATCTGATTCTTGTTGCTACTTTCACAAGTCACCCTCACGCCATATTGGATGTGATCTTGAGCCCAGATAAGGCCTTCTAATGGCCTTCACATTCCTTACTTTTATTATGCCAGGAGAACAGATCTCCTGCTCTGTCTTTCTGCTTATTCCTGTACATATCCAGAGGTTAAAAAAACAGTTAAAGGAGAGCCTGAAATGTGGAGTGAAGTGGTAAGAAGAATACTTAGGGTCTGATCATTTCTATCATCCCTCTTCCACAATTTCTGGGATGGAAAAAGTGGACTTAGTGTTTTCCCATTCCTCTGCTTACCTCCTCCATTCTTCTAGCTTTGAGCAGTGAAGCTCATAGGCTAGTTTTCATAGAACTCAGCAGAACCTGGGGCATTGGCGGTCCTTAAGAAATATTTGTTGAATGATTGCTTGAATCCATGAAAAGATAATCTAATCTATACATTGACATAACCTGTAGAATCTTATTCCTCCTGATATATTTTAGACATGCTATTGTAATGGCTTTAAGTACTATTGATTTAATTAAATAACCATACATTTTTTAGTCAAAATGTGAGAGACATTTAAATAATAACAGGTCAAAAGTAATCCCCATCCTACTGACTAATGAAAAGGATGTGTGTGAAAATGCAAGAGGCAAGCATGTTAATATACTTTTTAAAGTTCCCATTATAATTTATGTGTTAAAAATTATTTATAGTACTTTGAATTTTCAGAGCTCATTAACTATTAATTAATTGATTTAATTTCTGTACTTTGAAGCAGTTATTCCGTGCTTACTTTTGGCATCTCAGACTAGACATGGTAAAACTAGAAATCTTGACTCTTCTATTCTTAACCACTGCTTCCCAGATATATTAACCATCTAAGCTCATGGTGCTGCCATTCACCCAGTTTCCTGTCCCAATACAAGAAACCAATCCTTGATTCTCCTCTTCTTCATCACTCACACCCAACCCATAATTTAAGCCTGTTGTTTCTGTGTCAAAATGTACCTTGGATCTCAATATATCTTTAATCACCTCTTCCCTGCTACCAGCCTAAATCTGTCACCATCAACTCTTAGCAGTATTATTTTCCTAATTGGACTCAAAAACAGACACTTCACACGTTTCCTCTTTATCCCATTACCCTATAAGTTTTGTTACATCCCTTATAGCACCGCTTTTTATTCTCTTAGAGTATATCATGTTATTTTTTTTTTCTCTACTTGTTATATTATTTTTATCCCACTAGAATGTTAGATCCATGAGAGCAGAGGCCTTGCTTGTGCTTTTCAGGGCTGTATTCTTGTTAACAAAAACAGGGCTGACACATGGTAGGAAATCAAGATGTACAAGTGGGAGCTAAAAAAATTGAACTCATGGAGATAGAGAGTTGAATGATGGTTACCAGAGGCTGGGAAGGGTATGGGGTATTAAGAGGGGATAATAGGTGGAAAAATGCAGTTAGATAAAAAGAATAAGATCTAGTGTCCAATGACACAGTAGGGCTACTATGGTTACAGTAATTTATTGTATATTTCAAAATCACTAAAAGACTGGAATTGGAATATTCCTAACACAAATAAATGATACTTGCTTGAGGTGATGGATACCTCAATTACCCTGATTTGATCATTACACATTATAAGCTTGTATCAAAATATCACATGCACCCCATAAATATGTACAACTATTATGTATCCATAAGAAAAATTTTAAAAAAGTTGCATTTTTGGAATGAATAAATGACCAAATAAGATAATTACAGCAATAAGAGAAAGCCTTTAAATTTTTTTATACAAAGAGATAATATGATCAAAGAATTTAGTTTTGATAGATTATTCTGGTAATGAAAGGATTAGAAATGGGAGTTATGTTTGGAGAATATTGTAATTTTGCAGTCAAGAAATGTAGATGGTCTTAGCTAAGGTAATAATGCGGAAATGGAAAGGAGTGGGTAGATACATGGAACATTTATGAGGCAGAATTGATGTGACTCAATGAATGATTAAATGTAGCTGAGTTGTGAGCAGAAGGAAGTTAGAAAATGACTTAGGATTTTTTAGCTAAGGAGACCCAGTTGTTCTAAAATATTTTAAAGAGGATGTTTCTAAATGAGTTTCCTTCACTTCAACACTAGAGAAACTCATTTAGAAACATCCTCTTTGAAGTGTTTCTAAAGCATTCAGTTAGAGATATTTAGAAGCCAGTTAGAACAAGAAGTTCTCTATGTATAAGGAGAATGGTTATGACTGGAGATTCAGCTTTATGAGTCATTTACTTAAATATGGATGTGGAAATCAGATCAATCTAGTAGAGTAGAGAGAAAGAAAAGACCAATTCCTAGGGTCCTTTAACATTTAAGGAGTGAGATGAAGATGATGATTTAGTAAGGGATACTGAGTCAATGTTTTTTTCTTCCAACAGCATTTCAAATTCTTGCTTTTTATGTATTCATTATTCCACTCAAATTGGACCTTTCTAAATATGCCCATATTTTCTAACTTACATGCTTCTGTTCATGATGTTCCCAGGAATGCTTTTTGTACATTTCTATTCAATGAATAGTGTGTTTTTTAATACTCGTTGAAAATACTTCCCTTGAAAGCCTTTTTGAACTTGCTCAAAAGTTTTCTCTTAGACTATGCATTCCTTGAGAGAAAAAGGAAGTATTCTTCAACATTACTCAGTGAATATAGCAAGTTTTCAATGAATATTTAATAATTTAATCTATGGTAGATTGCATTAATATCCCCAATTCTTCACTCCTCCTTGTATTCCTGCTCTTTGGCATGTAACTTGTAGTGCCCTCTCTGACACGGCGCTCATCCATGTGATTTTCTTCAGCCAATGTTAGGAAGAAGCAATGGTATGTGTAGTGCTCAAGATGTCTTGTCTGTTTCTGATTGCTCCTTTCTTCTGTCATCCTCTGAAGAGGGATATGCCTGGGGTTGCCTGCCAGTCTTAAGAAAAGGATGAAAAATTTTGAGTCATGCCAGGGAACTCAGCATAGATCAACTGAACCTGCAAAGCATGAGAAATAAACACTTATTATTGTATGCCATTGAAGTATCATGATTGTTTGCAATGATTTTATGGCAATTATCTTATTTTATTTTTGAATATAAATAAGTTCATCTAAAAGATATTTGATACATAATCTCCAAGACAAAAACAGGGCTAATTAAACAACATTCTTTAATATGGAGATTATCATCTCCTCCTTAATACTGCTTTAAAAATCTTTTTTCAATTTCTTTAAAAAAACTGCTTTATTGAGGTATAATTGTTATAAAAAAACTGTACACATTTCATGCATACAATTTGATGAGTTTAAGCATATGCATACACCCATGAAACCATCACCACAACCAAGATAATAAATATATCCATCACCTCTAAAAGTTGCCTTGTGTTCCTTTGTTTTCCTGTTTATTTGTTTGTGTTAAGATTTGCTCTCAACAAATTTTGAAGTGTAAAATACAATGTTGTTAATGATACATGCTATGTTGTACAGCAGATTTCTACAACTTATTCATCTTTCATAAGTGAAACTTTATACCATTGAACAATAACTGCACATTTTCTTCTCTCTTCAGTCCCTCACAACCACCATTTACTCTCTGAGCCTATGAGTTTGGCTATTTTAGATACATTATATAAATGAAATCATACAGTATTGCCCTGTGACTGGCTTATTTCACATAATATCATAATGTCTTCAAGGTTCATCAATATTTTCTGTCACATATGGTAGGATTTTTTTTCTTTTATAAGGCTGAATAATATTCCATTGTGTGTTTTCTTTATCCACTTATCTGTCAATGGACATTCTAAATTGTTTCTATATCTTGGTTATTGTTAATAATGCTGCAAAGAACATGAGAGTGCAGATGTCTCTTTGAGATTTTGCTTTCAGTTATTTTGGATATATACCCAGAAGTGGGATTGCTAGATCATATGGGAATTCTACATATAATTTTTTTGAGGAGCCTCTATACTGTTTTCCGAAAATATAGGGGAAAGCCTTCTTGACATTGATATTGGCAATGATTTCTTGGATATGACATCAAAGCACAGGCAACAGAAGCAAAAATAAACGTGATACAACATTAACCTAAAAAACTATACAGAAAAGGGAACAATAAACAGAATGAAGAGACAATCTATGGAATGAGAGAAAATATTTCTGTTTTTAAATTTTTTTGACTTTTAGTTTAGGTTTGAGGGTACATGTGAAGGTTTGTTAAGCAGGTAAATACGTGTTATGGGGGTGTGTTGCACATATTATTTCATTACCCAGGTATTAAGCCCAGTACCCAATAGTTATATTTTCTGCTCCTCTCCCTCTTCCCACCCTCATCTCTCAAACAGACCCCAGTGTCTGCTGTTTTCTTTTTTATATTCATAAGTTCTTACTATTTACTCCCCACTTACAAGTAAGAACATGTGGTATTTGGTTTTCTGTTCCTGTATTAGTTAGCCTTCGGCTCTGCCCATGTTCTTGCAAAAGACATGCTCTCAGTCTTTTTTATGGCTGAATAATATTCCATAGTGTATATGTACCGCATTTTTCTTTATTCAGTCTGTCATTGATGGACATTTAGGTTGATTCCACATCCTTTGCTATTGTGAATAAATAAGCACAGTTTTTAATTGTTGCCTTATACAGTTGCCTTTTAAAACATGGGATAAGAAAAGTGTTACAAACATAATAAATATGTTTATATTGTCTTTTTTTAAAATTATACTTTAAGTTTTGGGATACATGTGCAGAATGTGAAGGTTTGTTACATAGGTATACATGGAGCGAAAATATTTCTAAACAATGTATCTGATGAAAAGTTAATATTCAAAAAATGTAAGGAACTCCAGCTCAATTTCAAAAACAAAAAACAAACAAAAAACAAAAAGACCCCACAACCCAACAAATACCTTGATTAAAAATGGGCCAAATACGTGAATAAGTAATTCTCTAATAGAGACATACAAATGGCCAAAAGGTTTATGAAAGGTGCTCAACATCACTAATCATAAGGAAATGCAAATCAAAACTGCAATGAGATGTCACTTTGCACCTGCTAGGATGGTTATTGTAAACAACCACTACAAAAAAGATAAATACTAGTGGGAATGTGGAGGAAAGTGAACCTCTGTACACTGTTGGTGGGAATGTAAAATGGCTCAGCCACACTTTATGGAAAATAGTGTGGCAATGGTTTTAGTGCAATTATTTTATGGCAATACCTAATACAATTTCAAAATGAATTTCTTAAAAGTAAAGAAATAAAATAGAATCTCTGAAATTTAAGAAAAAAAAAATGAGTTACCCAATGGCAAAGGATAGAATCTCTTATAACACTAGGTGAATAGACTTTGACTAACCAACAAAAACTAACATATTCAATTGAGTGTTGCCTTTCAAAGCCCTCTTATTGTGAGGTTATTCAATTATTTTAATAAAGTAGCTATAGGTTAAGAATTTCTCTTTGTAGATTACTTTTAGAGATAGTTTATAAATCAGTAAAGAAAATCTAGATTTTTTACTTCTTTTTCACATCCAGTGAATTCAGAAAATAACACCCTTCTGATATAATAATTGGATGCTAACCAAGGCAGCCTTAATCCTCTTACCTTGACTAGACTTTGCACAGGTTTCTTCCTGACTGTAGGCACCTGACCTCCTTTTGCTTAGAGAATTTGTTTTAGAAAACTTGTAATTGTAAATCCTTTCTCTGTCCCTTTGAAATGTATGTAAATTATCCTCTAGCCTCTTGCCTGTTTTACAACGCAGAAATTACCTTTCTCGAAGACCTAGAATCTATCCCATTGAGATGTAGTCATCAAGAGGAACAGCTTCCCTATCTTCCAGTCTCTGTGGTAGGGTAAGACCTTCATAAACAAACACCTTGAGCCTAATCACATTGAGCAACCTCTCTGCTAATGTCCTCCAGCACTTTGCTGCTGGCGACCCCCCATGATTAAAAACCCACCCATCTTTTGTTTCAGTGGAATAGAATTCAATCTCTCTCCCCTTTTACAATAGTCTTGGGTAAAGTCTTCCTTGCCTGTCAAACTCTGTCTGGCGTAATTATTCTTTGAAAATGCAAAATAATGTAAAGCACTTTTTTTCAAAATAGATCAAATCCAGGTGGTATGCCTATTTTTTTTTATTATGGTAACCAAACTCAATATGAAAAGCAAAGTGGAAGTGATTTCATGTAAATTCTTATCTGAGAATCTTTTAAAAGTCAATTTCCCGGCCAGGTGCAGTGGCTCACGCCTGTAATCCCAGTGCTACGAGAGGCTGAGGTGGGTAGATCACCTGAGGTCAGAAGTTCGAAATCGGCCTGGCCAACATGGTGAAATCTGTCTCTACAAAAATAGAAAAATTAGCTAGGCATGATGGCAGGTGCCTGAAATGCCAGGTACTCCAGAGGCTGAGGAGGGAAGATCGCTTGAACCCAGAAGGCAGAGGTTGCAGTGAGCCGAGATTGTGCCGTTGCACTCCAGTCTGGGTGACAGAGTCAATTTCCCCTTGCTCTCATTTCTTCTGAACATTTTATGTTAGCCAATTCTTAACATATTGAATTGGCACTTTAAGATTTGAAGGCATATATTTTTCAGAGAATGTACTTTATTTTTCTTTCAATTCATCCTTTTAAATTTCACTAATGTGGAAGTAACATTCTTTCTCCATAAGGGCTTAAGTTGTTAAAAGATGAGACACAGGGATTTTCTTCTGTGTACCTCTAAACTTAAGGGATATTTTGCATTCCCTTTCAGTAGGATGTCACACAGCATTCCAGAGGCGAAGTACTTAGGGTAGCAATTACATTACTTTAATGGAATCACTTTTAAAGGTGCTATAATCAATCATCATTAACAACAACAAAAGTGACAAAAACTAACTTTGTTAACTAGGAGAGATTTTGAGCTCGAGATCCTTCCAACTAATTATATTTTGATAGATCATTTGGAACTAGCTTTAAATGTTTCCAGGAGTTTCTGAACAGTTGCCTTTTTAGAAGCCAGTTTTATTTTTAATAATATGAGAAAGGGACCAGAGATTTTTCTGGGAGTGAATTAATCAGGGTGAGGAAAGAAAATAGGGGTTAAAGAAAATTTGCTTTGTGAGATGGAAAGATACTCATGTACGGTGATGTTAACTTTTATTAAAGGCAAAAGAGAGAGCAGCCATTTCGTACAAACATACACAGACAACCAATGAAGGAGACTAAAGATAGGAATTTCCCATAACTAATGGGCCTCAAATATTTGTTCTTTGAACACAAGTGTAAGGCCTTCTGCATGGGTCACTAGGCTGGGCCCAGTACATTGATATTACTTTTTGAGTCGTAAATTAGAACATTTGTCCTGGCAATTATAAATCTATGCAAAGAATACAGTAATATAAACTACTTCATATATTCTGAAGCTGCTTTTAAAATATTTTGAGTGTGGTTGTGTAGGCTAAAGTATAGATACTCTATTAGGGCCTCATAAACAAAGGAGAAATGTTGGATGGGATGGAGAAAATTCAAGGATTGGGGAAAAATGTCAATGCTAAACAGTAAAATTATAACGAAACTACCTTGATAAGAAAACAAAAGTGCAAAACACTTTGCTAGCTTTTTCTACGGCAGCTTCAGCAGGTGGCGCTGGTGAGCTTCCAATAGGTAATAATGTGCATGGTAAAAGTTGAGTTTCATGGGTTATGCGGATGTACTGCTCTCCTCTCCAGGGCTCCAGGGATGAAAAAACGTGCAGTCCAATAAAGATCTGAAATACGTCATTCTTTTAGTATATATGTATTAAACAGATGCCTATGTAGGTATCAATTTATATTAGCAATTACAAACATATTCATGGCTTATTTCTAAAGAAAAGTGCCTGATAATAAAAAGATTTATTTGAAATTACTCAACATAAGTTTTAAAAAATGTCTAGTCCTGGCAGGGTGCGGTGGCTCACGCCTGCAATCCCAGCACTTTGGGAGGCCGAGGTGGGCGGATCACGGGGTCAGGAGTTAGAGACCAGCCTGACCAACATGGTGAAACCCCATCTCTACTAAAAATACAAAAATTAGCCGGATATGGTGGCTCGCGTCTGTAATCCCAGCTACTCAGGAGGCTGAGGCAGGATAATCACTTGAACCCACGAGGCGGAGGTTGCATTGAGCTGAGCTTGCGCCACTGCACTCTAGCCTGGGCAACAGAGCGAGACTCCGTCTCAAAAAAAAAAAAAGGAAAAAGAAAGTCTCGCCCTCAGTTTTCCTGAATTTCTCTCAAGTTCTATATGAGTACATCTGCCAAGGGCCACATTATTTTGTGAATGGATAATTGAGATAATTGGCAGTATGTTACAGAGCAGTGGCAGTTCTCCTTGAACTTAGACAAGATGCAAGTCACTTAAGGATGTTGTAAAATGTGGGTTTTAATTCAGTACATCTGAGTGGGACCTGAGATTCTGCATTCCTAACAAGCTCCCTGATGATGGCAATGCTGTAAATTTTCATATTACGCCGAGTAGCAAGGCTATAGGGGAATTTATATCAGATCTACCTTCCAGCCCTGGTAATCTTCCTTAACAAGTATGTGACCTTGATGAAGTCAGTTTATCTCTAATAATGAAATAGAAAAAATAAAGTAGTATCTCTTCTTTTTATTTATAGTAATCATTTTAGGGTCTTATAAAATGCTGAATTATCTACCAAAGGAAACATTCAGTTATATTTTGTAAATAGTTGGAAAACCAGTTGCATATATTGACTTTAACATATTAGAAAATGATTGACACATAAAAATTATTGGCTAAATGTGAAAAGTTTACTTATTTCAGATTTTAGTTTCTGTATTGACTTTTAACCTTAGAGAGATCCTTAAAACATAAGTGAATAGGAATGCAAGGTATATAAATGAGAGAATTGACAACAAGTCTAAAAACGGGGTGGAAATACTTCATTGAAAGAAAGAATGAGAAAAAATGCAAATTACTTAATTTTGTAATTATGATTTTAAAATAACATCCCAGAAAGAAATGAGAAAATAATTGTAAGTCATTTTTAATTGTGTGACTCAAATAATAAATTAATATCCCCATAGGGATGTAGTGATCAGCTAAAAGCGGCTTGCTGAGTGCCTACGAGCACCAGTGAGGTAGTGAAGCTATCCTGGGCTAACAAAGACGCTTATCCTTAAGTCACGTCTTCCTTATAGTTGATACCTGGTTTCCTGTTTGACTTGAGTAAAAATTTCCACCACACACTGTTTGTCCATATGTGTCTCAGCAGTAGAACAGTGACTAACAGCAGTTTTATTGGATTGGGCATTTGTTATCATTGTAATTAATGCCTGAATGTTCAGCAAGTGAGTCGTGTCAATAAATGGCATCTCAGACATGCAGGTAAATCGAAGAAGAATGCTTAGGCTTCTATATGGAAGTGCTGCAATCTTCAGTTATGTAAGTAATTTGTATCTCCTTTCTTAGTGCTTTGGAATCCCACTGCCTAAGGTCTTATTCCAGCTCTAAAGTTTAATGACTATGGCTTGGACAAGTTACTCAACTTCTCTGAAACTCAGTTTCTTCATCTGCAAAATGCAAGTATTATCAGAGCTTAACTTTCTAGGGTTGTTTAGGAAATTTTAAAAGAGATATAATACATGGGAACACAGTTTTGGTATTTGGTAACCTATCAACGCATGTTGGCTGCTAGTATTGCACTTGCCATTATTATTATCAGTAGTTGTTATTGCTGCATTGCAGAAATGGACTCTAGTTTATTTTCTGAACTTTTTGATTGTTGTTACTTTGTGATCATATTGATACTCAAATTCAACTATTAATTACGAACTATTAGTGCAGTTTAAGAGTTTCAGCCTTGTTTTAAAATCACATTTTTCCTATAGTCATTTTAGCCTTTGACGAAGATTTATTCTTCTTTTAAAATGAAGTCATGTTAACTAATTAATTACTGTAACTCTTTAGGTGATTCTGTAAATAGTTTTAATATTTTGGATAATTGTCATTAGTAATAATTTCCGCAGTTTTTCTTACAAAAGCAGTAATCATCTCTTGCATTTTTATGTTAACCTTAAAAAACTATGACAACCTGAAGTTTCTAAAGATGAATTCTCCTAAAGGTGAATCTAAATATTAAAATTCAATGGCATTTAGTGTGTTTCATACATACTATATTATTTGGTAGAGCTAACTTCCTTATGACCCAAAGTAATTTTGAGTTATAGCGTATGTAGGTAGGTAGATGCAATCTGATTTTCACAAATGAATAATTAGATTTGAAATTTAGTTCAGTTATTTTTCACAGCTACACAGCTTAAAAGCAGCAGAGAGAGATCTCAAGCCCAGGCCTCATTGTTCCAAATCCAGTACTGTTTTTAAAGCCACAAAGAGACTTTGACCTATAAGGTCTGGGAGTCAGCTTCAGGAGGATGTCGAGTTAAATCCATAAGTAGCATTTGAGATTATGTGGTTCCCAAGATGTCCTAAAGGAATTATCTGCCATTCTCACTCAAAGGCTTCATTTGACAGTACTTCCATCAGGAAACACTACGCTTTCCTGCTAAAACTGCCTATGGCTTTGGAATGCAGTACTATGGTTGTCACCACAAGCTCCAACTAAATGCTCAGTGGGATTATTGGCTCAGTGAGAGCCTAGCTTGGATCCTGACCTTACCTACTAAATGCACAAGATATTAAAACTGGAATCAACTTAATTCTCCCATTCAGCCAACAAGTATTTCCTGAGCTCCTAGTATACAAATTGATGCATAAGTTATAAAATCTAGTGAGTAAATAAGTAATTACAAGTTGTGTTAATCATAAATATGAAAGGTCAGTGGAGGGAGCAGGTTGTTGATATAGACTATGAATTGGAGGTGGAAAGGAAGCAGGGTGGTCTGAGAAGGGCTCTCAGTCTCCTTGCTTTACCGATTAGAAAACTGAAATCCTGACACATGAATTGCTGGTGAAGATCCCTTAGGTAAGTGACAGATGGACCAACACCAGAACCTATGTCCCTTCACTCCAACACTCAGGATTTTTACTTGATGTTTTGGAAATTAGTATTTTCAGATAGTCTAGTTGGTTTTAAAACTCAGCAACTATTTTTCTCAGATATATGTAGCACTATAAACATGTATATTAAAAAGAGAAAAGTAAACCTTTTCCCTGAGGAAAAGGCATTAAAAGTAAGTAAAATACTTAAGAATGCCATACTAAAGTGTATTTTTGTACCGTATTCATGTATATATTTCTTTTTCTATCTATCTATTATTTATCACCTATCTATCCATCTATCTACATCTAGTTAGATAGATCAATGATAGATCAATAAATATATATAAACTATCTAGGATCTAACCCATTTAACCAGAGCCTGTTACTAAAGTTCTGCCTGGCATCAGGGATGTACTCAAGTTGGAAATCACAGGCTATACCTAAGACATCTGAATTGTGACCTTCACGGAAAACAGCCCTGGGAAAGAGTGGTCAGTATTAGAGGTTTTCAGAGACTGTGTCTTTTATTGACACCAACAATGGCACGTATTGGCCCCCAGTAGGACTGTGAGTGAAATCTTACCTCTGACACTTGCAGACATTACCAACTGATGATGCACAGCAGTCCTGTATCAAAGGCTACTCACATAAAATGAGAATTATTAAGAGAGTGAAGCTAATTTCACAACCAAGGTACACAGTGTAACAGAGAATTTAGTCACATTCGGTTATAGGCGGTAAAATGTTGATGTGGGGAGCCCAGAAGGGAAAATTCAACACGTTGAGTCACACAGCAGAGCTGGTCTATGAACTGGATTCTGAAATTTACAGTTGATAAGTATAGAATTTTGGTCTCACTATTTCAGTCTTCCATACCATAGACCTCTCATCCATGGGACTGAAGCAAGCAATGGTGTGCATTCAAATGGAAGGCTCTTGTGGCTGATTCCTGGGGTCTTTGAGGACTAAGTATCCATAGGGAGGTGGCTGCCCTGCATTGTGAAGTGTCCTTGAGGCATGTGGCAGAGTCTGCAGCAAGGAGCCCCAGAGTTAAGCAGAGCCTCCTTTTCCGATGTTACAGTATGAAGCCAGTCATTGCCTAACTTTCAACCCCAATAACTCCTTTTTATTGATTTTTTTCTATAAACATTAAGATTAGAGTATTTGCCACATTGTTCTTATCATGTGCAAATAATTAGCTGTCACATCGTTATTATTCAGGTATATAAAATCACAATTAAGAACTTCTGATTATTCAAAGATAACTAGTGGCATCACATTGAGCTGTCATCATTTTAGCCAAAGCAAGACAAAAGACAGCAAAACTCATTATTTTACTTAACCTGTGAGGTTTTACCTAAGACAAGCTTTGGCTTTTTTGAAATGTTGAATTCAGCCCTTCATTGATAATAGGGACCTCTCTGACTAGAAATCACTGGGTTAAGTTTTGAGGGTTTGTCTGACTAACTCACTTTTTCTTTTCTTTCCTCTCTTTTCTTTCTTTCCTTTCCTTTCCCTTCCCTTCCCTTCCCTTCCCTTCCCTTCCCTTCCCTTCCCTTCCCTTCCCTTCCCTTCCCTTCCCTTGCCTTCCCTTCCCTTTCCTTGCCTTCCCTTCCCTTCCCCTTCTAACCCTGGAAAGTGAACATGGATATATTTAATATAGTTTTATTTGCTTAATACATATATTACATATAACCTCACTGTAGAAATCAGGGTATGGGTAGAAAACAGAATTCCCCTCAGATTGGTCAAGTAATTCTTTTATTTTTAGTGACTTATAATAATTGTATATCTTTGTGAGATACCAAGTGATATTTTGAGATATATATATATACACTATGTAATAATCAAATCAGAATAATTAGTATATCAATCACCTCAAACATTTATTATTTCTTTGTGTTATAAATATTTGCAATCCTCTTTTCTAGCTTTTTGAAAATATACACTAAATTATTAACTATATTTACCCTACAGTGCTACAAAACACTAGAACTTATTCCTCCCATGTAGTTATAGCTTTGTTTCTGCCAACTAGCCTCTCCCAATCCTCCACTGCTTCCTACCCTTACCAGCTTCTAATAACCAAAATTATACTCTGTACTTCCTTGAGCTTAATTTTTTAGCCCCCGTATGAGTGAGAACATGCAATATTTATATTTCTATGCTTAACCTATTTTACTTAACATAATGTTCTCCAGGCTCATCCATGTTGCCAAGAATGACAGAATTTTATTCTTTTTTATGACTGAGTAGTAATCCATTGTGTAGATATGCCACATTTCCTTTATCCATTTGTATTAGTCTATTCTCAGATTGCTATAAAGAAATACCTGAGACTGGCTATAAATAAAAGAAAGTTGTATTAAGTTTCTTTATAAAGTTTTATAAGGTAAAGAAGTTTAATTGGTTCATTGTTCCTCAGGCTATACAGGAAGCATGATTGGGGAGGCCTCAGGAAACTTATAGTCATGATGGAAGGTGAAGGGGAAGCAGGCACATCCTACACAGCTGGAGCAGGAGGAAGAGAGAAAATGGGGAGGCGCTACACACTTTTAAACAAACAGATCTCCTAAGAACTCACTATCACAAGAACAGCAGGAGGAACTTCTGCCTTCATGATCCAGTCACCTCCCACCAGGCTCCTCATCCAACATTGGGGATTAAAATTCAACATGATGTATAGGCAGGGACAAATATCCAGACTATATCACCATTTATCCATTGAGGGACATTTAGATTGATGCTATGTCAGGACTATTGTGAATAGTGCTACAATAAGCATGAGGGTGCAAGTATCTCTTCAATACACTTTTCTCTTTTCCTTTGGATAAATACCCAGTAGTGGGATTGTTAGATCATATGGTAGTTCTGTTTTTTAGTTTTTTGAGATATCTCTATACTGTTTTCCATAATGGTTGTCTAATTTACATTTTCACTAACAGTGTCTAAAAATTCGCTTTTCTCTGCATTCTTACTAGTATTTATTATTTTTTGTCTTCTTGACAAGAGCTATTCTAACTGATATGAGATGATATCTTATTGTGGCCTTTATTTGCATTTCCCTGATTGGTGATGTTGAACATTTTTAATATACTTGTTTATTTGTATGTCTTCTTTTGAGAAATGTCTATTCTGATCCTTTGCCCAATTTTTATTAGATTATTTGTTTGTTTGGTTGGTTTTTTTCTATTGAATTGTCTGAGTTTCTTTGCATATGTTGGATATTAGCCCCTTATCAGATGAATAGTTTGCAAATGATTCTACAGGTTATTTCTTCACCTGTTGATTGTTTTCTTCATTATTAAAAAGCTTTGCAGTTTCATATGTCATATTTGTCTATTTTTGTTTTTGTTGCCTGTACTTTTGAAGTCTCAGCCATAAAATTTTTGCCTCAGCCAATGTCCTAAAGCATTTCCTTATGTTTTCTTTTAATAGTTTTAGAGTTTTTGGGTCTTATGTTTAAGTTTTTAATCTATTTTTAGTTGATCTTCATATATGGTGAGAGATAGAGGTCTAGTTTCATTCTTCTGCATATGGATATCCAGTTTACCTAGCATGATAGGGTGAAGAAGGTGGTTTTTCCCCAATGTATGTTCTTGGTCTCTGTTGAAGACCAGTTGGCTCTAAACATGTAAATTTATTTCTGGGTCCTCTATTCTGTTTCACTGGTCTATGTGCCTATTTTTATAACAATATCATGCTGTTTTGATTACTATAGCTTTGTAGTATATTTTGAAGTCAGGTATTACAATGTCTCCAGCTTTGATTTTTTTTTTCCAGGAAAAGACATCTTAACAAGGGGAAAATTTATAGAGGTATAGGCATGGTTAGTGGAACCAGCAAGGGATGATGAGGGACCCAGAGACTAACAAGAGTAGGAAGCCATTGTAACTCCTAGGAATGCAGATATCGAAAGGAGAAATAATTTCATGGAGGCCTGTAACATTTGAAGCCATAGAGAAGGACTTTTTGCTTGAGATTTAATCCTAAAAAAGTACTGAGCTGAAAGAAATGCAGTACTAAAGCAAGACACAAGTAAAGAAAGGAATCCTTTTTGATGTGCACTGGATTCAGTTTGCCAATATTTTATTGAGGATTTTTGCAGTGATGTTCATCAGGGAGAGTGGCCTGAAGTTTTCTTTTTTTGTTGGATCTTTGCCAGGTTTTGGTATCAGGATGAAGCTGGCTTAATAAAATGAGTTAAGGAGGAGTCTCTGCTTTTCAATTGTTTGGGAGAGTTTCAGAAGAAATGGTATCAGCTTCTCTTTGTACCTCTGGTAGGATTCAGCTGTAAATCAATCTAGTCCTGGGCTTTTTTTTGGTTGATAGGCTATTTATTACTATCTTAAGTTTAGAATGTGTTATTGGCCTATTCAGAGATTCAACTTCTTCCTGGTTCAGTCTTGGGAGGGTGTGTGTGTCCAGGAATTTATCCATTTTGTCTAGATTTTCTAGTTTATTTGTATAGAGGTATTTATAGTATTCTCTGATGGTTGTTTGTATTTCTGTGGGGTGAGTGGTGGTATCCCCTTTATCATTTCTGATTGTGTTTATTTGAATCTTCTCTCTTTTCTTCCTTATTAGTCTAGCTAGAAGTCTATTTTATTGATTTTTTTTTAAACAGCTCCTGGATTCATTGATTTTTTGAAGGGTTTTTGTGTCTCTATGCCCTTCACTTCCACTCTGAGCTTGGTTATTTCTTGTCTTCTGCTAGCTCTGAAGGTTGTTTGCTCTTGGTTCTCTAATTCTTTTACTTGTGATGTTAGGATGTTGACTTGAGATCTTTCTCGATTTTTGATGTGGGGATTGTTGGCTTCATCTCTGGGATACAAGGCTGATTCTACATATGCAAATCAATAAATGTAATTCATCACATAAAGAGAACTAAAGGCAAAAATCATATGATTGTCTCCATAGATGCAGAAAAGGCCTTTAATAAAATCCAAAATCATTTCATGTTAAAAAGTCTCAATAAATGGGTATTGATGGAACATACTTAAAAATAATAAGAGCCATTTATGACAAAACCGCAGCCAATATCATACTGAATGGGCAAAAGCTGGAAGAACTCCCCTTGAAAACTGGCACAAGACAAGGATGCCCTCTCTCACCACTCTTATTCAACATAGAAGTTCTGGCTAGGGCAATTAGACAAAAGAAAAAAATAAAGCATATTCAAATATGAAGAGAGGTAGTCAACTGTCTCTGCTTGCAGATGACATTATCCAATATATATAGAAAACCCCACTGACTCAGTTCAAAAGCTTCTTAAGCTGATAGTCGACTTCAGCAGACTCAGGATACAAAATCAATGTGTAGAAATCACAAGCATTCCTATACAGCAACAACAGACAAGTAAAAAGCCAACTCATGAATGAACTCCCATTCACACTTGCCACAAAGAGAATAAAATACCTAGGAATACAGCTAATAAGGGAAGTGAAGGACCTCTTCAAGGGAAACTACAAACCACTGCTCAAAGAAATCACAGAGGACACAAACAGATGGAAAAATATTCCATGTTCATGATAGGAAGAATCAATATCATGAAAATGGCCATACTGCCCAAAGTAATTTATAGATTCAGTGCTATTCCCATTAAACTACCATTGACATTCTCCACAGAATTAGAAAAAAACCATTTTAAAAGTTATATGGAGCCAAAAAAGAGCTTGTGTAGCCAGGACAATCCTAAGCAAAAAGAAAAAAGTTGGAGGCATCATATTACCCAATGTCAAACTATACTACAAGGCTACAGTAATCCAAAACAGCATGGTACTGGTACAAAAACAGGCATATAGACCAGTGGAACCGAATAGAGAACTCAGAAATAAAACTGCACATCTACAACCATCTGATCTTCAACAAACCTGACAAAAACAAGCAATAGGGAAAGAATTTCTTATTTAATAAATAGTGCCGGAGAACTGGCTAGCCAATTGAAACTAGACCCCTTCCTTAAACTTTGTACAAAAATTAACTCAAGATAAAGACTTAAATGAAAATGCAAAACCATAAAAGCTGTAGAAGAAAGTCTAGCAATACCATTCAGGACATAGCCACGGGCAAAGATTTTATGACGAAGTCACCAAAAGCAATTGCAACAAAAGCAAAAATTAGAGCTTCTGCACAGCAAAAGAAACTATCATCAGAGCCAACAGACAACCTACAGAATGGGAGAAAATTTTTTCAATCTATCCAGCTGACAAAAGTCTAATATCCAGAATCTACAAGGAACTTAAGCAAATTTACAAGAAAGAAAGTAAACAATCCCATTAAAAAGTGGGCAAATGACATGAGCAGACACTTCTCAAAAAAAGACATATATGTGGCCAACAAACATGAAAAAAAGCTCAACATCACTGATCACTAGAGAAATGTAAATAAAAACCACAATGAGATACCATCTCACACCAGTCAGAATGGTGATTATTAAAAAGTCAAGAAACAACAGATGGTGATGAGGTTTCAGAGAAATAGGAGCACTGTTACACTGTGGGTGGGAACACATTTACAATTTGGATGTCAACCATTGTGGAAGACAGTGTGGAAATTCCTCAAAGATTTAGAACCATAAATACCATTTGACCCAGCAATCCCATTACTAGGGACATGCCCAGAGGAATATAAATCATTCTATTATAAACATACATGCACATGTATATTCATTGCAGCACTATTCACAATAGCACAGACATGAAATCAACCCAAATGCCCATCAATGATAGGCTGGATAAAGAAAATGTGGTACATATATACATGAAATACTATGCATTAAAAGGAATGAGATCATGTCATTTGCCGGGACATAGATGAAGCTAGAAGCCGTTATTCTCAGCAAACTAACACAGGAACAGAAAACCAAACAACACCACATGTTCTCATTTATAAGTGGGAGCCTAACAGTGAGAACACGTGGACATAGGGAGGGAAACAACACACACTGGGGCCTGTTAGAGGAGGGCAGTGGAGGGAGGGCATCAGGAAAAATAACTAATGCATGCTGGGCTTAATACCTAGGTGAGGGGTTGATAGGTGCAGCAAACCACTGTGGCACAAGTTTACGTATCTAACAAGCCTGCATGTCCTGCACATAAGCCCTGTAACTTAAAATAAAATAAAATAAAATAAATGTTAAAAAAAAAGAGTCCTGACCCTTTCTCCTCCAGACCTCCAATCTCTTGAAGATGACCACTCTGATGGAAACCGACTGTCAAGGAAATCCACTGATTCAGTTCATATAGAGCATCCTCCTAGGGTACACACAGGAGGAAAATGGTCACAAATGAATGGGGTCAGAGATTGTGAGGCAAATACAGAATAACCAGCAGATTTACTACTCTTCTGGGTAACTTAAAGGTTGTAGCATTTTGCAAAAAATGTTTGGTTTTTCTATAACTTCATTTATAGAAATGTCATGGAAAATACTAAACGTACACAAAAATTTAGTTCCTGACTTAGCCATGGGTAATAAAATCAACCCGACCTTGAGGTCTGTGCAATAATGAATACATTACTGTGTTGCCTTTAGAATCAGTGCAGAAATATTTTCCTCTATTAGCAGTTTCACTAGAATCAGATCATATATTTTGTTTCCTAGAATAGTAAGAATTACTTATACTGCATTTGTTTTCAGAGAAAAATAGCAGATTGATTACCAAAGATGTTTTCATAAAGGATATTATTGCAAGACTTGTATTCCTATTCCTTGAAAATATGAGAGATGAAATTATATGTAAGTAATCATGTCATTTACATTCTAATATCTATTCAGTATGCTCTGTAAGAAATGAGAGACAATTTTCATAATCCTCACTCAGTGGCCAGCTTCATTTCTGTCCATTCAATGTTCTTTAGTGTCTGATACATGACGCGTATTATAGGCAATAATCCAAGAGCTAAAGCATGTTTCTTCATTTTTATAGAGTAAAATTATATTATTCTGGTCAATTCCTGTTAGTCCACATAAAATATGTATATTATCTTCAGTTTCCCCTTCAATTTGCTTGATTCCACTCAACTTTAAAGGCACCTAGACAATGTAAATAACAGAGCTTTCTAATTCTATAAGGAGTCAAATCTGAACTTAATAGTAATTGGGCTTAAGAACAAAGATTTCTTCTTTAAATTCAAGATAGCATGAATGACTTCTTTTAGTTTTCACTTTACTGTCAAAGTTTGGTACTGGTGGAGTGGGGGTCACTAGGTGGCTGGTAAGGCAAAGCACTTAGGAAAAAAGACCCAAGGGCACAAATAATTTCTTGGTTAAATTATACTTGGTTGTATTTTCATCTTTATGTGTTCTCTAAGTATTTCCATAAAAATACGAAAGAACAAGAACTTTATGCACTCACTAACCATAGCTCTGTTGGGTTCTCTAGCAGGTTCTCCAGTGAGACTGGGAAATATTCTTACCATATTTATGTCTAGTGATTAGCTCAATCTTACCAATCACCTAGCTTTTCATCTAACTATACTCTAGCTTGAAGGCATTATATCATAATAATGCATAATTATTTGACACTTTCTTTGGTACATGTTTAATTTTCAAGGTTAAAGAAAAGCAATGTGGCTTTATCTTAAGAGGCAAAATCATCAGCTTTATTAATTAATTTAGTTTGTTAATTACTCCTCCTGTGACAAGTTACCTAATCTTGGTATGTCTCTTAGAATTCTGTGTTGTAAGAATTAAACAAGGCAGCATGTGTTACTTACCTAGCACAGTGACTGGTGCCAAATGGGGGCCTGATTAGTATTATTACCCATATTATTTTTCTTGTTCGCTGAATGTAATAGTCAGTAGAACAGTAATCTGGAAGCACTACTTTAATGCATGTGTATATAAGAAGCCACTAGGAATAATAATCAGTAAGAGCTTGAATCTAGAATTTACTCAGAGGTAGCTCATCAGAGACTGGCAGGAGAAGCAGGTAAACCAGAACTTCATAGTGTCCAGAAAGAGAAAATTCCTGGCTAAGGGGTCTAATCATAAAGCAGTAGCGCTATAAGTGGGAGGCAGTATAATTTGTCCTGGAAGCAAGACTGATATGTGTGGATGGAGATAGATGTTCCTAGGTGAGAAGATTCAGGAGGTACAAAAATGGAACTTCTTTACTTCTGTATATTTGATTACAGATTTATAAATATTCTTGTCTCCATTAATTCTCACTCCCTAACCGTGACAGAGTTATTTTATAGAATCCAAGAATATTGACTTACAAATGCACTGTTATTGCAACTGGAGATCAGCTAAAGGCCTTTAATAAAGGACCTTCTGTGGTGTGGAAGCCTCCTAAGTCCTTGTTATTTTCCAACACTAATTTCTCTATAACAATAGTGAATATTCATTATTGTATGCATTTATTCAACAAATGTTTATTGAAGAGCTACTAAATGCTAGGTTCAGCATTAGGTTCTGGAGATACAGATGTTCAGATAGCACAGTCTCTTTCCTCAAACTCCATAATTCAATAGGGAAGACAAATGATTACAACAAAACTGATGATAATATACTGCCTAATAGCATCTATCTAATTCTGTATATGCACATAATAACTACAGTTCATTTAGCATTTGCTCTTTGTTGGCTATTCATAACTCCTAAGCCTCACAAGTGCTGTGCCTATTTTGCAATTTGGGAAAATGAGACAAGGAAAAGCTAAGTGACTTATCCAAGTTCATATAGTTACAAAAAGTTTAAGCCCAGATTTGAATTTGACCCTTTCATGGTTGAATCCAACAGTGATGAATTTTTTCTGGGATGATGGGAATTAAAGCACTGTAGGAGAGAAGACTAATAATTTTGGATTTGAAAGATAGTTAGGTAGTTTTCAGGTCAATGAGAAGTGTAAGCACAGTCCAACAGAAGAAATAGTATTTTCATGAGAACATGAGACAGCAAGGTGTATCCAAAATATTAAGGGGTTCATATTGCTGGATTTAAGTTCAGAGAAGAAATTGACAAAAGGTGAGACCATGGATATGGTCTCGTTAGGCAGAATTAGGAAATTGAAGAGCTGTATATGCTGTTTTTATCATCTTAAAATGAGGCGTTTGTGAAAAAGGGTTTATTTCCATCAGTGGCAAATGTAGGCTGTATTTTGCCTAAGTAGTGTCTTTCTTTGCCAGTCTAGACTCTAGACTAGTGAGGCAAAGACTGGAAGGCTAATGAAAAGGCAGTTCAGGAATAAGATTACAGGGATTTGAACTAGCATAGGGTCAGGTGAAAAGGAGAAAATGGATCCCAGTTGTTAGCTAGGTAGAATGCTCTGGATTTCATGTATCCCATAGTTGGGAATGGGGAAAGTGGGGAAAATGCATCATTGATACAATCTAGAAGAAGGGATTTAGAATGACTCACATTGCAGATTTGAGAGACAAGTTGTCCTCAACCAAAAATTGGGAATAAACAAGGAAGAACAGCAGACTTACAATTTTTTGGGAAGGGGGAATGAAGGGGAGGTAAAGGGAATAAGACTTTAGTTTTAGACATGTTTTGGAGATCTTTGTCAGATATATAGGTGCAATGTATAGTAATGTATTTAAGCTAAAGTTCACTACAGAGATCTGCTAGAGTGTTATATTTGGCAATCGCTAGAGTTTGAAAAATTTTCTTTATATTTAGAAATAATGAATGCAAGTGTTTGAGTCTATCCTATGTGCCAGGCATGGTGTTAAACATTTTGTGTGCCTATTCATGTCCCATCTTCAGGGAGGTCTGTTTTTTCCTTTTCTCATTCCACGTTTAAGAAAACTTCTATCATGCAGCTACAGGTGAAATTTAAATACTTAAGAATGTATGTGCTTGGGTAAAGAGAGAGAGCTTTGTGAAAGGAAAAAAGATAAAGAACCCCAGGGAACACTTAGGGTCAAGCAAAAGAGACTAAGACGCAGTGATGAGAGAGAAGAAAAACCAGGAGATCAGGTGTTGGGTAAGCAACGTTGGGGGAGAGACTGCTCATGATGTAATAACATCAAATACTACAGAAAGTCTAAGTAATATAAGTGCTATTTTCACTTGGCAATTGGCAGGTGAGTGGGGGCTCCCACTAACATCGCAGGGGCAGACATTAGATTGCAGTGTATTAAGGAGTGAAAGTAAGTCAAGACAGTATACTGAACGTGTTTTAAGAATTTTGGTTGAGAAAAAGAGAGAATGAGAAGTGACAATGGGGTTCTAAGGCCAAGGAAGAGGTTTCTAAGTGTTGACAGGATTGAGCTTGTGTGTAGGGTCTAAGAAACCAAATGCAGTTATTGAAGATAGTTGAAGAAGTCATGCTGGAGGGAAATGAGAAGGTGGAGGACTGCAGAGATTGGCTGTGAGAGGAGGCTGATGTAAAATTAAAATACAGAATTTCACCAGAGGGTGGAAGAATAGTGGATTGGATGCAGAATTGGGAATCAAAAATATTCTGACAGTATCTCTCAATTCTGTGAAGAATGATCTGTTTTGGGGAAGAGTCTAAGGAAGTGAGGTCTTGAGGGTGGGATGTTTGTTTTAGGGCAAGGAAGTAGTTGGAGGGTCTTTGAAGACCTAAGGCTATGGGACCACGGATGTTAATAGAGCTGGGGTCCCACAGGTAACAGCTTAAGGAGGAAGAATTTTTAAGGCAATTATAATTCCTGTGCAATTCTGCACTGTATAAAGCTGAGGTAAATCAGTGTGCAGAAATAACCATTGTAATTTCACCTTTAACTGAGTTGCTATAGATATAGGGAACATCTGGCCCCAGGCTCTGTCAGTACAGATGAGGTAACTGCAGCCTTCAGAAGGGAATTATTGCCAGGTCTCGGGCTTGATTTTCTAACTTCCATCTTCTATTTCCTTTTTTCCATCTTTTCTTTCTTTTTTTTTTTAATTTCTCTCCTTCTTTTTTCCTTTTCTCATCCTCATCCTCCCTCTCTTTTTCCTGCTCTTTCTTCCTTTCCATTATTCCTCAGTTACTTTATTTCTTTCTCAGTGTATTAATGAACATTTTTGAGGTCTCTGACATCATTAAAAACTTTATCTATTGCTCTATTGTATGTTAAGCATATTTTCTCTAAGATAAAGTAGAAGGTGACTTTAAATTTCATGCTGCTTTGATTTTTTTAAATTATTGATTTGACTCAGGCCACGTCTCTGAGCAGGGTCTAAAATAAGACATGGAGTATATTTGAGCTTGGATTCACATTTCACATCCACCTTAATTTCTTTATTGAGTGTTGGAAAACACTGTAACTGAAAGAATTCTAAGAGGAACACATACATACATGACAATAGTATTCAGGATGTGTTGGCGACTTGGTTAAAGCTATAGCATTTCCCATGAGTTCATTTAACTTCCCCTTTCATCAAAAGACTTTCTAATTAGTGTATTATCAATTCATTAAATTTTCTTTCTCATTCTACCTCTCTACTAACCCAGTTCCCCATGCCACAAAGAGTTTTGTGATCTTTAGGTGAGTACATGATCCTGTGCAGTAATACAATATATAGAATCAAGACAACTTATCTCTTTGTTTGCAATATCATTGTACTCTGGTTGGTGTAATCCAGCTATCTTATTCTCCATGGTTTTCAAGAAGAAACCAATCTGCTTTCTGTGTGGATTGACTGGTAATTTCCTCTCTTATTTTATTTCTTGCATTGATGTTTCATTTGTTGACTGACCCACCCATGAGCTGAGATTCCATTTATAAAACAGAAATTGACTATACACATGTTACATTAATTTATTTAGGATATGAAGTAACTTCTTTGGGAAAAGATGTTTTTGTGAAGTAGCAGTTTCTGCAACCTCTTGCAGAACAGAGAGACCCCTTTAAGGAAAAAAAAATAACAAAAGTAGTGTTTTCATCTCTCTGTGCAGGGGTTACAAAAATGGAAAAGAAGTTTGCATGGCTTGTGTTGCA